>NC_000008.11:8885051-9189533 GCF_000001405.40 Homo sapiens
CTCTGGCTCAGAAGCAGCAAGTGAACAACCTAATCAAAGATATATCATGACGCAACCAAACACCAACAAAACAAGTCAAATATGCTGTGTTGTCGGAGAGGTACACTCCGTGTGCAAGAAACTGAGGGACAGAAGACATTTGGCATGAGATACAAAAAGGCATCAAGTTACTGAGTAAATGAAAGACAGTAAAGCTAAAGAAAGCCACATAACTCATTCTGTCTACTGATTTGGGTTGCTTTCTCCTTATTTTTTAAAATGACCTTAAATAATTTGGAGAGTAGGATATTTAGTGAAAATCTGCAGTCAATGCAAGTTTAACTCACTAAGACACACTCTTCCAATTCAAAAACACAGTATTCACTCATCTGCTTAAAAGGAATATCAAAGCACTTGAATCTTGCTGCAGGCCCGTGTCCTAACCACCACATCTTAATGTACCCTCACTCAACTTCAAGAGTACCAACTCTTTGAGTTTAGAGGTCATACTGGTAGAACAGAATAAAAGCATAAACAAATATCCCACAAGAAGAAACTTGCTCTAAGACAAGTATACAGGACCAACCAATGAGAAGGAAAACAGCAAAAGGAAGGGAATCCTGGCTACCAGCTATGGGCAGCAAGTCTGCAAAAAAGAAAGGGTACCTGCAGGAAGCAGGTAAAGACTTTCTTTTCGGAGCCAGGGTCTTGCCCTGTCGCCCAGGCTGGAGCGCAGTGGCACAATCTCAGCTCACTGCAACCTCCGCCTCCCAAGTTCAAGGGATTCTCGTGCCTCATTCTTCCCAGGAGCTGGGATTACAGGCATGAGCCACCATGCCCAGCTAATTTTTTTGTATTTTTTGTAGAGATGGGGTTTCACCAGGTTGACCAGGCTAGGATGTTGGCCAGGATGGAGAAAGCAGGTCAAGACTTTCACAGTGACATTTAGGCTTCATCATAGGCCATCTCCGAGTTTCCAAAAGAATCTCCTGTCACTCAACCCATTTGTCTTAAATAAGATGTCTTAAAAAGATAATCACGTTGTCAGATTACCTATTTTAAATAAGACAAATAGGTCTTCTCTCTGACAATGTGATTTATTTTTACAAAAAACTATGAAACTAGTGATTGCTGGATGTGCATTTTCCAATCATTTCTTTTTTTTTTTTTAAGAGACAGGGTCAGAGTGCAATGGCACAATCATAGTTCACTGCAACCTCAAACTCCCATGCTCAAGTGATTGTCCCACCTCAGCCCCCCAACTAGCTGGGACCACAAGTGTGCACGCTTAGCTGATTTTTATTTTTTATTTTTTTTTGTAGACACGGAGTCTGGCTACATTACTCAGGCTGGTCTCGAACTCCTTGACCCAAGTGATCCTCCTGCCTCAGCCTCCCAAAGCAAAGGGATTACAGCCCTGAGCCACTGCACGCTGCCCATTACTTTTCTTGTATAAACCAAAATAAGAAAAGAGAAATTTACCATTATACTTCCCGTGGTCAACTACAGTAGGGCAGCTCAGGCCAGAAAATCCAACAGGACAAGGCCAAAATAGGCTTTTCACATAAAAATACTTTAAAAGATATTAGTGCAACTTTATACATTTTTTCTGTATAAAATCAAGAGAGACAGTAATTTACTATTTACTTTTACTGTAACATCCCAAAGTTAAGAAAATTCAAAGTCCAACTTTTTCAGCGTTGCATATAAAATTGTTATAGTTTATAGGACAACTTAACGCTTTTATAAAACATAAAAGTAAACAATTTTTAATGTCCCCAGAAGCAAAATGACTTCTTAAAAAGACAAAGGTGGCCAAGCCTAGTGGCTCACGCTTATAATCCCAGCACTTTGCGAGACTGAGGTGGGTGGATCATCTGAGGTCAGGAGTTCAAGACCAGCCTGGCCAACCTGGCGAAACCCCCGCCTCTACTAAAAATACAAAAATTAGCCAGGTGTGGTGGCGCATGCCTCTAATTCCAGCTACTTGGGAGGCTGAGGCAGGAGAATCGCTTGAATCCAGGAGGCAGAGGTTGCAGTGAGTCAAGATCACTCCACTGCACTCCAGCCTGGGCAACAGAGCAAGACTCCATCTCAAAAACAAACAAACAAACAAAAAAACATGAAAAGGCAAAGGCTGCCAATAGATTCAAAGGGTTTCTGCTGAATTAATATATATTTTAATAATCTAGGGATTCAATGAATCTATTTTTAATGTATGCTCTACTTAAACACTCAACATAATTCTGTTCCCACATTTAGCTTTTATTTCTAACTCATTATTTTAACTTTTACCAAATCTTTCGTAACTGTAACAATTACTAACAAATGATGGCTATCACAGAAAAATACAGAAGAGGAAAATGTTTTTTGCATCTTCTTAATGTAACGAGAAATGTACTATAATCATGTTTTCTACTATTCTATACCCTCTGCTACTTTTGAAAAACAACACAATTCAAAAAAAAACAAAAAGACTATAAGACAAAAATATGTACGTTGGTGTATATATACATATATATTTTATATGTACATATTTTATAATTATATGTATATGTATATATTTTATAATCGTGCTCTAAAAACAACTGATGATTTATTCCTATTCAATCTATAAGATAATTTTACAATTTTTCAATCATTTGTTTTCCACATTGAAAAAAAATCTCTTCCTTATAGCCTGGATTGCAAAACCAGGTGTGCCTCATTTGAAAGGCAAATAGACAACACAAGACAAGGGGCTTGTTTCTGCATCTCAGTACAAGCTTGTCTGTGGAATTTATGACTGGTAAAAATTAAACATAAAGAGCTGACGTTAGCAAAAAAAACAAAAAAAAAAAAAAAAAAACCTCCAGCCTCGCCCCTAACTCCTCAAAGTTCTTAGAAGATCTTTACTTGCTCAATAACCTATGTCTCTCCTTTTGTTGTTAATAACATTCGTTTTTATTACTTTGGATTAAGAATGGCTTCAGGTTGCTCCTTCAGTAAACTACCCTGTAAATGCGTAACTCCCAGTCACTTTATTCCATTTGGTATCACAATAAAGAAGTATCTTGCTTCCATGAATAACACACAATGACAAATATAAAACAAACTGAAGAGTCTACCAAGTCATGGAGTGTGACAAGATTCCAGATAAACATACAGAATGGATGTCTCAGTTGACTGGTAACTGAATACGCTGGCTTTTTTCATGCTTAAGAATTAAATTCAACCTAGATCCAGGGCAACGGAAAGATGTCACCTTCGGAAATATTGGTATTCAATTCCTTCCTGATACTATTACCAGCTGCATTCTTGTTGTCCCTCTCTGACCAGGACAAAGATCAGAGTGGGACGCAGTCTTCCATTTCATCACCCCTCCGGGTCCCCTGGGGGTGGGGACCCAGGTGAGAAACGTGCAAGGATGCTATTGTTCTGTCTGGTTTGTGCTTAGGACACTTGGAATGTTGTTAACCACCTGCTCCACAAAAAAACAAAAAACAAAACACACACACACACACACACACAAAAACAGTTGTTTAAAGAACTACAAAGGATGAGGAAATGGACACGTTCCCAACTAAAAACTAGTTTGATACCAATTAACCAGGCTCAAAAGAAAAAAATCCCATATAAGTAAAACGCAAAACTTATGGAGACAGTAAAAAGATCTGTGGTTGCCGGGGTTGGGGGGAATGAATTGGCAGAGCACAGAGGATTTTTAAAGCAGTAGAACTACTCTGTATGATACTATAATGGGGGATACAGGTCATTGGACATTTGTCCAAACCCACAGAATGCCCAACACAGAGTAAACCCTGTGTAAACTATGACCTTTGGCTGGTACTGATGTGTCACTGCAGGTTTATCAACTGAAACAAATGTACTGCTCTGGTGGGAGATGTTGACGTTGGTGAAGCTACGCATGTGGGGAAGGGGATATATGGGAAATCTCTGTACCTTCTGTTCAGTTTTGCTATAAACTTAAAACTGCTCTAAGAAAAAAAAAAAAGTCTTCAAAAAAAAAAAAAACAAAAAACCCCAGACAACTAGTCCTGGAATTCTTCCACTTGCTTATGATGGTTTAAAAAAAGAAAACGAAAAAAAAGTCTACTGGAAAACACTCTCCAGAAAACTCTTAGCTTTCTGTCCCTTCCGTCTCAATTATTAAGCACTGCCAGAAAGCTTCATTTGCTTAACACTTACCAAAAAACAAACCTTAAGACGTCTATAAAACTCGAAACTGCCAGGAAATTCCCGAGGAAACGCCCCTCAAAGATTTCAGTCATCTATCTTCCATGTCCCTGAGTGGGCGGAGGGGAGCAGCAGCCCCAGGATTTAGTCATGCATTACAGTCTGAAATTTCTGTCTTTACTCATCCATTGTTCACTCCAATTACAAAAGATTTTCTCTGGAATTTCTTAAGAAAAGTGAGCAGTAATTTTTACTTTCTAATTACATTCTGAATGTAAGCAGAGTGCTTAAATGCTTGAGGGGATGGATACCGCATTTTACAATCTGATTTCTATGCATTGCATGCCTGTATCAAAACATCTCATGCACCCCACAAATATACAAACCTATGTACTCACGAAAATTTAAGTTTTTTAAAAAATTGTGACACTGGACACTTGAAACTCAAACTCATCTACCCCTTTGAGACGTGTCTAATGAACACTTTAGCCAACGATCAGTAAGAGGCTAACATCGGACACTGTCCAGAATCTATCTGTTCAACCACCTGAAATTTCCTTCCACCAAATGTGGGCTACATCGACAAGAGGGGAAAGGAGATGGCAAATGTTGTGACTGGAACCCATTTTGGAAGTCTGAGTCTGTTAGGAGAGGATGACACTTGTGACTGCATTTCATAAGGCTCAGGTACTTACTACCTTTTGCTCATCTCCAAATCTCCCTGTGTTTCCCTTACGAAGCTTTCCTGGAGAACCCGTGAAGTTAAACAAACATTCTGCCAAATGACAACCAAGTATCTCCAAAAACATATCTTACAGCATACCACAGAAGAACTTCTCCCTCTCTCCACTTACCTGGAAAAGCATGTGGATTGGGCGATCCTCTCTTAAGGCACTTAGAACAGAGAATGTGCACGGTGTAGTGCAGTCCAGGCCATTCCTGAAGTAGGACATTCAGTTCCTCCACCAAGGGGGTTATGGCTTGCCATGCGGTCCATATATTTGGTAATGATGCATGGCTAGCAATGGACAGGGTGTCTGGCTGCAGGACTCCCCTGGCAGGTCTGTAACTCACAACCACAGGAACTTTCCCTCTATAGGCAAAGATCTGAAATTTACCATCCGACCTGTGCACCACATGGCTGTTGATCTGGACACTGTAGCGTGCAAACAACCCAAGTGGAAAAGTAAAAGGAAAGCTATATTCAATCTGCAACTGCTCAGCCACAAAAGACTGCCCAGCTAGGTTGGTCCCATTAATCCAGGCTTCTGCATGGGGCACCTCGTTCTGCACATAGCATGGGAACTTGTACCAAGCTGTGGACCCATTCAAAGGCTTGCCCTTGGGTTTATTGAGGCAGTAACAGAGTCCCATCTTCTCCAGCAGCTCCAGCAACAGCTGCAAGTCCTGCTGGGCCTGGACATGAGGCTTAAGCAGCAACCGAATGACATGAGCTGGCAAGAGCCCATGCAACAGAAAGCCCTCCACATACTGATGGAGCTGGGTGGCCCGGAGCAGTTCCTGGCTGGGGGTGGACCGCGCCATGGGCGGGGAGCTTTCCCCCTCCGCCTTGCCCTCTCCACTGGTCCCTAGGAGCAGCTTATGCAGCAGCAAAGAGGGATCCCTCTGGAAGAAGACATTGAGGATGTCGATGAGGCGGGTGAGGTTGTGGAAGACGTGCTCCTTGAGAGCCGGACTGTCCTCAAAGTAGAGTAGCTTGCCGCTCTCATGCAGGTAGGAGAGGGCACTCTGCAGTCGGTCCTCGGTCAGACCCGCCTGCAGGCCCAAGCGCGCCGAGTCCCACCAGCTTAGCCACAGTCGCTGGGCCTGAGGTGGCTGGAAATGCAGTTCCTCCAGCACCTGCCAGGATCGAGGCAGTACTCTGTGTAAGTTGGGGAAGATCTCTCGGTGCTCAGCAACTGACAGCAACTTGTCCCGAAGGCGTCGTAAGTGGCGCGGGTCCCTGCAGCTAACAGGCAACACGGGGGAGAGGATCTGCAGCCGGTGGTTGAGCAGGTATTGAAAATGGGCCTTGCGCCGTCGAAGGTTCTTGTCCGAAACGCCATAGTAGGCTGCGTGGGGGCTGGCAGAGCGCAGCTCGAAGTCCCGGGCCAGTGCCTCGTCCACCACCTTGGCCAAGCGGCTCAGTCCCTCCGCGTCGTGCTTCTCCTGCAGGGCGATCTGGCGGTGAATGTCCAGACATTTCTCCTCCAGCTCACGCTCTCCGCACAGGTCTGCGTGGGTGCCCACGATGCACACCACCGCGTGGGGCACTCTCGCCCCGACCCGATGCAAGAAGGAGCCCACGGTGGTAGGAAAGTGGCGAGGCTCATAGGTGGCCAAGTTGACCACCAGCACGTATAGGGCCCCTGGGGACAGGAAGAAGGGCTGGATCACCTCATAACTTTCATCCCCAGCTAAGTCATACACGATGAACCGCAGGCCCCGGGAGGCATCGGCCGTCCAGCTGGTCACCTCGATGCCCTTGCTCACAGGGGGAGGTGACGGTGGGTAGCACTTCTCCTTGTCCCCTCCTCCTGGGCATCCCTCCACTCTCTCCTCGGTGAGGCAGTGGCGCAGCAAAGTCTTTCCTGCAGCCTTATGCCCCATCAGGAGCAGCTTGAGCCGGGGCTGCACCGCCGGCTGGGAATGAGCCAGTTCCTTCTGGTAGGCTGCGATGTAGGGGATCCCCTTCATGCAGACCTCGTAGGGGGGCTGGATCAGTGGGTTGTCTTTGATCTTCCACAAACCCACCCGGGAGAGCTGGCCAAAGTGGTCGGGCAGCACCGCGATCTGGTTCCCCTGCAGCACGAGCTCCTCCAGGCCGGTCAGCTCCACGATGGAGTCCGGCAGGTAGCGGATGCGGTTATTATCCAGCCACAAGGTGAGAAGCCGGCCCAGGCCCGAGATAAGGGATGGCACCGAGGTGAGCTGGTTGCGACTAAGGTAGAGCTCCTCCAGACCAGCCAGGGGCAGCAGCGCGGCAGGGAACTCCTCGAAGAGGTTGGAGGAGAGGTTGAGCATTTTGAGCCGCTGCAGGCAGCTGAACTGGGCGGGCAGAGCCTGCAGCCCGTTGTTGTCTAGCATGAGGCTCTCCAAACTGGCCAGCTCGCAGAAGCCGGCGGGCAGCGTGCCAAGCTCGGCCCCACTCAGCCAGAGGATCTTGAGGGCACGCAGGGCACTGATATCCTCAGGCAGGCCCCGCAGCCGGTTGCTGGACACGTCCAGCTCCTCCAGGGCCACCAGCTGCAGCAGCTGCCGGGGGAAGGCAGTGAGCTGGTTGTGATCCACGTCCAGGGTGCGCAGGCGGGAGAGGCAGGAGAGGGAGTCAGGCAGGTGCGCCAGCCGGTTAAAGCTGACATCCAGCTCCTCCAGGTGAGCGAGAGCGCCCAGCTGGGCGGGCAGGGCGGGCAGCTGGTTGTGGCTGAGGTTGAGCTTCCGCAGCTCCCTCAGAGCACTCACCACCTCCGCGCCCAGGGCGGTCAGCCGGTTGTGGCTCACGTCCAGCTCGGTGAGGTGGTGGCCGAGCTCGGCCACCGCCGGGGGCAGCCGGGCGAAGCGGTTCCTGCGCAGGACCAGGACGCGCAGGCTGCCCAGCGCCGACCCCAGCCCCTCGGGTACCTCCTCCAGGCCGTTGTTCCCCAGGTTCAGTGCCTCAATGTCCCCGAGGTTGGCCGGCAGCACGAGCTGGGGGGAGGCGGGGGACTCGAGCGCGTCGGCCCCGGCCCCGGGGCAGGCCCCGGCGGCGGTAAGCGTGAGCTGGCGCAGGTTGCTCCGCAGCTTCCTGGCACGCAGGGCGGCGTCCCGCCACAGCCTCGCGGTCTTCAGGTTGCCACTGTCCATCCCAGCCATGGCGGGGCCCCGGGCCGACAGCCTCACGCGGACGCGGGAGCCCGCAGCTACATGCCGCGCCGCGCCCCGGGCCCTCCGGCTCCTGCCCCTGCCTGCCCTCCCGCGCTCGGCGGCCGGCGGCCGCGGGTCCTAGCGCAGCCAGCGGCCGAGCGCTGGCGGCTAGGGGGCGGCGGCGACGCGAGCGGCTCCGGGGGACGCCGAGCGCGTGGAGAGCAGCTTGCATTCTCCCTGCGGCCGGGCCATGGGCGCGCCGGGCAGCAGGGCCGCCGCCCGCGCGCCGCGGAGGATGCCTGCTCCTCCTCCCTCTCCGCCCGCCGCGCGGCGCCTCGGGGGGCCCGGCTCCGGCCCCGCTACCCTCGCAGCCGCGGTCCCGCGGCCGGCAGCGGCGTCGCCTCCTCGAGCTCCTGGGGGAGGGCGGCGCTCGGCCCGGCGGCGGGCATGCTGCGGGCGCAGGGCTGGGGCGCAGCCGCGGGGAGGGGGCGGCGGCGCCTCCTTGTCTCCGTTTCCCCGGGCTCGGGCGGGAGCGCGGGCGCCGCGTCCCCGGCGCTGGGAGGGCGCGATTGGGAAGCGGCAGCGCCGCCCGCCGGAGCGGCCCCCACGTGACCGGCGGAGGCGCCGCGTTTTCCCGGCACCGCCCCGGGGGCGGGAGCTGCGGAGGGCGCCGGGTGCGGGGCCGGGGGCGCCTGGCGCGGGGCCGGGTCCGCGCCCCGGACCATGCTGGGCGGGGAGGTCGTCCCAGCGGCGGATGTGGGGCTCCGGGGCCCCCCTGGTGGGTTCGCCCGCGCCTGGCTCTTTGTTGGCCCCCAGTCTCTAAGGATTTCTTTTTCTTGTTCTCTAATGCGTCGGATCCGCCGGCTTCCCTTACTCATCCTTTACCTGCTCCCCTGCCGCTCGCCTTGCATCCACGCCGTAGTGGAACTGGCACAACTCGGGGGCCCTGGGTATCATCATAGAAGCTTAGGACAAGAGTGTGGTTAAACAAAATTAGAACAGGCAACCATTCATTCATTTGGTAAATATTTCCTGAGGCCCTATTTCGTGTTGAACATGGGACAGGAGTAATGCAGGCTGGTCAGAGGAGAATAAAAAATACCAGGCAGCAGTTTCACTTGACTGGAGGCTATGGGCTGATAAGACCCTGAAAACCAGGGTGTGTACCAAGCTGGCTAAGACCGGCTGGACCCGACGTGGTCCTGGATTTGACCTAGGTTTCTCCTAGGCCTCCATTATACGCTCTTTAACATCCTAAGTCACACCAGTGCCATGACAATTCCGGGGACACCCATATTTGAAGTAAAAATGGGTGGCACCACAGTCCCGAAAAATCTCCACACTTTTCCAGGAATTTTCATGAATATTTCACCCCTTGGTTAAAGAAACCCATAAAGGTAGCAGCCCCAAGCCCCGTTGTGAGTGACCCTCTCCACAATCCCTTTTCCTGGGTGTGTACTTTTCCCTTTGCAATAAATCTGCATATTGTCACTATTTTCTGAGTTGTCCTTGAACTCATTCTCTGGATGTGTCAAGAGCCTGGACATTGGCTGGGGTCAAGGTCGCACTGGCTTTAGAGGATCTCCCCCAGCCCACCCGTACCAGAACTACTAAAAGACGGTTTTAACCCCCCTGGGGAAGGCTTTTGAGCAGGTGGCCCGCCAGCCTAAAGGAGGGTTGTTAAGATGGGGGGGACACAAGCTGTTTATCTGGGGTATCCCGTTTATCTTCACAACAACGCTGTGAAACAAATACTGTATCCCCATTAATACAGTACCTGTTGTTCTGCGGACTCAAGAAAACAGCTATTTTGGGAAACAGTCACAGTCCATTGTTCAACTCTAATGCTTATTTTTATTGCTGTTAGGAAATGTTTCTTTGAGCTCACATCTATGCTAAGTCAATAATTTCTCCCGAACTTATGAAAGTCTGGAAACCTACCAAGACTCCCAGTGTCACCTCCATCATTCCCTTCAGGTTGATTGATAAGGAAGCAAATAGTTTTCAGGGACCGAAAACTGCGTTCAGTTGGTTAAAGGCATCACTTGACCCACTGCAGCTCTCCCCGACATGCGCTATGGCTGTCATTTGGGGACCCATATTTGGTGCAGTAACGTGAGAAGTGTGTGTTTCCAAAAAGAGCACCTGAACATCTGAGGCTGGAAATCCACCCCAGTGATGGTTATCAGGCTGCAGGTAGTACATGCTGTAACTGGAGGATGTTCCCCAGTTCTGCTGGGTCCCTGAGGCTCTGACACCACAGATGAAATGTGAGTAAGTGAACAGCAAGAGCTGATCTGTGTTCACTCTGAAGGACTTCCGAGAGTTCAGATGGCTCAGGGTAGCCCCACCCACACTCCCTCCCAGAGACAGTCAATTTTACAACAAATATTCTGAGTTATCTAGGCTGACCCTTTTTTTCCCCCACAGAGGAGGAAATGGGCTCAAAGTAAGTGACTTCTCAATCAGCCATCAAAGTAGAGTAGAGGCAGGACTGCTAACTCCCCGTGTGGAATGTATTCCCCTGTGATCATCACCTGTACTCACACTGTTCTTGAGCCAGACCCCAAATTCTCCATCCTGCAGCTTCTTCTAACAAAAATATGAACTCAGCCTGGGTAAGGAGACTGGAGTAGGCATCACCATCCTACACCACCTTACATGATTATATCTCAATAACTGCTAACTGTTCCTCTTTAGAAGCCATCAGAAAATTATACTTCCTCCTGCAGAAGCTGAAATCAATTGAAAAAAATGAAAATTGTGCTTGCTTCAGCAGCACATATACTAAAATTGGAAAAATACAGAGAGGATTAGCATGGCCCTGCACAAAGATGACATGCAAATTCATGGTGTTCATTTATTTAATAATATTTTCATTTAAAAAATTATTTTAAAAAAGAAAAATGGCCGGACATGGCATCTCATGCCTGTAATCTCAGCACTTTGGGAGGCCGAGGTGGTGGATCAGTTGAGGTTAGGAGCTCAAGACCAGCCTGGCCAACATGTCAAAACCCCATCTCTACTAAAAATACAAAAATTAGCCAGGCATAGTGGTGCGCACCTTTAGTCCCCAGCTACTCAGGAGGCTGAGGCACGAGAGTTGCTCGAAACCAGAAGGCGGAGGTTGCAGTCAGCCAAGATCACACCACTGCACTCCAGCCTGGGTGACAGAGTGAGACTTTTTCTCTGAAGAAAATTATATTTTCCTTTCTTTTCTTTCTTTCTTTTTTTTTTTTTTTTCTGGAGATGGGGGTCTTGCTTTGTTGCCCATGCTGGACTCGAACTCCTGGGCTCAAGCAGTCTTTTTGCCTGAGCCTCCTGAGTAGCTGGGATTATAGGCATAAGCCACCCTGACCAGCTTATACTTCTATTTTAAATGTCCTTGGAAAACTGCACTCTTCATTTGTCAGGAGATCATCTATAATTTGCTTTATCTAATAAAAAGTACTGGCTAGGACCCTGCGCTAGGGGCTTCAAGCCCCACTAAAGCCCCAAAGCCTGGAGTGAATAAGTGTGCTGGGGGTGGCAATTCTTTGTGAGCCCCTCAGCTGATGCAGTCAATATAGTAGGAAGCCTTGTAAGAATCCTTGTCTATGAGTTCTTTGAAAGTCAGTATGTGAATGGGCACAGGGGTATATGCCTGTAATCCCAGCACTTCCAGAGGCTGAGGCGAGCAGATCATTTGAGCTCAGGAGTTCGAGACCAGCCTGTGCAACAAGGCAAGACATCATCTCTACAAAAAATACAAAAATTAGTAGGGTGTGGTGGCGCACACCTGTAGTCCCAGCTACTCAGGAGTGACGCGGGAAGATCACTTGAGGCTGGGAAGTGGAGGCGGCAGTGAGCCAAGACTGCACCACTGTACTCCAGCCTGGGAAACAGAGTGAGACTCTGTCTCAAAATACAACACAACACAACAAAAGAAAGTCAGTATGCTAAAAACTAGAAAGTCAAATGATAAAAGATAACTCAATGATAAAAGAAAACTCTATGAAAAGATATTGTGTTCCATATAGCTTTAAAATTTTTTTTTCTTTGTGCTTTCCACTTTCAAAGAAACTGCTTCGTAAAGAACTATAGAAATGATTCCTGGGCTGGGTGCAGTGGCTCACACCTGTAATCCCAGCAGTTTGGGAGGCCGAGGCGGGCAGATCACAAGGTCAGGAGTTCGAGACCAGCCTGGCCAACGTGGTGAAACCTCATCTCTACTAAAAATACAAAAATTAGCTGGGCATGGTGGTGGGTGCCTGTAGTCTCAGCTACTCAGGAGGCTGAGGCAGGAGAATCGCGTGGACCCGGGAGGCAGAGGTCACAGTGAGCCGAGATCATGCCACTGCACTCCAGCCTGGGCAACAGAGCAAGATTCCATCTCAGAAAGAAAAAAGAAAGAAAGAAAGAGGATTCATGAAAGTATCATCTTTTCTGTTTTTTCATTGAGACAGGGTCTGCTTATGTTGCCCGGGCTGATCTCGAACTCCTGTGCTCAAGTGATCCTCTCAAGTATCAACCCAGGCAAGGACTCCTGCCGTGGGCACCTAACCTGGCCCTCCTCTCACCATGCTGTACCCCGTGTGGTTAAGTTTCTGATGGGCCAAGGGGGCACGCCCCCTCCACCTTCTAGAACACACATGGTATGGAGGACCCTGAATTCCCAATGCAAATAGCCTCAAGCCTGGATGGGGAGCGTGGGGCAGTCTTTCATAGTCATTCGAAAGAAGTTATTGAGGTGGGCATCCCTAGACCTGGGGGTTGTGCAGGAGCTGGACCTCAGCTGTGTGCCGACGAAGCTCCTCTCTGTGCTGGATGTAGCCCAGGCTAGGGCAAGGAGTGTGAATGTGCCACATCTGTTAGGGTGATGTAACACATTTAGATATTTAGGCATGTGGCATGTGGGCCTTCCCGTGTACCCTTTCCCCAGGCCCTGCAAAGGATAAGCGTGGCCCTGCAAATGGTAGGGTTTTTCTAAAAGCAAAAACAACAACAACATTGTTTGGAGAAGAGGAACTCTATTATATAAAGTTTTCTTTCCTTAGAGGTCTATCCAATGTCATGAATCTAATCTATAAACTTTCCAAAACCTTTTCAGCTTAAGCCTTTTAATATATCCTGTTTTCTGACTCTTAGATTGTTTTCTCTTTCGCTGCTGCCTTATGATGGCAAGAGCATTCCATACACATTGGCTTTGTTCCAGAGTCTAGACCCTGTCTGCAAGAGCAGAGTCATTCAGGAGAGTGGAGAGTACATGGAAAGAGGTTGTGTCTTGAGTGAGGCCTTGAAACATGGCTGTTTAGAAGGGAGAATCCTAGATGCTCCAGATAAGCGTCTTTTGTCAAGAACAGTCTGGATTGGCAATGTGTGATGGCTCACGACTGTAATCCCAACACTTTGGGAGGTAGAGGTGGGCGGATCACTTGAGGTCAGGAGTTCAAGACCAGCCTGGCCAACACGGTGACACCCCCTCTCTACTAAAAATACAAAAAAAAAAAAATTAGCCAGACGTGGTGATGCACTCCTGTAATCCTAGCTACTCAGGAGGCTGAGGCAGGAGGATCACTTGAACCCAGGAGGCAGAGGTCACAGTGAGCCGAGATCGTGCCACTGCACTCCAGCCTGGACGACAGAGCGAGACGCTGTCTCAAAAAAAAAAAAGTCTGAATAGAGGTGGGCAAGAGTAGTTTGTTCCTATCCTTTGCTAAAACTATCAACAAGCCCCAAGTAAGCTTTCATCCTAGTTTCTTTTGCTGTGTCTTCAGCATATTCAATCAACCTTCTTCCATCTTGACAGATTTCTCTCAACCTTGCTAATGCCCTAGCTACTGTCTGACTACTTTACTTCCTTTCTCTGTCAAATATCTTCCATAATTGGTCCACGCTAGTCTGACTCCTCTCCCCTGGCTCCCTCCTTGGGCCAGTCCAGGAATCTGGTTTCCATCCCCACCATGCTGATGAGCCTTTCCCTCTTAAGGGTCAACTCACCCTTTCTCCTCCTTGACCTCCCATCGCTGAAAATGTTAAACAACTTCCTTTGGAAACTTTTTCCTTTCTTGGCCTATAGGATATTTGGTGTCACTTTAAGGTTTGGGTTTTCAAAAGGAGTCCCTATAAAGGCTAATTATTTCCTTATAGGGATCAAGTTTGCAATTAGAATAAGTGCTACCAAACGAAGCACTATAACTACGTGGGCAGAGTGGCCAGGATTTGCCTAGATAATGATAGCTTCTTAGGAGGATATTTAGTCAGTATGGTTTTTCCACTTAAATTTATATTATTCTATTTCTATTAAAGATGCATTTTGAAAATCATATGAGCACCCTTTTCCATTGAATTTTAATTTAATCTATCACAACTTAATCAAGTCTTGATTTTAAGGTGACAAAATGCTCCAATGTGCACAAGACTGAGGGGTCTCTCAGGATAGGAGACATTCTGTTCTTAAAACTAGGGTAATCTTAGGAAACTAGTACAATTTGTTAACTGACTTGGTCTTTAAAACAAACCCTTTAACTTACTCTCCCTTTACCCTTCAGGAGTTCAGAAAGCACAGCTTCCAGGAAATGTAGCACATTTTCAGCTGCTTTAGTTCTGATTTAGACTTTGTTCTGATTTCATTTACCTAGTTGTTCACTACCTTAGAAGACAGGATATTCATGGGCTGGAGGTTCCAGCTGACTTTGGAGTATGAAAATTACCTGTCTAGTCTTGAAAGAAAATTTGGCAATCACTTAACCCTTCCACACAAATGAGACCCAGGGCTGGGTTAAACATCTCATGAGAAAATGAACTGAGTTTTCTCCTTGAAGTCTGGAGAAGCTGAAGATATGCTGCCTGTATCATGAAAAGGGGCAAAGGGTTTCCCACATTTCTCCTTTCTTGTAATTTTAGGTCGTGTTTTGCTTTAAATAAATGACAGCAACAACAATGCTTCCTCCTATGTGGCTAAAGGCAACTAAGAGAAAATCTCACCTTTGAGATTTTAATTAGGCCACACCCTTCTTGGCTTGTCTTTGGAGGAGATAGAAGTGGAAAAAGTCAAGAGAAAAACAGACAGAGGAAAAGGAAGAAATATTTATTTATTTATGTATGTATTTATTTGAGACAGAGTCTTGCTCTGTTGCCCAGGCTGGAGTGCAGTGCCGTGATCTAGGCTCATTGCAATATCTGCCTCCCCAGTTGAAGAGATTCTCCTGCCTCACCCTCCCTAGTAGCTGGGACTACAAGCACACACCATCAAGCCCGGCTAATTTTTGTATTTTTTAGTAGAGACAGGGTTTCACCATGTTGGCCAGGCTGGTCTCGAACTCCTGACCTCAAGTGATCCACCTGCCTCAGCCTCCCAACGTGCTGGGGATTACAGGTGTGAGCCACTGCACCCGGCCAGGAAGAGATAGCCCTTCGAAAGGTGTTAGGCTTGGTCCAAAGCAGGGGATTAGAAATAAAGTCTTAAAAATGGACATCAAACAGTTTTGTCAAACGAGGTCTTGGTGATCATGGCATTCTCTCCTGCCACTGGGCATCACTCAATGGGAAATCTCAGAATAATCACGAGTCATGATAGCTAACATCTCTTAAAAGTTTTCCATGCACCCAGGCACTGTGTTGTGTGCTTTTCATGCAATATTTCATTTAATCTTCACAACAGCCCTGAATAGTAGGTTCCATTAGCCTCATTTACAGATGGAGAAAAATGAAAGCAGAGCTACTGAGTGGCAAAATTCACTCAAAACAAAGCAGACTGTAAAATTCATGTATTTAATCACGGTGCTAATTCTTCAGGGGTCAGGAGGGTGGAGGAGATTGGTTCTTAACTGACCTGGAACAGACTGTGTATTTTAAGCTGTAGAAAAGAGGGAAAGAGGTACCAGCTGGAGACAGGGCTGCCACCCAGTCTTCAGTAGAAATTGAACTGAGCTCTTACAAAATTGAAGAATATTATATTGGGCAATCCAAAGCTCTAAACACAGTGTCCCCAACTACAAGAACTGGGCTGAACAACTATTCATAAATGTCACTGCAGGAAACCAACAGAATGTCTATGCTAATTGTAGATCAGCTGTGTTTGTTCAATTTGCTAGTTTTACACAGAAAGGGTTTAATAACAATGACCGTAAATCTACACTCCAATTAGAGGGTGTTTCAGACTTCATATTTTGACTGCATTTTTTGAAAAAAGATGGAAGATGAATTTATTAAGCTCAGATTAGATACAAAGAATCTGACCCCTTTTGTTTGGATTTTTTAAAATTTTATTTAAAAAATATATAAAACATACCTCACCCCTCTTTCCTAAATTTAATAAATCTGCCTTGGACTCATGTGATTTGAAAGCAAGCCAGTTCTGATCAGCAATGGCTAAGAAGCCTGAGAATTGCCACTTAACTACAAGCGTGGAGCATAAAGTATGTGTTCAAGACACTGACTCCTCCAGAGAGCAAAGGCAAAACTATACCCAGACGACTGTTGTTTTTTCTTTCCCTTGCTCTCCAGAAAACTCATTTATCTTGGAATGAGCAACATTACATTTAACATTGGATCTCTTTGTGTTTCCAGGTCAAGTGGGAACACACACGCTCCCTACTGGGGAAAATAAACTGTAATGTATTTTTAGCATCCGTTGAAAGTACTTTCAGCTGAAGATATTCCACAGGACCCAGGCCATTTCCCTGCAAGCCAAAGGATTTGCCTCGACGTCACCTAGAATTCCAGAACTTTTCCTGGGGGTCCCAGAGTAGCAGTGTCCCCTCCCAACCCCCAACTGCCCACCGAATCCTGGAGAAAACATCCTCTTTCTGAGAAAAACAAGGAAAATTAGTCCAGTGAAAGACCAACGGAAAATATCTGTGAAATAGTCATGACACATGAGGCTAACTGTAGCATACTTGGCATTTTGAAATGAAGCATGTCCAGGAGGAGGGGAGAGGGAGAATGGGTTGCAGAGAGGATGTCCCTATCATCCCCCGCTTCGTGTCTATTGCTAACGGCAAGCATTGGACAGGGAGACACTCTATTGTGGGGCTTTTCAAAAGGGGCCTGTATTAGTCCGTTTTCACACTGCTGGTGAAGACATACCTGAGACTGGGAAGAAAAATAGGTTTAATGAACTCACAGTTCCACGTGGCTGGGGAGGCCTTCACGATCATGGCAGAAGGCAAGGAGGAGTAAGTCACGTCTTACATGGATGGCAGCAGGCAAAAAGAGAGAGCTTGTGCAGGAGAACTCCCCTTATAAAACCATCAGATATCATGAGACTTCTTCACTGTCACAAGAACAGTATGGGAAAGACCTGCCCCCATGATTCAATTACCTCCCACCAGGTCCCTCCCATAGCGTGTGGAAATTCAAGATGAGATTTGGGTGGGGACACAGTCAAACCATATCAGGGCCTGTATGGTGCCTCAGTGAAAGGGAGAGCAATGCATCACTCTCCACAGACCCAACCATGCTCCTAGGCATGGTGAGTGAAGTTTAGGTGCTTTTGTCTTCCATGCCTTCTTCCAAGGGTGTGTGTGCACAGCATAAGCTGTGTAGCCCTGGGAATGGAGTTTCAGTTACCAGTCTGAACTATAATGAGATGCAGTCACAGTGAGATAAATGGTTTAAGACCTTGCTTCCGTCCACAAGGCTTTGAAATATTTTTCATATTTAAAAATAAATGTACTAGTACCTACCTTTTAAATAAACGACCCAGGGATATTGGGCCCTCCTTTTTGAACATCGTAGTTCCAAAATTTCAGAAAACTCTACAATGACCTAACACATACTATAAAGCGTAGCATTGAAAATGTAAAGTCCAGCCCAGCATGGTGGCTCATGCCTGTAATCCAACCACTATGGGAGGCCAAGGTGGTCAAATCACTTGAGGTCAGGAGTTCGAGACCAGCCTGGCAAACATGGTGAAATCTCGTCTCTACAAAAAATACAAAAATTAGCCAGGCATGATGGCAAAAGCCTGTAATCCCAGCTACTCAGGAGGCTGAGGCTCAACAATTGCTTGAACCTGGGAGGTGGCGGTTACAGTGAGCCAAGATCATGCCACTGCACTCCAGCCTAAGAAACGGACAGACTCTGTCTCAAAAAAAACTAGGGAAAAAAAAATGTTAAGTCCTACCAAATTAGTGTAACTATTGTTATTAATATTAATATTATTATTGAAGACAGACTAAACTTTGACTTTTTTTCTTCTCTTGCCCAAATTCCTACCCTAGGGGCCTGGGGAGTCACGGCCTACAAACCATAAAATCTCATCAGAGAGGTTATATTTAACCCTATATAATGTGGCCTGCCTTCCAACCTGACTCTGTCCTAACATCACATAACAAGGAAGTAAATCAAAATATTTTAACCCCAAATATGTTTCCTTGCCATACCTTGAAAGTGTCCTGCACAGTCGTCTCTTGTGGGGAAAAATCTGCATTCTATAAATAATCCCCTTTTCCCTTTTTCCAGGCCTTTTTCTGGATCCAGGAGCGAATCAACTAAGAAAGAGCCTAGCACCCTTTTAAGTCCGGTAAGAAACATTTACAACCTATTCTCTGTGAAGCCTGCTACCTGAAGACTTCCTCTTGCGTAGTAAAAACTTTGGTCACTAAAATCCTTTATCTTAACCCAGACATTTCCTTTCTATTGATCCCAGGTCTTTAGATATACTCAACAAATTGTCAACCAGAAAAATTTTAAATCTTCCTATAGCCTGGAAGCCCCACCCCCGCTTTGAGTTGTCCCACCTTTCTGACACAAACCAATGTACATCTTAAATGTATGTGATTGGCCGGGTGAGGTGGCTTATGCCTGTGATGCCAGCACTTTGGGAGGCTGAGGTGGGCTGATCACTTGAGGTTAGGAATTTGAGGCCAGCCTGGCAAACATGATGAAACCTCGTCTCTATTAAAACTACAAAAAGTACCCAGGCCTGGTAGCGCGTGCCTGTAATCCGAGCTACTCTGGAGGCTGAGGTAGGAGAATCGCTTGAACCCAGGAGGCAGAGGTTGCAGTGAGCCGAGATCATGCCACTGCACTCCAGCCTGGGCAACAGAGTGAGACTCTGTCTCAAAAAACAAACAGAAAAGAATTTGATTGATATTTTATGTCTCCCAAAAATGTATAAACCAAGCTGTGCCCCACACCTAGGGCACGTGTTCTCAGGACTTCCTGAGGGCTGTGTCACCGGCCATGGTCACTCATATTGGGATCCGATTAAAATATTTCTTCAAATATTTTAGAGTTTGACTTTTTTCATCAACATGATGAAGCCATGTATTTAATAAACCCAGGAAAACCAAAGTTATCATTTATTTCTGATACTAATGACTCATAGCAAAAACAACTTCTGTTTACTTTTCTGTAAAACAAAACAAGAAAACCTAGTCTACTCTCGATGTCATCCTATGAAATAAGAGTCCTTGAAATAATGCCATAAGGGACTATGGTGTATAATAATGTAAGCATCGCCGTTGGTCATAAGTTCATTACTAACCCCACAAATATTTATGTAAGGCCCTGGCTAAGCTGCCTGGACTCGAGACAACTTAAGAAGACTTCTATCTTTGTTCTCTCCCTCAAAGCGTACACATAAAGCATTTAGCCACTATTGATTAAGGTGCTCTTCCAAAGCTGTGGTCCTCTGATAAAGTTAACAAGATACACTCTGTTTCAAAATTCTCTGATTTGATGGAAGTAGCTAACAGACCCCTCTGTCTGGTTCCTTTGTCCCCTAATTACAGCAGCTGTTCTGGTATTTAAGAACAATTTGAGGAAGCCGTTCCCTTTCTCTGTAAGAGAATATTGTTCCATTGCCTTGGTGGATCTTGAATACAATGATGTTAACATTTAATTTATATTTTCAAAACAATACTTGGAATATTAAGTTTATGTATTACAGGTTTGGTTTTGTTCTAGTATGGAACGCTGAATTTATTATTATTTTTCTTAGTTGGGCTTATTTTAGTAAGTTCTTATTAGCAAGTTTAACATGTTGTACCAATTAAATGAAAATATCCTCCAAAATTGTTTGGAAAAATTATAGAAGCCTTATCCTAGCAGCTTAGGACATAATCATATGTCTCTGCTGCTTATCATGACTGTGTTACAGGCTGTGTCTCTGCAGAGCAACTGGATTTAACTGGAACCAAACTCAGGTTTCCTCTTAAATTTTAGTGTTCACTTTCTTACGGATGATGTTCTTAAAATGGATAGTTTATTTTTAAATATCCTCATGCGTAACATTAAATCTGACAAAAGATTCTAGGACATGCTTTTAAAAATACAGTTGCTGTGATGCACAGCTTTTTCGTATCTGTGTAAATTCACAATGGCTCTTCAACTGCTCCCTGTCTCCCCCAGTAGTGGGCTGTCAGGAGCCATTTGTCCATGTGACCCCACATCCTTGCCTTCGAATAATTAGACCTGAGGTAGGTGCTTAACTGAAACGGGGCCAAAGTCTCTTTCTTAGAAATTTGGACTTGGTCACGCCTATAATCCCAGCACTTTGGGAGGCCGAGGCGAGTGGGTTGCCTGAGTGCGGGAGTTTGAGACCAGCCTGCGCAACACGGTGAAACCCCGTCTCTACTTGACAATCACTTGAACTTAGGAGGCAGAGGTTGCAGTAAGCCTAGATTGCGCCATCAAACTCCAGCCTGGACGACTGAGCGAGACTCCGTCTCAAAAAAAAAAAAAAAAAAAATACAGCAAGAAATTTGGACTTGGGGTTGAGAGAAGGAAAGCCAGTCTTTCTCTGGGTCCAGATGGTAAATTTGGAACCATAAGAAGGCAACTCCAGACTATTAAGGGGACTTAGGAGCAGAGAAAAGCCAGTCCACCGAGAAAGAAGATGGCAAATATGAGAGGCCACGTTTCTTGAGTTTCCAACATTTTGCTTTCTTGACTGGTATTCTTGAATCCTAGCTCCTCTCCCTGCCTTCGAGACTTACAATAAATCTCCTGCTTTTGCTAGAGTGCCTTTGAATTGGTTTCTCTTCTTTAAAACCCAAAGAATCTTAACATAGAAATTTTTATCTGGAAGTGAGTTTACAAGTTACAGTCCATTAAAGGAAATTGTTATATCAAAGCAGATGGGGTGAGAAGTGGATAGTCCTCTAACCAAGAAACAGTATGGTTTCATGTGTGCAGTTCTTGTAGACTTTCAAGGAAGTACAGTAAGAGCAAGAAAGAGAGAGACTTCAGGCCAAGCTTGCCTTGCTGAAAGAAGACAATGGAAAATAGAGTAAGAATACAGTTATGTACCAGAAGCCTTTCTGATCACAGCCAGCCGTCTAATCTTGCTGAAAGTTAATCTAAAAAGCATCTATAAGGGCCATTCATGGTGGCTCATGCCTGTAATCCCAGCACTTTGAGAGGCCAAGGCGTGTGGATCACCTGAGTTCAAGAGTTCAAGCCCATACTGGGCAACATGGCGAAATCCCTTCTGCACAAAAAATACAAAAGTTAGCCGGGTGTGGTGGCAGGCACCTGTAGTCCCAGCTACTCGGGAGGCTGAGAATGAGAATTGCTTGAGCCTGGGAGGCAGAGGTTGCAGTGAACCGAGATTGCACCCCTACACTCCAACCTGGGTGACAGAGCGAGACCCTGTCCCAAAAGAAACACATCTGTAAGGACACAAACCATGCTAATTATGTATCATGCTTAGTAGCAACCAGATCCTTTATTGTAACCATTTTTGAAACTAAAATTGGGGTGTTGATTGGGAAAATGTATGTTTATAATTAGAATGAGAATATCTGATAGAAACCAGAGGACCTAAGGACTTCAGCTTCAAAACTTCTGCTTTGATTCCCAAAACCCTGCACATGTCTGTTTCATTCCATTCATCCCATCAGATAAACACGCTGAGACCTGCCCCCTTGTAAAGCAAATCAGTTTTACAACAGCTTTGCAACATGGGGGCACAGGTGACATTTCATGATTTATTAGAGAAAAAAAGTGTCATCATAAGTTAAAGACAATGATAAAGTGTTTTCAATACATACGACATAGGGTTTATGGTAAAAATATATAAGGAGTTCCTACCAATCAATTTGCGAAAGATGAGTACCATAATACAAAAACAGGCAAAACAGTTTGCATTAGGACAAATGCAAATAGCTAGTAAACATATTTTTAAAATAGTTTAACTTTGAAGAGTAATCAAACTAATGCAAATTAAAATAGGATACCATATTTAGCCTCTCAAATTGGAATCAATTTTTAAACATCCAATATTAACCAGAGAATAGGCAAAAGTAACACTAACAAATACTGCAGCTAGAGGTGCAAATTGGTAGAACGGTACATAAACATTTAATAATATACAGCAAAAACCTAAGAAAATGTTCTACTCTTGGGAATTATTTTACTTTTAGAAATTTCTGCTAGCCAAAAAGCTGAGAAAAATAAAAAGTTTTCTAAAAAGGCTTGGTACAGTGGCTCACACCTGTAATCCAAGCACTTTGGGAGGCCGAAGCGGGTGGATTACTTGAGGACAGGAGTACTTGAGACCAGCCTGGCCAACGTGGTGAAACCCCATCTCTACTAAAATAAAAATTACGAAAAAAATTTTTTAAAAAATTCTAAAGAAATAGAGATGCACCCAAAGATCGACATACAAGGATATGTAGAGGGGAATACTGAAAACACTCTGGATTTCCAAATGATTAAATAAATGTTGGCATGGATATATGATGGAATCCATGTAGCTATTAAAAACTGTTTTCCAAGAAAATTTAATAACTTTTAAAAATACTTATGCTGTAGTATTTGTTGACAAGATCAAACTACAGTCCTTCATATAAACATGACCTTACTTTGATAAATAAAATAGATCTATTTGTAATTATATATATAATGTGTGTGTAAATATGTATTCATAGAAAAAAGCCTGAAAATATATGCATCAGATTATGAGTAGTTGTTAGTTCTGCTTACTGGAATTACAGCAATTTTCTTTTCTTTCTTTTTTATTTTTCAAATTTCCTATAATAGGTATGATCTTTATCAGAATAAATTATATATCAAAAGAAATTCACGCAAAAATATACATACACTTTGTTCAATCACAAAAATACTTGTAATATTTAATGTGATATTTCTATATCTCAATTTATGATTCAGAGCAAATATGTTCACAAGGAAATCCCCCTCTTTCCTGGAATATCACACTCTGTGCTTCCTTCTTGGCCATAACACAATCCTTATTCAACATGTGCAGTTTCTCCAAGTTAATTGCATGAGACTCATAAAATTGGGGATTTTTAAATACATTTCAACAATGTCAGGAATCTGGTTGCTTAGTATTTCAGTACAAAACATTTCCAGCACTCTCACTTCTAGCTGAAAAAAAAAAAAAAAAATTGAAGCAGATGAAGTTCTGAATATGCTGTTTTTGCTTAACTTTAATCCTTTTAAACAGACTCTTCTGCCCCACCCCTCCCTTTATAAACACCCTATTTCTCTACCCCTCATCCCTTTGTGTAGAGCTGATCATTGGACAATAGGCGAACATGTGTAGGTGTCAAGCTTAACAGCAGGTAAAGAGACCAAGAGCACCAAAGGGGATTGAGCCTGAGAGACAGGAGTCTGGGCTAATGACCCATATTATACTCTAGTTTGCCTTCACCTGGCATGTGCATGGAAGATGGTGCTTGATGCCTTGTCCAAGTTGATACAAATATGCTACCAGAAGACCCCACATGTGAGAATTTGAGGTATTATCAAAGACTGGGTAAGGAGGTACATCGGGTGCAATGGTACCTGTCACATGGATAATCTGTTAGGTGGAGTTTTGTAATCAAGTGATAGACAAAGCCCCATTGTAATTATAGTGAAATCTCTACCCTCCCTCACTCTGTGACCATGGGCAAGTTGCATAGCCACCATGACTGTCAATTCCATCAACTATAAAAGGAAGGAGTTGAATTATATCAGGTTCTCTTTTTTTTTGTAGACGGAGTCTTGCTCTATCATCCAGGCTGGAGTGCAGTGGTGCAATCTCGGCTCACTGCAACCTCCGCCTTCCGGGTTCAAGCAATTCTCCTGCCTCAGCCTCCTGAGTAGCTGGGACTACAGGCACCTGCCACCATGCACAACTAATTTTTGTATTTTTAGTAGAGACGATGTTTCACCATATTGGCCAGGCTGGTCTCAAACTCCTGACCTCAAGTGATCCACCTGCCTTGGTCTCCCAAAGTGCTGGGATTACAGATGTACATCACATTCTTAATTTGGAGTCTGATGATGGGCATCAGAAGGTCCATGAACAGGTAAAATTATCAGCAAAATAATATGCATTTTTCTAGGAAAAAGATTCATAGCTTACATCAGATTCTCAATTCATGAACCCAAGAGAGACTGACCCACAGAATTATACAACCTTTAAATTTCATTCGAGATCAACATTCCAGGATTCTCCATTGATGCATATTTTGGATAGAACTTTTACTTGATTAGAAAACTTTATTTTATTGTATCTCAGCTTTTTGGATAGAAAAAAATTTTTAATAATATAAATAAATGAGTAAAAAGAAAGCTTTATTTTATACCACGTTTAGGTTTACTCAGACTTCAAACAGGTAAGGCCAGACTCCAGTGTGAAGTAAAAAATATGTTTCCTCTCTCGTCTATAAGGAATTTTTCTACAAAAGGGGTTTGAATATGTATGGGTGCACAGGAGCTACAAAATACAGAAAATATATTAAAATAGTTAAAAATCTGTTATATTTCATGTCAGTGAAGGACATTTTGCAACTGTGGGAAATTAGACACAATTTACTAGTTTTGTTCATCCAATTAAAATATTTTAAATGTAATGTGTCTTAAGGATAGTTATACACAGTGTTTTCAGTATATGATCCCGATGCCAACCTTGGCATAGTATTTTTTTTTCTTTTTTGAGACAGATTCTCACTCTGTTGCCCAGGCTGGAGTGCAGTGGCTCCATCACAGCTCACTGCAGCCTTTATCTCCCCAGGCTCACATGATTCTCCTACCTCAGCCTCGTGAGTAGCTGGGACTACATGTGCACGCCACCATGCCTGGCTAAATTTTGTATTTTTTGTAGAGATGGGGTTTTACCATGTTGTCCAGGCTGGTGTCGAACAATCCACCTGCCTCAGCCTACCAAAATATTGGAATTACAATTGTGAGCCACCACACTTGGCCAGCATAGTATTTTTTTTTTTATTTTTTGAGACACAGTCTCGCTCTGTCATGCAGGTTGGAGCGCAGTGGTGTGATCTTGGCTCACTGCAACTTCTGCCTCCTGGGTTCAAGTGATTCTCCTGCTTCAGCCTCCCTAGTAGCTGGGACTACAGGCATGTGCTACCATTCTTGGCTAATTTTTTTGTATTTTTAGTAGAGACGGGGTTTCACTATGTTGGCCAGGCTGGTCTCGAACTCCTGACCTCATGATCTGCCCACCTCAGCCTCCCAAAGTGCTGGGATTACAGGCATGAGCCACCACGCCTGGCCTCAGCATTGTATTTTTACAGAGTAGGCTGGGCTACAGAGGAAGACCCTGTCTCAAGAAAAGAATAGATTGGAAGGATATGGGGGAATGTTATAGAACTGTAACTCCAAGATCCCTAACCCCATCAATATGTAAATAATGTAGCGATAATGAATTCAGAATCTCCAGATTTTCATTCCCTGCTTGACATTAATAATGTAACATATCTATTCACATCGGTCTCTCTGACATTTACCTATTCTTTCAAGAGACCACATTAAAAGCAACTAAATGATGATACAGACGTTTAGCATCTTGCGGCTTTGGACACTAGCTAGAGATGTGTCGGGAAATTCTGTATGGAAGGAGCACTCTGGGAGCGTTTTTGCTAGGGGCCACTGAAGCATGGTGCTAGATAATAGCCCTGTTTTTTGACCAGCCTCGCTGAGCATGCAGAGCTGATCTCACGTGTTCTGGGTGACCTGCAACGACGTCAGTGTGCAGCAGAGACACCACATCCACAGAACAAAACAATAGACCGGCCCTGCAACTGTGGACCGCAGTTCATTTTTATTCTAAAGTAGTTAACCTTGGATTGTTAGAGCTCCTATAAAAGTCTTACAAAAGGTGAAATTTGGTCATTTAATATTACATTGCTCATCTCTTTAGCTTTTTGAAAAATATTGCTACCATGTATTTTTATGTAGTGTTGTCCCCCCAAATTCAGTCAATTTGCAAATGAAGATGAAAATAAAACAATTAAAAAGAATAAGACATTGGGGAGGCTGTGGCTGGTGGATCACTTGAGGTCAGGAGTTCGAGACCAGCCTGGCCAACATGGTGTAACCCCGTCTCTACTAAAAATACAAAAATTAGCCAGGCATGGTGCCATGAGCTTGTAATCACAGCTACTGGGGAGGCTGAGGCATGAGAATCATTTTAACTCGGGAGGCAGAGGTTGCAGTGAGCCGAGATAGCACCACTAAACTCCAGCCTGGGTGGCAGAGTGAGACTCAGTCTCAAAAAAAAAAAGAATGAGACAATTGGATAAAAACAAAATGTAGTATATTCATGCAGTGGGATATTATTCAGCCATAAAAAGGAGGGAAATTCTGATATATGCTATAATGTGGGTGGGTCTTGAAGATGTGATGCTGAGTGAAATAAGCCAGTCACAAAAGGTCAAATATTGTATGAGTTCACTAATATGAGACACCTAGAGAAGTCAAATTCAGAGCCAGAAAGCAGAATGTTGATTGTCACACTGTTGAGGGAGTTGAGTGGGCTGGGGAATGGAGAGCTACTGTTTAATGGGTGCAGAATTTCTGTTTGGGAAGATGAAGACTCTCTGGTGATGGATGGTGATGATGATTGCATGACAATATGAATGAAGTTAACGTCACTCAACTTTACACTTAACAATGGTAAATCTTACGTTGTGTATATTTTACCACAATTTTTTAAATCCACTGAATTGTAAAACAAACAAACAAAAGGCTAGGCATGGTGGTGCATGCCTGTAATCCCCACTCTTTGGGAAGCCAAGGCAGGCAGACAGCTTGAGGTCCGGAGTTCGACACCAGCCTGGCCATCATGGTGAAACCCCATCTCAATTAAAAATGCAAAAACTAGCCGGGTGTTGTAGCACGTGCCTGTAGTCCCATCTACTAGGGAGGCTGAAGCACGAGAAATGTTTGAACCAGGAGTCAGAAGTCCCAGTGAGTTGAGATCTCGCCACTGCACTCCTGGGCAACAGAGTGAGACTCTGACTCACAAGAAAATAAAAAGAACAGAAATAAATAAATTGTGAGATAGTGAAGGAAATTTGAATACTAAGTAGATGTGCAATGATGTAGAAGAATTATTATTAATTTTGATCTCTTTCAAAGACTCTCTTTTAGAGCTACTTAGTGAAATCTTTACAGATGAAATAATGCTGTCATTTGCTTCAGAAAAATCTGGTGAGTGCTAACAAGGAGGGTAGAGATGAAACAGTGTCAACCATGAGTCACTTAAATTTAAAAAGAGAGGGAAAAAAGAGCACACCTGTAAACACATATTGCTGTTAACCTTACATAAATAAAATCAGAATCTATGATTTTTAACCAAAATGTGTTACCTATTGGAATCTAAACTTTAGTTTGCTTGCCCAAACTAAGAGTGAATTTGTGTATATATTCTCTAAACTGTGTACTTCTTGAGAACCAAGTTTGTTGTTTTATCTTAAAAAAAGTCGAGAAAATAAAGGGCACTAATAAATATTTGATGAAGAAACAATGGACTCTATTTTTGGAATTCCTATGCTGCCCTGTAGACCATCACTGTTTACTTGGAGAAGAAGTCTGCCTATCTTACTCTCACTCTTAGGACACACGGGTTGATATTGACTTACACAAGCCCCCCAGTCACTCCATCCCAGCTGCCAAGCCTTTGTATTGTAACTTATAGGCCCCCACACATTCTATTTATGATTCCCTTTGTTTAGAAAGCTCTCTTAAGATGTTTGCAAGAACCTCCTCTCCCTGCTTTTTCTTGTAACCTTCCCTAGACACCTGCTCTAGCCACCGCGATATGGTTTGCATCTGTGTCCCCACCCAAATCTCATGTTCAATTGTAATTGAACATGTTCAAGGTGGGGCTTGGTGGGAGGTGATTAAACCATGGGGGTGGATTTCCCCCTTGGTGCTCTTCTTGTGATAGTGAGTGAGTTCTTGTGAGATCTGGCTGTTTAAAAATTGTGTAGCATCTCCCTCTCTTGCTCCTGCTATGGCCATGTAAGAGGTAGGTGCCTGCTTCCTCTTCCCCTTCCACCATGATTGTTTCCTGAGATCTCCCCAGAAGCTGAGCAGATGCCAGAATCATGCTTCCTGTACAGCCTGGGGAATGAGTCAACTAAACCTCTTTTCTTTGTAAATTACCCCAGTCTCAAGTATTTCTTTATAGCAATGCGAGAACCGGCTAACACGGAAAATTGGTACCGGGGATCAATAGGATCCCTACTCTTACTTTGTCTACCTCTCTATTTCTTTACCCATATCCTATCTCCTCCCTCCATGCACTTACCACTACCTGATATGTTTGTTTGTTGTCTTCTTCCCCTATAAGACTATAACCTCATGAGGAAGGAAATTTGACTGTTTTATTCACCATTGACTTTTAACCTTGGCCTTGGCACAGGGTAGGTCACAAATGAATATTTATTGCATCAATGAATAAAGTGTTAAAAAGGCACTAACATTAAAGAGATTCTAACTTCTAGCTAGAACAATGAACTTCACTCATCTTTAGCAACCTCTTCCTTGGGAACTTTCATGGAATTTAACTACTTGTACTTTTCATCTTCACAGTGCATGTAAATAATTAATGATTTTGCTCCATGACACAGATGCTAATGCTGCATTTTATAGATGGGAAAACTAAAGCATAGACTAACTAAATCCCTAAAGATCAATGAATGAGTCAACGTCAGAGCCAGATGAATAGAATTTGGGATATTTAGTTCTGAGCAACTGATTCCCCAAAGTCGTTTAACTATATTTTGTGCTTGTTATAGCTCATTTAAAAGCATTCACAATTCCCCAATTTAAAATCTTTTCAAGTGAGGAATTGGTTTGTTGTGACAGCAGGTGATTCAGTTGCTGTAAGCGCTCATTCAGGAACTCATTCCTCAATCTGGATACAGTAATTCACAAAGTAAGCTAATGCTCTCCTACTGATCTCTCTGCCGCCAGTTATTTGTTCTGCCAGGCATCCTTTAGAAAGACGAGAATGTCTTTCTAAATCCCAAATGAGGCCAGGCAGGGTGGCTCATGCCTATAATTCCAGCACTCTGGGAGGCCGAAGTGGGTGAGTCACTTCAGGCAAGGAGTTTGGGACCAGCCTGGGCAACATGGTGAAACCTCATCTCTACTAATAATACAAAAAAAAAAAACAGCCAGGCGTGGCGGCATGCACCTGTGATCGCAGCTACTTGGGAGGCTGAGGCGGGAGGATCACTTGGCCCGGGAGGCAGAGATTGCGGTGAATCAAGATTGCACCACTGTACTCCAGGCTGGGTGACAGAGCAAGACCCTGTCTCAAAAAAAAAAAAAAATCCCAATCTGATTGTGCCACACCCTAAACACATGTGTGTAAAAGTTGCATAAAGGGTTAACAGAAGCAGAGTTCTTCCTTCAGAAGGTAAAAATGTGTCAAGAAAATTGAGAAATAAAATGAAGAAATGCTGAGTGAGAGCTCAGTAAGTATCTAGGACTATGAATAACTACATCCAAGACATTAGTATGTTTGTCTGTATAAAATATGTTGAATTTGCTTGTAAAATTCAGGCACTCTAATAGATTTGTTTTTCTGCTGCTGGAAATATTAAGGAATGACCATAGGTCAAAATTTGCATTTGCTTCCTATCATGTAGAAACTTAAGCAGAATAAATAGGATCACAAAATTAACATTTTATTGTATTCATTTCAAAGATCTATAGTCACCTCACTAATCTCACTGAATGAAATTATCTTGTTACTTATTTATATAAGGAAAAAAGAGCAAGTCAACTTCAATGAATAAAATGTGAATTTTTTTAAAAAAGTAAGTAGCGGCTGGATGCGGTGGCTCATGCCTGTAATCCCAGCACTTTGGGAGGCCGAAGCGGGCAGATTACCGGAGGTCAGGAGTTCGAGACCAGCCTAGCCAACATCGTGAAACCCCGTCTCTAATGAAAATACAAAAATTAGCTGAACGTGGTGGCACACACCTGTAATCCCAGCTATTTGGGAGGCTGAGGCAGAATTGCTTGAGCCCAGGAGACGGAGGTTGCAGTGAGCCGAGATCATGCCACTGCCCTCCAGCCTGGCCGACAAAGCAAGACTCTGTCTCAAAAAAAAAAAAAAAAAAAAAAAAAGTAAGTTACTGTTTTAGCAGAACTATATGGTCTATAAATAATTTACCAGTTAGTAGTTTCATTAATGTTCATTCCTCATTTTGTTTTAAAATGGATTGTGCCACCCCACATCTATTGCAAATGTAGGGGAAACCCTTTGTGTAGTGTCTGTGAAAGAGTTTCTCAAAGTCTAATTTAATTTTTAATTATTCAAATGTTACTAGAAAGTATGACCCCAAAGTTCAGTATGCAATCTCGTTTTTCATTAAGAATTCTCTTTTAAAATGCGGACGTCTCAAAAGGAAAAAAAAAGGGGGGGGCGGTGGGAGCTGGGGGCCATGGCTCACACCTGTAATCCCAGCACTTTGGGAGGCCTAGGCAGGCCGATCACTGGAGGTCAGGAGTTTGACACCAGCCTGGTCAACCTGGTGAAACCCTGTCTCTACTAAAAATACAAAAATTAGCTGGGCGTGGTGGTGCTTGCTTGTAATCCCAACTACTGGGGAGGTTGAGGCACAAGAATAGCTTGAACCTAGGAGGTGGAGTCGGCACTGAGCCGAGATCATGCCACTGCACTCCAGCCTGGGTGACAGAGTGAGATTCTGTATCAAAATATAAACAAATAATCATAATAACAATCATTATATAGGGACAGTGGTTCTCAACTTTGGCTGCACTTTGGAATCACCTGGAAACTTTACAAATAGTGATCCCTGGATTCCACCGCCTAAGATGTGTGTTTATTTGATCTGAGGAGTGGCCTAGGCATTGTGATTTTTTAAAGCAGCATCCAAAATGCAACCAAGATAGAGACCCTTGAAGAAGAGGCTCAGTCCATGGAAGTCCCTATGCAAGACCTGAGAATGGAATCTAAGAAGGACCCAAAGCCAGAGAACCCCGAATATAATGGTTTCTAGATTTCTCTGTAAGTCTAGATGTTGTAAACAATTTCAGTATTGCCGTTAGTAATATCTTACTGTATTCTTCAATGCTGTGGCTATTTCTCAAAAGGATCTAGTTTTCAGAATCTAGGATTTAAGTTAAATTAGGCTAAGATGAAAAGGATGTCAACGTAATCAAAACTTTGGTATTAGGCCGGGCACAGTGGCTCATGCCGGTAATCCCAGCACTTCGGGAGACTGAGGCCATGAGGATCACTTCAGCCCAGGAGTTTGAGGCCAGCCTGGGCAACATAGCAAGATGCCGTATCCACAAAATTTAGCCAGGCATGGTGGTGCATGCCTGTAGTTCAAGCTACTTGTAAACTGAAGTGGGAGGATCACTTGAGCCTGGGAGGTCGAGGCTGCTGTGAGCCATGACCGCACTTCAGCCTGAGGGACAGAGTGAGACCCTGTCTCAAAACAAACTCTGAGAAAAGAAAAAAACAACTGTGGTATTACATGTGAGCCATGCAGAACCAAAGTGGTTATTTGTATAATATAAACTGCCTCAATATAATTCTTAATAATAAAATACACACGAAGTATGTTTACTCTTATTTTAGAGCTCTTAAAGCTTCATCATCAATCATTCTCTCTTGCTGGAAAATGGATACAGATTTGAATGCCTGAAAGTTCTACCCATGCTGATACCTATAGCTTAAAGTAAAACACAGCCCTGTTGTTACACAGTAGTTATTACATTTAACAATTCAGATCCCTCTATATGAAGAGTCCCAGGGGTACATGGTTTGCATTTATTTGCTAGCAAGTTCTCACACCTGGTATGTATTTGGTTTGCTTGCTTGCTTAATTGTGAATGTTAACAAAGATAACATAGAAAAATAGATACAGGTGGTGGCTCATATCTGTTATCCCAGCACTTTGGGAGGCTGAGGCAGGTGGATCACTTGAGCCCAGGAGTTCGAGACCAGCCTGAGCAACAGGATGCAACCCATCTCTACAAAAAATACAAAAATTAGCCAGGTGTGGTGGCACATGCCTGTAGTTGCAGCTACTTGGGAGGCTGAGGTGGGAGGATTACTTGAGCCCAGGAGGTGGAGGCTGCAGTGAGCCATGATTGCACCACTGCACTCCCGCTTGGGTGACAAAGCAAGACTCTGTCTCAAAAAGAAAAAGAAAAATAGATACAAATGAGGAAGTAATTACTGAAAAAGAAATCCTTTTTTCATAATGAGCAAGAAAAAGCACAAAAACTTTGACCTCTGAGATCTAGGACTAGAAACCCTGACCCTCTCCATAGTTCAACCTTTGCATCTCACTGGGAGCTTCCAGAACCCTGATTGCCTGAATCCCTTCCTTCACTGGTGGTGGTGTTGGATCCTTGTCACTAGATGACTTAAGCTCCTTTAAAGTGTTGCTTTCCCCCTCCTTGCTGCAGGCTGTTGGGACAACATTTGCTATACGTTCTCAGAAGCAAGGAAGCTGGTGTCATCATTCAGCACCCCTGTTCAAACACTCCCTTTAATAATTCCTCCTGTTTCGTCTGGCTCATTGGGTGTTGCCCATAAAAACAGTTTGGCTTTTGTAATTACAATTAGAGCAGGCGGCATGACTAATCAGTCAGTTCACTGCATCTCTTGTTATCTTCTGTGAAGTGAGTCAGTTTCAACTTTGCCTTTGTGCTTATGTGTCATTCTCTGCTCTTTGATGTTCAAGTCTATATTGGTTCCAGACTCTGTTTTATTTAATCTGTTTGTTTTCTTTCTAAAAACATATTCTATATTCCCGTTCAAGAGTGGAGCTAACTTCACAGGATTTGGGAAAATTCTGATTATTCTAGCCCATACACAGAATGCCCAGGACAAGGAAGACACCACTTCTCTGAGGAATTGTGCCAAGAATACAAGTCGGTGAAGTCAGCATGCACATGTTGAATGTTTACAATGTGCCAGGTACTTTCATATACTATTCTATTAAAAATAAGCAGTATATGGCCAGGCACAATGGCTCACGCCTATAATCCCAGCATTTTGGGAGGCCGAGGCAGGCAAATCACAGGAGGTCAGGAGTCCGAGACCAGCCTGGCCAACATGGCGAAACCCCAACTCTACTAAAAATCCAAAAATTAGCTGGGTGTGGTGGCAGGCACCTGTAGTTCCAGCTACTCAGGAGGCTGAGGCAGGAGAATTGCTTGAACCCAGGAGGTGGAGGCTGCAGTGAGCTGAGATCACGCCACTACACTCCAGCCTGGGCAACAGAGCGAGACTCCACCTAAAAAAAAAAAAAAGCGCTATACGTTAGAGCAGTTTTAGGTTTACAGAAAAATTGGGAAGACAGTACAGAGTTTCCATATATGCCATACTCAAGTTCCCCTATTATTAACCTCCTACATTGGCATGATCCATTTGTTACAATTAATGTAATGCTATATGAATATTGGTATGTTATGATTAACTGACATCTATACTTAATTTTTATTGCCTTATTTTTTACCTGTTGTCCTTTTTGTGTTCTGGAATCCCTCCCAGATACAACATGACATTCTAGTCATCCATCTCCTTAGGTTCTTCTTGGCTGTGACAGATTCTCAGACTTTCTTTTTTGTGAGCCTGACAGTTTTGAGGAATATTGGACAGGTATTTTGTAGCATATCCCTCATTGACATTTGTCTAATGTGTTTCCCATTAGACTGGAGTTAAGTGTTGGTGGGAGCAAGACCACAGAGGCAGAATGCCATTTTCATCACATCATGCCAAGGGTACATACTATCAAGATGGATTATCACTGCTGCTTTTACCTTGATCACCTGGCTGAGATTGTGTTAGTCAGGCTTCTCTGCTGTAAAGTGACCCCGCTCCCCCCCCAACACTTCTGTTCTGTGCTCTTTGGAAGGAAGTTGCTATGCATGGCCCACACTTAAGGAGGAGGGACTTACAGCCCATCTCTTTAAGACAGAGGATTTATATAAATTATTGGAAGTTCTTATTTAGTCATTTATTTATATCAACGTGGACCCAAGGATTTTTTTTTAATGTTTTGAGTTATAATCTAATTCCCTTCTTTTCCTTCCTTCCTTCCTTCCTTCTTTCCTCTCCCCGTCTCTCTCTGTCTTTCTCTTGCTTTCTTGCTTTTTTTTCCAGCTTTGGCCATGCTGCAAGCTCTTTCAGTTGACTTCTCTGTACCTATGACATACTCCTTTGTGTGTGTGTGTGTGTGTGTGTGTGTGTGTGTGTGTGTGTGTGTGTGTGTTTGAGCACTTCCTCAATTTCTGGCTCTACAGGATATTTCAGACATCTTGTATATTTTCTCCTCCGCTAGTAGAATCAGCCATTTCTCCAAGAAGCCCTGGTTCCTTTTATTGAAAAATGGTACTAAATATCAAGATCTAGGTGGTAGATATGGTTGTTGCTGTGGGGAAGTCTTTGCTTCTCAGCTGAAAGAGAAAGGAAATATATGTGCATACACTAACCCATATATTTACATATATCCATAAACATTGCTGTGTGTGACCATTTATAGTGATATCAAGTTAAATATGCATTCATAGGGATGTCCCAACTCTATTCCATTACCTCATGGATCATTCTAGCCTCTTTCCCTTCCACCAACAGTGAGAAGTCTGGCTCTGACCGTCAATCATCCATTTACTTAAGACCTCCTGGCCTCAAGTGGTCTGCCCACCTCAGCCTCCCAAAGTGCTGGGATTACAGGCATGAACCACTGGGCCTGACCTTAATTTTAGCTGAATTTCTATGAAAGGGTTGGTTTTTTTCTTCTTGGTACTTTTGACACAAAGCTCATTTCCTTCCTTTGCCACTTCCTTTGCTGCTGCATCAGCTCCATCTTTTTTCAGCCTCCGCAGCAGCCAGCCATCACTAACAGAAGTAAGGGGAGAAGTCTTAGCAACTTCATTAGACATTGTGAGGTGAGAGGGCACAGCTGGGTAGCCAGGTGGTGATGGATGGATGGAGGGAGGGAGGGAGAGAGGGATGGAGGGAGGGAGGGAGAGAGGGATGAATGGAGGGAGGGAGGGAGGGATGGATGGATAGGTGGATAGATGGATGAAAAAAGTATCAGTTTATAGGTGCTGACTCATCCAAGATATTAATACAGCAAGGGGAAAGAAACATGTATGGTGGGACAGGATTTACATGTGACCATTAGTCAACTGTAATTTATATCTGTTAGGATATAGATTACACACCTCTGACTAGTCGGTGCCTCTTCATTGAGCTGTGATCAAATCAATCATCAGCATGCTCTTGTCATCCAGTGACAGTTGGTAATTTAAAAACAAACCCATGTCCACGTTCCAATCTGACCTGATGTCTGGACAATAGTGGATGTGTGTCATTATATATTTGTCAAAACTCATAGATCGGGCTGAGTGCAGTGGCTCACATCCGTAAACCCAGCACTTTGGAAGGCTGAGGCAGGCAGATTGCTTGAGTCCAGGAGTTCAAGACCAGCCTGGGTAACATGGTGAAATCCCATCTCTACTACTAATAAAAAACAAAACAAAAACCCATAAGTTGTGCAATATCAAGAGTAAATTGTAGTCATAATGACATCTCAATGTAAGTTCATTGATTGTGATAAATGTAGTATTATTGCGGTGTTGGATGTTGATAGCAGGGAAGGTTGTGGCATGTGTGGGGAAAAGGGGTACATGGGAACTCTCTGTACTTTCTACTCAATTTTGCTATGAACCCGAAACTGCCCTAAAAAATAACTTTTATTAACATATGGGCCAGGCACGATGGCTCACGCCTGAAATCCCAGCACTTTGGGAGGCCAAGGTGGGCAGATCACCTGAAGTCATGAGTTCAAGACCAGCCTGACCAACACAGTGAAACCCCATCTCTACTAAAAATACAAAAATTAGCGAGGCGTGATGGCGGGTGCCTGTAATCCCAGCTACTGAGGAGGCTGATGCAGGAGAATTGCTTGAACCCGGGAGGTGGAGGTTGCAGTGAGCCGAGATCACATCACTGCACTCCAGCCTGGACCACAGAGTGAGATTTGATCTCAAAATAATAATAATAATAATAACAAACCTAAAGTTGTCCCTAAAATATGAGCTGATTGAGAGTTTAAGATTGTTGAAAGAAGAAAATGGCGTGGTGAAAGGAAAGGGGGTTTTGCAAACTCACTCATCTAAGTTTGAATCCTAGCTCTGCCACTTAATAGCTATGTGACCATGGGCAAATTATTTGTCGTTATTTATATGAAATTGATATTAAAATATTAAAGTATTAAATATAACTCATTAAAATAATATGTAAATGCCATCCTTTATTAATATTTAAAATGATATATGACAAAACTCATACAATTTGATAGCACCAAGAGTAAACCCGAATGAATGCACATTTACTAATCATTCATGAGGTCAAAAGATCCCAGGATAGAACGTGGAATGCAGTAAAACGATCTAACTGTTTTACAAAAGTATGAAACCACCTCACTGAAGAGTGGAGGGAAAAGATGTCAACCTAAGTAACTCTGGAAATGAGTAGAGTCTGATAGACTAAAGGCAAAAGAAATTGTCCATAAACACTGCTGTAGTCAGAAGTGGAATATGAGATTTCCACCAAGTGTCTGTAAAGGAGAGGTGCCTTTCTCCTCATCTCTTCCTTTCCTACTGGGTAGAAGGAGAACTGATAGGGCTCGGCTCTGTGTGCCCACCCAAATCTCATCTTGAATTGTAATCCCCACATGTCAAGGTAGGGACCTGGTGGGAGGTGATTGGATCATGGTGGTGGATTCCCCCATGCTGTTCTCATGATAGTGAGTTCTAACAAGATCTGATGGTTTTATAAGTGTTTGGCAATTACTCCCTCACTCTCTCTCTTTCCTGCTGCTTGTGAAGAAGGTATTTGCTTCTCCTCCGCCTTCTGCTATGATTGTTAAGTTTCTTGAGGCCTCCCTAGCCATGCAGAACAGTGAGTCAATTAAACTTCTTTCCTTTATAAATTACGCAGTCTTGGGTATTTCTTCTTCCTCTTTTTTTTTTTTTTTTTTTTTAGATTGCTCTGTCCCCCAGGCTGGAGTGCAATGGTAAAATCTCAGCTCACTGCAACCTCCACCTCCCAGGTTCAAGCAGTTCTCCTGCCTCAGCCTCCTGAGTGGCTGGGATTACAAGCACGCGCCAACATGCCCCACTAATTTTTGTATTTTTAGTAGAGGAGGGGTTTTGCCATGTTGGCCAGGCTGGTCTCGAACTCCTGACCTCAGATGATCTGCCCATCTCAGCCTCCAACGGTGCTGGGATTACAGGCATGAGCCACCGCACCCAGCCGGGTGTTTCTTTACAGCAATCAGAAAATAGACTAATACAGGGACAGGTGCCTGACATGGAAGGAACATCCATCTTGGACTACATGGAGTGAAAAGCAAGGGCTGAATACGATGGAACAAGAAGACGGAAGACGCCTGTCTTCTCAGGATGGTGGTGCCATTATGCCAGCTGAATCTATGTGCAACAAAAAGTAAGCTTCTACCTTGTTTAACCCACTCTGATTTGGGGTTTTCTGTCACTCACAGATCAATCTAATCCTAACTAATATAAATTTTAGTTACATCTTCTTCTCCCTGCCTTTTAACTCTCCAACAACACCAGCATCCCTTAAAAAATGAGGCTACACAACTGTTCATGATAAAACTCTCCTTGTGGGATACCCTAAGGTACCCTTAAGCACCTAATTCTAGTCAATAAAAGCAGGGCACGAAGCAGACTCTCCCTCACAAAAAGATTATGCCCTTACATGGAATAATAATTGATAATAAGTAGCATAATTTTTGTTAACTCATCATCTTTACAAAAGAGATTTTTTTAATGAGCTTTCAAACAACAGTATAAATTTAGCTTTTGTTTCCTTTACATAAAAATTACACACTTACTGAATTTTGGGAGAAATGCCAAGAAGTATGACCTATTAAAATGTAAAGGAACACAAATTGCTTTGGTTTGGAAGGTGTTAAGTATGGGGTTTGAATTAGTCCGTTTTCACGTTGCTGACAAAGACACACCCGAGACTGGGAAGAAAAAGAGGTTCAATTGGACTTACAGTTCCACATGGCTGGGGAGGCCTCAGAATCATGGCAGAAGGCAAAAGGCACTTATTAAGTGACAGTAGTAAGAGAAAATGAGGAGAAAGAAAAAGTGGAAACCCCTGATAAACCCATCAGATCTCCTGAGACTTACTCACTTTCACAAGGATAGCACAGGAAAGACTGGCCCCCGTGATTCAATTACCTCCGCCTGGTTCCCTCCCACAGCATATGGGAATTCTGGGAGATTCAATTCAAGTTGAGATTTGGGTAGGGGGGCAGCCAAACCATATTATTCTGCTCCTGGCCCCTCCATATCTCATGTCCTCACATTTAAATACCAATCATGTGTTCCCAGCAGTCCCCCAAAGTCTGAATTCATTTCAGCATTAACCCAAAAGTACACAGTCCAAAGTCTCATCCAGACAAGGCAAGTCCTTTCCGCCTATGAGCCTGTAAAATCAAAAGCAAGCTAATTACTTCCTAGATACAATTGGAGTATATGTACCGGGTAAATACAGCCAATCCAAATGGGAGAAATTGGCCAAAACAAAGGGGTTACATAGCTCATGCGTGTCTGAAATCCAGCAGGGCAGTCAAATCTTAGAGCTCCAAAAGGATCTCCTTTGACTCCAGGTCTCACATCCAGGTCACGCTGATGCAAGAGGTGGGTTCCCATGGTCTTGGGCAGCTCCACTCCTTTGGCTTTGCAGGGTGCAGACTCCCTCCCAGCTGTTTTCATGGGCTGGCATTGAGTGTCTGTGCCTGTTTTCCAGGCACATGGTGCAAGCTGTCAGTGGACCTACCATCCTGGGGTCTGGAGGACGGTGGCCCTCTTCTCACAGCTCCACTAGGCAGTACCCCAATAGAGACTCTGTGTGGGGGCTCCAACCCCATATTTCCCTTCAGCACTGCCCTAGCAGAGGTTCTCCATGAGGGACCTGGCCTGCAGCAAACTTCTGCCTGGGCATCCAGATGTTTCCATACATCCTCTGAAATCTAGGCGGAGGTTCCCAAACCTCAATTCTTGACTTCTGTCCACCAACAGGCTCAATACCGTGTAGAAGCTGCCAAGGCTTGGGGCTTCCACCCTCTGAAGCCACAACGTGAGTTCTATGTTGGCCCCTTTCAGTCACTGCTGGAGCAGCTGGGACACAGGGCACCAACCAAGTCCCTAGGCTGCACACAGCAGAGTGCCCTCGGCCCACCCCACAGAATCACTTTTTCCTTCTGGGCCTCCGGGCCTGTGATGGGAGGGGCTGCCATGAAGGTCTCTGACATGGCCTGGAGACATTTCCCCCATGGTCTTGGGGATTAACACCAGGCTCCTTGCTACTTATGCAAATTTCTGCAGCTGGCTTGAATTTCTCCCCAGAAAATGGGGTTTTCTTTTCTATTGCATTGTCAGGCTGCACATTTTCGAAATTTCTATGCTCTGTTTCCCTTTTAAAACCGAATGCTTTTTTTTTCTCTTTTGGAGACAGAGTCTCGCTCTGTGGCCCAGGCTGGAGTGCAGTGGCACAATCTGGGCTCACTGCAAGCTCCGCCTCCCAGGTTCACGCCATTCTCCCACCTCAGCCTCCCCAGTAGCTGGGACGACAGGCACCCACCACCACGCCCAGCTAATTTTTCTGTATTTTTAGTCGAGATGGGGTTTCACTGTATTAGCCAGGATGGTCTCTATCTCCTGACCTCATGATCCACCCGCCTCAGCCTCCCAAAGTGCTGAGACTACAGGCGTGAGCCACTGCGCCCGGGCAACTGAATGCTTTTCACAGCACCCAAGTCACCTCTTGAATGCTTTGCTTCTTGGAACTTTTCTCCACCTGGTACCCTAAATCATCACTTTCAAGTTCAAAGTTCCACAAATCTCTAGGGCAGAGGCAAAATGCCGCCAGTTTCTTTGCTAAAACATAACAAGAGTCACCTTTACTCCAGTTCCCAACAAGTTCCTTATCTCCATCTGAGACCACCTCAGCCTGGACCTTATTGTTCATATCACTATCAGCGTTTTCGTCAAAGCCACTCTACAAATCTCTAGGAAGTTCCAAACTTTCCCACATTTTCCTGTCTTCTTCTGAGCCCTCCAAACTGTTCCATTCTCTGCCTGTTACCCAGTTCCAAAGTTGCTTCCATATTTTTGGGTATCTTTTCAGCAATGCCCCACTCTACTGGTACCAATTTACTGTATTAGCCTGTTTCACGCTGCTGACAAAGACATATCAGAGACTGGGAAGAAAAAGAGGTTTAATCGGACTTACAGTTCCACATGGCTGGGGAGGCCTCAGAATCATGGCGGGAGGCAAATGGCACTTCTTACATGGCAGCAGCAAGAGTAAATGAGGAAGAAGCAAAAGTGGAAACCCCTGATTAACCGATCAGATCTGGTGAGATTTATTCACTATCACAGAATAGCATGGGAAAGACCGGCCCCCATGATTCAATTACCTCTCCCTGGGTCCCTCCCACATCACGTGGGAATTCTGGGAGATACAATTCAAGTTGAGATTTGAGTGGGAGCACAGCCAAACCATATCAGGGTCTAAAACAATGAAAATATTGACCAAATAGTTATTTATGAATGGCATGTTGTTTAAGTATTTTCACAAATACGCACTAATATCTCTCCATCTCTCTCCCCCTCCACCCTTCCTCGTTGATGTTATACTGGATTTAGGAATTAAGATTTCTGTTCTTAGAAACAGGAGAAAAGGAAGATGGCAGTTAGTAGTGGCTTGATGGCCATTTCAAAATGGTTACCTAGCAACAGTTCCAGGCTGCAGCCACTAGGAGTAGCTCCAGCTGCTCACGGTTAAGCCGGCTTGAGCTACATAGTTGCTCTGCTACACAACTTATTTGTATGATTTTCAAATAAGAATCACCTTTTGGGGTTAGATGGGCTGATGCTTCAGATGGCCATCTATTTGTCTTGTCTCGTTCCTTGACAAGGTGAATGTGCTTGCTGTGTTTATAAAAGAAAAAAAAACCCGGTCGGGTGCAGTGGCTCACACCTGTAATCCCAGCACTTTGAGAGGCCAAGGCGGGCTGATCACCTGAGGTCAGGAGTTCGAGACCAGCCTTGCCAACATGGTGAAACCCCGTCTCTGCTAAAAGTACAAAAAAATTTAGCCAGGTGAGGTCACGGCCACCTGTAATCCCAGTTACTTGGGAGGCTGAGGGAGGAGAATTGCTTAAACCCAGGAGGCGGAGGTTGCAGTGAGCCAAGACCACCCCATTGCACTCCAGCCTGAGCAACAAGAGCAAAACTCCGCCTCAAAAAAAAAAAACAGTTGTGAAAAAAAAAAATCTGACAGTATTTGGAGCCAAAACAAAATGTCTCTCAAAGCTCCTAGATGTCAAGTGATAGCAACTATGTAAACTCATAAATAGATTTTAAAAATTTTAATAAATAAAATCTATCCCAGCTACTTAGGAGGCTGAGGCAGGAGGATTACTTGAGCCCAGGAGTTCAAGACCAACCTGGGCAATATAGTGACAACCTGTCACAATATTTTAAGTCCACTTTTAAGTAAGAATATTAATAGTTTACTTAAACCCACAGAATGCATTTGAAGAGTTTAAGTCAGGGTTAAATAATTTTCCTAAAAGTTAAATATCATTCTAAGATCACTCTACCCCTTGCCTCTTAAGTTTTAATCTCCTTATGTTCAATTTCAGGAAACCAAGACAAGTATCCACAAAAGGAGAAACATGGGCCGGGCGCGGTGGCTCACGCCTATAATCCCAGCACTTTGGGAGGCCGAGGTGGACGGATCACAGGGTCAGGAGATTGAGACCATCCTGGCTAACATGGTGAAACCCCGTCTCTACTAAAATACAAAAAAAAAATTAGCTGGGCGTGGTTGCGGGCGCCTGTGGTCCCAGCTATTCGGGAGGCTGAGGCAGGAGAATAGCACCAACCCGGGAGGCGGAGCTTGCAGTGAGCAGAGATTGCGCCACTGCACTCCAGCCTGGGCAACACAGACTCCGCCTCAAAAAAAAAACAAAAAACAAAAGGAGAAATACAGGATGTTTTACAGTGCTTGTGGTGCTTGATTTTTATATCTTGTCATTAAGCTATGCCTTTATTTCCTTTGTGTTAAACCTCTATTCTTGTTTACACCTGTTTTCTATCTGTAGTTCAAAAACATAATGAATATTTCATCTATGTAGTTTCTTTGTAAAGTCTTTTGAGCTCTAACCTCTCAAAGGACAGCCACTCAATATGGTCTGTTTATTTATCTATCTATTTATTTATTTATTTATTTATTTATGTATAGACAGAGTCTGGCTCTGTTGCCCAGGATGGAGTGCAGTGGTGTGATCTCGGTTCACTGCAAGCTCCGACTCCCAGGTTCACACCATTCGCCCGCCTCAGCCTCCCGAGTAGCTGGGACTACAGGCGCCCGCCACCACGCCCAGCTAATTTTTTTGTATTTTTAGTAGAGACGGGGTTTCACCATGTTAGCCAGGATGGTCTCGATCTCCTGACCTCGTGATCTGCCCGTCTCAGCCTCCCAAAGTGCTGGGATTACAGGCGTGAGCCACCACACCAGGCCCATCAATATGGTTTGAACATGCATCACACATGCTGAGGCCGGGCACGGTAGCTCACGCCTGTAATTCCAGCATGTTGGGAGGCTGAGGTGGGCAGATCACTTGAGGTCGGGAGTTCGAGACCAGCCTGGCCAACATAGTGAAACCCCGTCTCTAATAAACATATAAAAATTAGCCAGGGGTGGTGGCACACACATGTAGTTTCAGCTACTCAGGAAGCTGAGGCAGGAGAATCGCTTGAACCTGGGAGGAGGAGGTTGCAGTGAGCAGAGATCATGCCGCTGCACTCCAGCCTGGGCAACAGAGCAAGACTTTTTAAAAAATTTAAAAATAATAGTAAATAGATAAATACCCATCACGTATGCTGAATATGTAGAAATTGGATGGCTACTAAAAATCATATGCACATGGACTCAGCTATTCGTACACCAAAGTTTATAGCAGCATTATGCATGATAGCCAAAAGATGGAAACAACCTAGCTGTTCATGGATAGGAAAACGTGACGTATGCACACTATGGAATATTATTCAGCCCTTAAAAGAAATAAAAATTTTTACACATTCTACAACATAGATGAACCTGGAAGACGTTATGCTAAGTTAAATAAGCCAGACACGAAAGAACAAATACTGTATACTTCCACTTACATGAGATAACCAGGGGAGTCAAATTCATAGAGACAGAAAGTAGCATGTTGCAATGGGGAGCAATTGTTTAATGGGTACAGATTTTCAGTCTGGGAAAATTCATTTAGCTCCCACTTATAAGTGAGAATATGTGGTATTTGGTTTTCTGTTCCTGCAAAATTTTGGACATGGCTGGTGGTGATGGTTGCAAAACGATATTAATGTACTTAATGCCAGTCAACTATACACCTAGAAACGGTTAAAACAGACAATTTTATGGTATGTATGTTTTACATAGCTTAAAAAAAATCAAATGTGCTTATTTGGTCCAGACAAATGTTAGCAATGCTCTGATTTTCCCTCGTGTTCCAGTATTTTGCCACATACCTAGTGGGAGATCATTACATTACTAAAAGAGAAAAATCTGCTATGGAGATTGTGTAACGTGCACCCATGTATAGAAAAATGAACCACAATGTCTAGAAAGCAAAATCCTGGCCAGACACAGTGGCTCACACCTGTAATCCCAGTGCTTTGGGAGGCCGAGGTGAGCGGATCACCTGAGTTCAGGAGTTCAAGACAAGCCTGGGCAACATCGTGAAACCCTATCTCTACTAAAAATACAAAAATTAGCTGGGCATGGTGGCGGGCGCCTGTAATCCCAGCTACTCAGGAGACTGAGGCAGGAGAGTTGCGTGAACCCAGGAGACAGAGTTTGCAGTGAGCCAGGATCACGCCTGTGCACTCTAGCCTGGGCAATAAGAGGGAAACTTGGTCTCAAAAAAAAAAAAAAAAGAAGAAGAAGAAGACTGACTTCATTTAAAAGTATGATTTTTATCTTTATATATATTTCTTCTTTCGTTTTTTTCTTTCTGTTTTTTCTTTTCTTTTTTACTTATTTTTTTGGGGAGGACAGGGTATTGCTCTGTCACCCATGCTGGAGTACAGTGGTGAGATTATGGCTCACTCCAGCCTTGAGCCCTTGGGCTCAAGCAATTCTCCTGCCTCAGCCTCCCGAGTAGCTGGGCCTACAGGCACACACCACCATGCTTGGCTAATTTTTTTATTTCTTTGTAGAGATGGGAGTCTATGTTGCCCAGGCTGGTCTTGAACTCCTAGACTCAAGTGATCCACCTCGGCCTCCCAAAGTGCTGGGATCACAGATGTGAGCCACTGTGACTGGCTATAATGTTATTTACTATTGCAAAAGCAAAATGTAGCTATTATAGAAAAATCAGAAAATGCATGCAGAGCGAATAAATCCTAGGGGCACACGCAGACCAATGGCCACACATAATTCTACCAAAGAAGTAGCATGTCTGCCTCTAGAGACACTGGCCCAATATGTCCATCATCTACAGCCCATTTCCCTCAGATCCATCCTTCCAACCTTCTCTGTGATGCTCTGTCCCCTTAGAGTTGGCCCTCACATGCTGTATCACCCAGGTCCTTCTGGTTGGGCATACCAAGGGAGTAGCGAATTATCGGAAAAAAATTCAGAAGAAAGAATTCCCAGAAAGAATTTAACACTTCCCCCAATAGCAGATCTTGAAAGAATAATTTGAATGTAAGCAGTTTATTTGGGAAATGATCCCAAGAGAGTGTAGTGGGGAAATGAGGACGTCAGATAGAAAAGAGAAGAAACCAAACAAATGGTTGTTACCAAGTTACCCCTGTAGGCAATTGGAGTTTAATTTCTGGGGAAATCTTGGAAATAGTGAGGAACATGGACCTGTGAGCTGTCCCACTTGAGGGTGGGGAAGTTCCAGTATGTATCGCTACTTCCCATCTGTCATCAGCTGAGGACTTACTCCGGGATGGTGTACATGAAATGTGAGGTCTGAGGAGCTATGGGGCAGATGGTCGAGGGGACCACCTAGTGGGACGTGAAGACAAGAGAAAAATAGAGAAAGGCCAAAGGGTCAAAAAGCTACACAATAATGCTGTAAACAAGTACTGAACTGTGCCCATCAATTTCTCAAAAGGAGTAGCTGGATGGACCATTTCAGTGGAACAGCAGGAGCTAAAGCCAGAATGCTTCAGAGTAAGAAGTAGAGATCATGTGTGGGGACAATTCTTTTTTTTTTTTTTTTAAACGGAGTCTCACTCTGTCACCCAAGCTGTAGTGTTGTGGTGTGACCTCGGCTCACTGCAACCTCCGCCTCCCAGGTTCAAGCTATTCTCCTGTCTCAGCCTCCTGAGTAGGTGGCATGTGCCACCAAGCCTGGCTAATTTTTGTGTTACACGGGATTTCACCACGTTGGCTAGGCTGGTCTCAGTCTCCGAAAGTGCTGGGATTGCAGGCGTGAGCCACCATGCCCAGCCAGTTCTTTACAACGCTTGATTCTGAAAGGAAAGAAAGAAAGAGGGCTGTAGCCAAAAGGCTGTGAGGTTAGAGCAATGTTTTTCAAACTGGGGTCCTTGACAGATTCTCAGTCTGTAAGACCTGAGAATTTTAAAAGACACACACAGACACACACACACACATACACACACACAGTGTCCCCTGGATGCCAATTTCTAAGTGAATATTGCTTCCAAGTTTCAGTTCCTCTGTTTATATTTGTGTTTACAATCAAGTTGTAGCCAGGCAGTAATACTTTAAAGATCATTTTCTTTCTTTTTTTTTTTTTTTTTAACTGAGTTTCGTTCTTATTGCCCAGGCTGGAGTGCAATGGTGTGATCTCCGCTCACAGCAACCTCCGCCTCCCGGATTCAAGTGATTCTCCTACCTCAGCCTCCTGAGTAGCTGGGATTAAAAGTATGGGCCACCATGCCCAGCTAATTTTTTTGTATTTTTAGTAGACACAGGGTTTCCCCATGTTGGTCAGGCTGGTCTTGAACTCCCAACCTCAGATGATCCGCCCCCCTCGGCCTCCCAAAGTGCTGGGATTACAGGCGTGAGCCACCACGCCCGGCCTAAAGATCATTTTCAAACAGAAATTGTTCATGCTGTCATGGAGAAGGTATTATCCGGATGAACGTGTTTCTGTGTTGACAAGAAGGAACAGAGCGCTGCCTTCTGCTCTGATTGTTCCAGCTTTAGAGGTGTTTGAATTAGAGTGAGTGTTCCCCATGGGGGATGCTTGTGTCCTAGAAAAGACATTGAGGGCTGGGCACGGTGGCTCATGCCTGTAATCTCAGTACTTTGGGAGGCCAAGGCGAGTGGGTCACCTGAGGTCAGGAGTTCGAGAACAGCCTGGCCAACATGGTAAAACCCCGTTTCTACTAGAAATACAAAAATAATTAGCCAGGTGTGGTGGCATGCACCTATAATCCCAGCTACTAGGGAGACTGAGGCAGGAGAATTGCTTGAACCCATAAGGCAGAGGTTGCAGTGAGCTGAGATCACACCACTGCCCTCCAGCCTGGGTGACAGACAGAGCAAGACTCCATCTCAAAAAAAAAAAAAAAAAGACATTGAGCCTCAAAGAGAAAAATAAGAAACAGTGTATTAGTCCATTCTCACACTGCTAATAAAGACATACTGGAGACTGGGTATGTCTTTCATGGACTCACAGTTCCACATGGCTGGGGAGGCCTCACAATCATGGCAGAAGGCAAAGGAGGAGCAAAGGTGTGTCTTACACGGTGGTGGGCAAAATAGCAAGTGCGTGTGCGGGGAACGGCCCTTCATAAAACCATCGGATCTCGTGAGACGTATTCACTATCACGAGAACAGCATGAGAAAAACCCACCCCCATGATTTAATTACCTCCCACTGAGTTTCTCCCACAACACATGGGGATTACGAGAGCTACAGTTCAAGATGAGATTTGGGTGGGAACACAACCAGACCATATCACAGGGGGAGCAACGTATCGATGAGGGTAGATTTGTCACAACAAAACAGGAGCCCAAGCCGAGAGCTTTATCACATATACTCATCAAATCATTCTGGCTACTGCAGGACACTTGTCCTGAAAGCATCTCTGGGAACATCCAGCTGCGAAGGACTCCAAGGCCTTAATTTTCAGAGAGGTCTCTCTTTAGTGGGTCTACAAGTGAATGCCTCCAGCTCGATTGAGTGGAGAGGGCTCCTTTGTGGCCATAGCAGCGTTGGAATTGGGGATACAGTGGGCAGGCCAGATGTAAAAGCCACTTGCCATTTGGCCACCCTGAAAATCTTCCTTTCTGCATGGGAATGCAGGCCCTGAAATAATAAGATTTATGTGTATCTTCAAAAGCAAGGAGAACTTATATCATAGGTAATCTCAACATTTTGATGTTTCATAAGAAAGCTGAAGAACTTCAGTGATTAGGATAAATCATCTTAGACCTATTCAGTGTTTAAAGAAGTTTTACAAAAAGCACATACACATGTACTCATGGAGAAGAACACCGCTTTAAAGGAGTAACTAGTTGCAACTTGTTATGTTATTTCCAATCTTGATCTATGTGCCTATGGTTTTAGATCGTTGCGGTCAACATGTTGAATATTTCATGAGTGACCCCAGACAAACCACTTCACCTCCACTCATCTATTTTCTTATCAGCAAATGGAGATAATTGCTTTTGTTTCACAGGGCTGTTATGAAAATCAAGTGAAGTAAGATAATACAAAAACAATTCGTAAACTCTAAAGTATACAATTATGAGACATTTAGTGACACGTAATTGCTTCTGTTATGTTTTTCTATGTATCACTTGTAACAGTTGCATATTACTCTGAGTTGCTGTCATAGTTTGTTTAACCATTATCTACTTGTTACTCATCCTTGCTTTTTGCTATCATAAATAAAGTTGGTTATAAACATCTCTGCATGGTTTGCATTTTTTCTCTTTTGAAATATTTCTTTAGGAGGAATTCCTGGAAGTGGAATAAATGAGTTTGAATAGTAGTTGAGACATTCTTTCTTAGATGATATACATCATAGTACAAACAAACAAAAAACTAGCTCATTATGCTGTACCATAATTCAGACAAATTAAGAAACTAAAACTAATTCTGGTGGTGTTAGCAAGCCAGCATATATAAAATCATATCATCATAATTTTCAAAAGGCAAATAGTTACATTTTCTTTGATTATGGAACATGCCTCCTGATGGCGTGAAATCCTTTTTTTGGAATGTGGCAGAATAGAGTACGAAATGTAAAGACTTAACGCAGTAGCCTTCTTTTACAGTTTTAGCATACTCTGTTTACAGAAGACCTGGTTTTTTTGTTTTTTTGTTTTTTTTACTGTAAAATAAGTTTATTAGTAGTAAGGTGATAGAATTTATTCCCGATATCTGATGTTACAACCTTTAGGGTCCTTGAGATATGCAGGATCCTTGTATGTAACTGACATAAACCCCATTATTTGAGCTCTCTTAATTGCTTTCGTGATTTCTTTCTGTTTCTTCCCACAAAGACCAGGTCCTCGTTGCTGGATACCTGTTTATATTGTGAACAACCTCTTCTCCAAAGCACCGTGTGAGTCCCGGAATGTGTAAGGCTGACAGCAGCCGTTACCAGGTGTGTCAACTTCTTCCTCCCTAGACCACCGCAAACAGCAACCATAGCGGCCGTGGTTCCGCATTTCTTCCACTTCCTTTCATCCCAAATCCAGGACCTGGTTTTTAAAGGATCACTTCCTTCCCAAGTGAGGCTTCAAGCTCCTTGGCATCAGTTGGTTTTGATTCAGAGCAAAGTCATTTTAGTAAAGGACAGTTTGCTACATGGATTTTAGATTAAAATCGAGGAGATGAATTTTGTGCAGCAGGTATGTAAAATACAAAAATGTATTCTCCATGATGTGGTTCCAGTTTTCTGGAAATATCAAAAAAAAATTTTTTTTTTTTTTGAGGTGGAGTTTTGCTCTTGTTGTCCAGGCTGGAGTGCAATGGCATGATCTCGGCTCACGACAACCTCTGCCTCCCAGGCTCAAGCGATTCTCCTGCCTCAGCCTCCCTAGTAGCTGGAGTTACAGGCATGCGCTACCACGCCCAGCTACTTTTTTGTATTTTTAGTGGAGACAGGTTTTTTTCCATGTTGGTCAGGCTGGTCTCAAACTCCTGACCTCAGGCCTTCTGTCCACCTCTGCCTCCCAAAGTGCTGGGATTACAGGCGTGAGCCACCGCACCCAGCCAGAAAGATTAATATTTTAAAAGTATATGCAGGCCAGGCATGGTGGCTCACATCTGTAATCCCAGCACTTTGGGAGGCTAAGGTTGTAGGATCACTTGAGGCCAGGGGTTCAAGACCAGCCTGGGCAACATAACAAGAATCTATCTCTGCAAAAAAAAAAAAAAAAAAAAAAAATAGAAATTAACCGGCGTGGCGGCACACACCTGTAATCCCAGCTACTTGGGACACTGAGGCAGGAGGGTCGCTTGAGCCTGGGAAGTCAAGGCTGCAGTGAGCTATGATCATGGCACTGCATTCCAGCCTGGGTAACAGGGCAAAACCCCATTAAAAAAAATTTTTAAGTATATACAGATTCCCAAACTTCTGGAGTGTAAGTGCTCTTAACATCTATTATCTGACACAATTTTTGGAGCCTTAAATGCTCAGATTGGCAAGAGGCTTCTGCCTTTTTGGACTGAAGTTTTGCTTCTCTCTGGGCATTTCTTTAGAGATGGTTGCGGAATCAAAGAAGAAATACCTGACCAAACTAGTATGGTTCAATAGAAACTTTCCCTATGAAACATTTCAGAGGAATTTGACCTATACCACTTATCAAGGGATCAGGGTGATTGATTATTAAGTGTTTCGCTCTATTGCCCTTATTTTGTTTCTCCAGTCACTTCTCTTTTAAATGGCTTGATAGGAAGTTAAGAGGAGGTATAACGGGAAAGCCTTGGCTGAAAGTTACATTTGATTCATGAGTTCAGCTTTGCCACTAACTAGCTGGCTGACCAGATCCAAGTTACTTAACCCATTTGGGCCTGAGTTTTCTCAAGCACAAAGTGGAATCTAAGATGTAGTCCAGTTCCAACACTCTGTGATTTCATCTGGAGCAAAGGCCTTTCTCCATGACACAAGTAATCTTCTGAGGGTCAAATGACTTAAAGACTCTTTTGCAAATGTCATGTGACTGTTGCTGTGCTGCGTGTGTGGGTGCGCGGCAGGGAAGGGTGGGTGGAAGTCAATTCCTACTCTCTACAGCAACAGTTAAAAAAACAGGTTGAAAAAAATACAGTGCTCTCCTGTGTTTGGGCAAACAGGAATCAGGCCACCCTGACCTCATGGTCCCGCGGATGCTGCCAGGAAGCCCGAAAACTCCATCCAAAGCTGCTGAGACAGAATCTTTGGCAGAGCTGAAAGGAAGCTGAAAGGAGCGGTGCCGGGAGTTCCTGCCCAAAAAGGGGTGAGCACGGCACTTGGCAAACACGCAGCATGTATTATGTGCTGAGTTAACACCCCTTAGTGTCATTATTAGCACTTTCAGAAATAGCCAGCAAAGCTATTTAGAGAGGGGGTTAAAAAAAACACCACCAAAACCTTTAACTTACTCCAATATTACTTCAGGTGCATTAATACTTTTAAAACCTAAATTGTAGTCTTTCTACTTGTTGTTAAGTCATCATTATTCTTCAGACTCAAATTCTGGCAGTTCCTTGTTGATATATTCCTTCGGTGTTTCTTTGGCATTGCTGTTGAGTCTCAGATCCCACATTGGAGGATCAGCTGCTACGAGGTGTAATATGAGGGTTAAGTGAAAGCAAACCCCAGGGTCTTACGTGACCCCAGCAGGCTCCCTTCCCCTTCGGGTCCTCACTGTTCCAGACCCAGAGTGTTGCCTGGCCATCTGAGGGGCCTTAGTCTCACCCAGTCTGCTCACCTCTGCTAATACCTCTGTATGATTATACTTTTATTTATTGCTAAAGCCTCGCTAGGGGTTCAATCTGACACTGCCTGCTGGTCTGGTTCTGCACCCTGCAGCCTCCTCATGCAGCCCCTAGCTCCATAGAAAACCATTTGCCGTGGGCTTTCAAGTGCCCTTCCCTGACCTTCCTCCCAGAAGGTTCTTGCCCCTGCCTGCTGGCCTAGTAAACTCTTAGATTTGCCATCCTTAGGTCAGAGGCATTCCAACCAGAGCTGTGCCACCTTGAACATGGGCTGGGTAAAATAAGGCTGAGACCTACGGGGCTGCATTCCCAGGCGGTTAGGCATTCTAAGTCATACCATGAGACAGGAGGTCGGCACAAGATATAGGTCACGAAGACCTTGCTGATAAAACAGCATGTGGTAAAGACGCCAGCCAAAATCTGCCAAAACCAAGATGGCAAACAAACTGACCTCTGGTTGTCCTCACTGCTCATAATACAGTAATTATAATGAATCAATATGCTACAAGACGTTACCACCAGTGCACAGACAGCTTACAAATGCCATGGCAACATTAGGAAGTTACCCTGGTCTAAAAAGGGGAGGAATCCTCATTTCCAGGAATTGCCCACCTCTTTGCCAGAAAACTCATGAATGAGCCACCCCTTGTTCAGCATACAGTCAAGCAGTATGTAAGTATCCTTGGTTGAGTAGCTCAAGCTGCTGCTCTGTCTGTGGAAGAGCCATTCTTTACTCCTTTACTTTTTTAATAAACTTGCTTTCATTTTACTCTATGGACTCACCCTGAATTCTTTCTTGTGTGAGATCCAAGAACCTTCTCTTGGGGTCTGATTGGGACCCCTTTCCAGGAAGACTTCAAGTCTCAGCTAAAATGTCTCTTCCTGGTATTTTACTGTTTCCTCTTGCGAGCTACCTCAGCACCCAAGACAATTCCAGCTGACCCTTGAAAAACTCAAGGGTTAGGGGCGTCGACCCCCTGCACAGTCAAAAATCTGCATATAACTTAACTCCTCCAAAACGTAACTAGCAATCGCATCCCATTGACCAGAAGCCTTACTGATGGCATCCACAGTTGATCAACACATATTTTGCATGTTACATGTATTACATACTATATTTTTACAATAAAGTAAGCTAGCTAGAGAAAAGAAAATGTTACTAAGAAAATCATAAGGAAGAGCAAATGTGTTTACTAGTCATTAAGTGGAAGGAGATCATCCTAAAGGTCTTTATCTTTGTTGTCTTCAAGTTGAGTAGGCTGCAGAAGAGGAGGAAGAGGAGGGGTTGGGGGTGGGTGGGTAGCAGAGGTAGAAGAGGTGGAAGAGGTGGAAGGAAGGGGGAGCAGGAGAGACAGGCACACTCAGTTTACTTTTTTTTTTTTTTTTTTTTTTTAGAGAGTCTCTCTCTGTCACCTAGGCTGGAGTGCAGTGGTGCAGTCTTGGCTCACTGCAACCTCCACCTCCCAGGTTCAGATGATTCTCGAGCCTCTGCCTCCCGAGTAGCTGGGATTACAGGCACATGCCACTATGCCTGGCTACTTTTTGTGTTTTTAGTAGAGACGGGGTTTCACCATGTTGGCCAGGCTGGTCTCAAACTCCTGACCTCAAGTGATCTGCCCCCCTCGGCCTCCCAAAGTGCTGGGATTACAGGCATGAGCCACCATGACGAACCTTCAGTGTAAATTTCATTGGAAAAAAAATCCACATATAAATAGGTTTTGACTCACATTCAAACCTGCGTTGATCAAGGGTCAACTGTATATATCCACCAGAGACTGAGTTTTTTGGAGCCAAGCATTTTATTTTGATTTTTATATTTCAAGCTTTGAAGCTTGAGCTCAGAATCTGGTAAAAAGGTGCCCAGTAAATGCTGTATAAATACATAGATCTGTGTTCCAACAATCTCTTCTTCAATTCCTACTTAGAACAAGGTGAGGGAGGGTGTTAAATGAAAAAGAAATTTGTAAACTGACTGTGGGAATTTATATTAAACCATGTTTATACTTGCTTTGTGGAAACCTGTCCTGAAACAAAGAAAAAGAGAAGCAAAATAGGATCCCTTTCTGTTTCAAAGATCTTATGTAAGAGGAGAGTCCCTTGACACCCCTGAACACCCCATCCCCCACACACAGGCCCATGGATTTCCCTCACATTCTAGTAACCATGGGCTCAAGTTTCTGTTTTAAAAACTTCATTACTTGTTAGGAAGGCTAAGCCTCGTTTATCCCTTAATGCAAATTATTCCACATAGAGATCCTCCTACAAGAGCTTCTCGCTGGGGACAGTGAGCACCAGAGATGCGACTTTGAATGTGGGACCCTTTCCTGGCATCCAGGCCATAGCTCAAATGCTAATCAGTGCTCCTGGGCTGCAATCCACTGTTGGCCCAGATTCCTGGCCCGTGGAAACAGGTCTCCACGGTGTAAAGAGCCTGAGCATTCTTGCCAGAAAAAGCTACTTTCAATTCCTGGCTCTGTCACCCACAGGCTCTATGACTTGGGAAATGTTACCTATCTTAGCAGAGCCCCTGTTTTCTCACCCATAAAATGGTGATAACAGTAAATGCCTCACAGTTGTTGGCAAATGAGATGAGAGGGCTGAGGTCCGGTCATGTAGCAGGTGCATATAAAGAGTACTTTGTGTGTCTTTGAGTGACTCTGGGGCTCTGAGACTTGCCGGGAGTAGGTTTAGATTGGCTGGTTATTGGGTCTTGCTATGAATTGGAGATGGTGTTGGGTGTGGGTTGGTAACAGCACAGGGGTCTGGGGGATACCTGGTGAGGTATGGCACACTGTGGACCCCTGAGGTTGGTCTGCTGGGAGATATGGTATTCCAGGAGCTCCAGGGCAACTCTAAACCCACAGCCTGCAAAAGTGGGCACTGGGTGATTCGATTCTGACACCTACTTCCTTTTCCAATGGATAATTTTTTCCATTTCTAGCTCGCTGAACAAGAGTGGGCCACTGGCTCCATAGAGCACTAAACACGAGAAACTTGGATTGTTGAAAAAGAAATTAAATGTCAGAATCAGTTCCCATCTGTAAATGATATATCTCCCTATCTGACCTTGGAGGTGAAACCCAGAGAAGATTGTTTCTCAAAGTAAATTCAGAGCACCTACTCCTCAGAGCTCAGACATGTTGAATCAAGATCTCTGAGATGGGGATGGAGAATCTTCATTAAATCAAGTTCCCCCAGGTAGTCCTGGTGCACCTTATACCCTCACTACTTCAAGTGTGGTCCCTGGGACAACAGCATGGGCATCACTGGGCCGTTACAAAAACTTCAGAAACTCATGCCTAGCCCCAAACCTACTGAATCTGCATGTTTAAAACATCATAGTAAAATGTAATACACATAGCGTACGATTTACCTTCTTTAAGTGTACAGTTCAGGAGTGTTAAGTGCATTCACATGATTGTATAACCTATCTCCAGAACTCTTTTCATCTTGCAGAAATGAAACTCTATACCCATTAAACAACCCCCATTTCTTAGTCCCACAGCCTCTGGCGACCACCCAGAATCTGCATTTTAACAAGATTCCCAGGAGATTCTTATGCCCATTAAAGATGAAGAAGCCCTGCACTAAGTATGAAAACCACAGATAACAAAATCAGGAGCCTGCCAGTAGGCTTAGCGAGGCAACCAGGCCATTTCCTTAGGGCAAGATTAGGGAAACCAGTGAGCAGAACAATAGCAAATCCCTCTAGAAAATTCTGATGCATGCTCCAGTTTGACAATCACTGCTATCCAGAAGTGATTCATAACTCAATGTACATATTAGAATCACCTGGGAACCTTCCAAACATATTCATGCCTAAGACTCGTCCAAAATCCACTAACTCTAATCTCTAGAGGCAGGGCCCAAGCACCTAAATTTTTTAAACATCTCCCAGGGATTCTGATTACTCAGTCAGATTTCTTTTCTTTTCTTTTCTTTTCTTTTTTAACAGTCTCACTCTGTTTCCCAGGCTGGAATGCAGTGGCATATTCTCACCTCACTGCCATCTCCTCCTCCCAAGTTCAAGCAATTCTTGTGCCTCAGCCTTCTGAGTAGCTGGGACTGCTGGCTCGCACCACTATGCCTGGCTATTTTTATTTTTTATTTTTATTTTTGTTTTGTATTTTAGCAGACATGGAGGATTTTTGCCATGTTGGCCAGGCTGGTCGTGAACTCCTGGGCTCAAATGATCCACTGGCCTCAGCCTCCCAATGTGCTGGGATTACAGGCATGAACCACTGCGCCCCACCTCAGTCAGGTTTCAGAACCACTGATCTGCAGAGATGAAGGAGGTTGGTAGGATGAGGCAGATTCTGTAACCGTGCATGAACATTAGAGGAAAATAATGGGGCCGGGTAAGGCCTCAGAGCTGCTTTTTTATTTTATAATCTGCTCAGCTCTCCTGGTATGAGTGATTGTCCTGGGGAGTTTAAACCAACCAACAAAGCTGTGTTTGCAAAAAGAAATCGCTATCTTATTTGATGTTCCAGTGTTTTCCATGCAAACAATCCTTACCACCTCTTCCCTACTGCCTGCCATTATTTCCTATCACAGCCCTCTGTTTATTTTCCTAATAGCATTTACCACAATTAGCAATTATTATGCTCATTGTCTGCCTCCTCTCATTAAAACAATAGCTAACTGTCTCTGTGTAAAAACCAGGTTCATAGGTCTTGTTCACCTCCTCCTCACACAGAGGCCCCTGATAAATATTTGAATGAATGAAACACACATAGTACTCAATCAGCTGATGTACCAATCAACTTTGCTATGCCATGGAATCACTGCCCCCCTCGTGGCCCCAAACCAGCTGACATAATATAGAAAGGGAGAAGCAGTTGTCTTAAAAGAAACTGCTGCACTGTCAGGATTGAAAGAATTATGGCAGACAGGCTGTGCACTAAAGCCCACAGGGAGCAGTCAAGGGCAGTGGTGGCCCAGTGTTGTCAGGTGGTAGAGACCAGTGTAGGGAAGCAGCAGTGGCGGGCGGATTACCTGAGGTCAGGAGTTCAAGACCAGCCTGGCCAACATAGTAAAACCCCGTCTCTACTGAAAAAGAAAAAAAAAATTAGCCCAGTGCAGTGGCGAGCACCTGTAATACTGTAATCCCAGCTACTTGGGAGGCTGAGGCAGGAGAATCACTTGAACGTGGGAGGCGGAGGTTGCGGTGAGCCAAGATCGCACCACTGCACTCCAGCCTGGGTGACAGAGTGAGACTTCATCTCAAAAATAAATAAATAAATAAATTAGAATTCTTCGATGAGTGAGTGATAGTTTCATTGAACTGGTGAAATCTGCATGTAAATGTGACCTCATCCAGAACCTCCCAGCTGGTGAGGCTTGGATTACAATGTGTTTATGCAACTCCCCAGGTAGAATTCTATAGCAGAAAGAGCATAGATTTTGGAACAGTATTGAAGACAACTTCTGCTTCCTCTACTAGCTGGCTGTTCAACAGTGGGAAATTACTTATGTGAGCTTCAGCTTCCTCATCTGAAAACGAGATGATCTTTCTCTCATATATTATGCCAAGCGCCTAGTAAACCGCCTGCTGCATAGCAGCGTTTGATGAACGTTAAGTCCTAAATCGGCAATCTAGATTTTCTTACCCATTCTTTCTCAGACTTTTTCTTCCTTTAGTTACAGCTTAGCCATTACCTCCTCGTCACTGGAACCACATGCCATCACTTATAATACTTACTGTTTGTAACATTTGATTGGCCGAGAAAAAAATCACATACTGCCTTGTGGATTTTCTTTCATCATTATATTGAGACTTCTTGTATTGTGAGTATATTAAAAGCTGAAGAATTTATCTAACTTATTCCTCAGCACAAATGGAAATACTTTTGGAGATAGGAGGCTTTTACCAGAAAGGGGTCCTGATCCAGACCCCTCAAGAGGGTTCTTGGATCTCCAGCAAAAAAGAATTCAGGGAGAGCCCACAGAATACAGTGAAAGCAAGTTTATTAGAGAAGGAAAGCTCTCGGGGCTGCAGGTTGGCTATTTTTACGGTTATTTCTTGATCATATGCTAAACAAAGGGTAGATTATTCAGGAGTTTTCCAGAAAAGGGGTGAGGATTTCCCAGAACTAAGGTCCCTCCCCTTTTAGACCATATAGGGTTATTTCCGGATGTTGCTATGGCATTTGTAAACTGCCGTGGTGCTGGTGGAGGGTCTTTTAGCATTCGAATGCATTTTTATTAGCGTATAATCAGCACTGAAGACAACCAGAGGTTACTTTCATCACCATCTTGGTTTGGTTTTGGCGGGTTTGGGCCGGCTTCTTTACTGTATCCTGTTTTATCAGCAGGGTCTTTGTGACTTGGTCCTGTGCTGACCTCCTATCTCACCCTGTGACTAAGAATTCCTAACCTCCTGGGAATGCAGCCCAGCAGGTCTCAGCCTCATTTTACCCAGCCTCTATTAAAGATAGAGTCCCTCTGGTTCCAAGGCCTCTGACACTACTTCCTGCTTCTTGCTGTTCTTTAGCACTGAATTCCACAGTCAGGCACAGGTCTGGCATGCACCATCTAGAGCTCAGCAAGTGTAATAGCTCAGATGAGGAACAATGGTTGCTCCCTAAATAGTCTTCATCCCTCCACGCAAATACTCTTAAAATGCAGCCCAACCATGCATTGGTGATACAATGAATTGTTTATTTATTTCTAGCTATTATTTTATGATTTTTTAATTAATGCATAATAGATGTACGTATTTTCAGGGACGTGTCACAATTTAATACATTCACATGGTTTGTAAAGACCGAATCAGTGTAATTGGGATCTCTATCACCTTAAATAGTTGTGATTTCTTCATAGGGGAGACATTCGAATGATTCTCTTCTAGCGATTTAAAAATATACCATACATTATTGTAAATGATAGTCACCTTACTGATATGTCAAACACTAACTCAGCCTTATTTCTTCTATCAAAGTATATATATATTTTTGTTGTTGTTGTTGTTTGTTTTTTTTTTTTTTTTTGAGACGGAGTCTCGCTCTGTCGCCCAGGCTGGAGTGCAGTGGAACGATCTCGGCTCACTGCAAGCTCAGCCTCCCAGGTTCATGCCATTCTCCTGCCTCAGCCTCCCGAGTAGCTGGGACTACAGGCACCCACCACCATGCCTGGCTAATTTTTTGTATTTTCAGTAGAGATGGGGCTTCACCGTGTTAGCCAGGATGGTCTCGATCTCCTGACCTCATGATCCGCCCGTCTCGGCCTCCCAAAGTGCTGGGATTACAGGCGTGAGCCACCTCGCCCAGTTGAAACTTTATTTTTGAAATTCTGATGATATCCCATACGGATTGAAAAGGGTTTTATATTTTTAAATCAGATTTTTATCTGCTTTATCTTTTAACAGAATTCAGTGTTATGAAAGAGCTGTAGCATCTTTCAATCATTGTGATATTATTTATGTTAAGACAGTGGCAAGAAATACAAATTTCTTTTCCCTATTTAGTCTCTCTTTTTTCTGCAGTAATATATCTCCAATTTTTGGTTGGTGCATTGCTGTCCAGTTAAAAGATGACATTTCCTAGTATCATTTGAAGTTGACTCAGTCAGGTATCTAAGTACTTGTCATAGAAATGTAAGTCAAAATACTGCATAGTCTTCTGAGAAGTCTTATAAAGGAAGTGTTCTGGCAGGGAGTGGTGGCTCATGCCTGTAATCCCAGCACTTTGGGAGGCCGAGGTACGCGGATCTCCTGAGGTCAGGAGGTCGAGACCAGCCTGGGCAACATGGTGAAACCCCGTCTCTACTAAAAATACAAAAATTAGCTGGGCATGGTGGTGGGCACTTGTAATTCCAACTACTCAGGAGGCAGAGGCGTGAGAACTGCTCTAACCCAGAAGGCAGAGGCTGCAGTGAGCCAAGATTGTGCTATTGCACTCCAGCCTGGGTGATAGAGCAAGGCTCTGAAACTGTTCTGTGTTTATTCTTTCTCTTTTGCTGCCAGCCTGAACCCTGGAAGAGATTACTGGAGCACCAGACACCTTAGACCATGAGTATAAGGACCACACGCTAGAGACTATAGATCTGACAGCCTGAAGGAGATTGAGTCCTTAATGAATTTGGGGTACCTTGCCACACTCACACCAAACTGCCTACTTACAAAATCCCTTTGCAAGAGAAAGCAACCAAGTGTTGTATCAACCTGAACCTAATTTGAACTGATACAAGCTGTAGTAAAATTATACTTTTTTCATATTCCATTCTTATGAATGAGGTTAATTACAGACAATTAATGCATTGGTTCTATGATGACCAAATAGTTTATAGCCTACTAATTGGTCTGAAGTGCTGGCTGAATGTAGCATTTTGATTATAATGCGAAACAACAATATTAAGATGTTTAAGAAAATACAATTGACCCAAAAAGTCAATTTTAGACAACAATCAATAAATAGGCTCTATGTTTCTCTGGGCACCAAAGATCACCCCTTCAGGAAAACATATGCCAAAAAAAAAAACACCATAATCTGCTGAAAGAAAAAGCATTGCCTTTGGTTTTATGGATTTTTCTAGCTATTTTTCTGTGTCTTAAGTTTTAAATAGATTTTAGACACATTTATTGTGCTAGAGAATTTTTTATCTCTAGCAAGAAACAAAATCTTTGTCGTAGAAACACATATATGTAATTTTTTGGTCTTTGTTTATTACTGAAAAATGAGCACAATGAGAGAGAGGTAGGAAAACTGGGAAAAATAGAAGTTAGAGGAAAATGATGATAGAGGTTGTCCTGTAGGTTGGCTCGGATATAGGAATGTCAGAGGTGTTTGAACTAGAGCAACTCCACCTTGAATAGGGCCTGGGTAAACCAAGGCTGAGACCTACTAGGCTGCATTCCCAGGAGGCTAGGCGTTCTAAGTCACAGGATGAGATAGGAGGTTGGCACAAGGTACAGGTCACAAAGACCTTGCTGATAAAAGGATGTGGGAAAGAACCCTGCCAAAATCCCACCAAAACCAAGACAGTGACAAAAGTGACCTCTAAGTGACCTCTAGTTGTCCTCTCTGTTATTATATGCTAATTATAATTAATTCTCATACTAAAAGACACTCCCACCAGCACCCTGACAGTTTACAAATGCCATGACAACATCAGGAAGTTACCCTATATGGTCTATAAAGGGGAGGAACCCTCAGTTCCGGGAATTGACCACCTCTTTCCCAGAAAACTCATGAATAATCTGCCCCTTGTTTAGCATATAATCAAGAAATAACCCCAAAAATAGCCAACCAGCAGCCCTCAGGGCTGCTCTGCCTGTGGAGTAGCCATTCTTTTATTCCTTTACTTTCTTAGTAAATTTGCTTTCATTTTACTCTATGGATTCACCCTGAATTCTTTCTTTTGTGAGGTCCAAGAACCCTCTCTTGGGATCTGGATCAGGACCGCTTTCCAGTAACAGGAGTAATAATAATATCCACTATTTGAAGAATAGATTTCTGTTTACGAAGCCCACACGTTATCTCACTCAGAGATAAGACTTAGGAAACAGGTTGGATTGCCAGGGGTTACGGGTGAGGGAAGTGATGACTGTAAAGGAGTATCACGAGAAGGTGGTTTTTTTTTTTTTTTTTGGATAATAAAAAAGTATAAAGTGAGTGGGCACGGTGACTCAGGCCTATAATCTCAGCGCTTTGGGAGGCCAAGGCGGTCAGGAGTTTGAGACCAGCCTGGACAACGTGGTGAAACGCCATGTCTACTAAAAATACTAAAATTAGCTGGGAGTGGTGGTGGGCACCTGTAATCCCAGCTACTCGGGAGGCTGAGACAGGAGAATCACTTGAACCGGGAGGCGGGGCTTGCAGTGAGCCGAGATCACGCCACTGCACTCCAGCCTGGGCAACAGAGTGAGACTCTGTCTCAAAAAAAAAAAAAAAATAGTATACTCCAACTGTCCGTGATAACCCAGGTTGGCCATAATGTTTGTCATGTATGTAAATATCACGGAATGATTTAGGTTTTTAAAATATCAAATTAAGTTCAAGGTCTTCGAAGAAATTTATGCAAGTGAGAGCTTCTGAGCCTTAAATTTCATTAGCTCCACCATAAATCCACCGCTGATCATTATTTATACTTTAAAAACAATCAAAACAGTGTTCATAGTATGCACATTGTTCTGTAAACTTTTTCCCTTCGACTATGCATCTTGGATACCTTTTCCTGTCAATACAGAGGGTTCCAGCTCATCTTTTAAAAACAATTCTGTTTTTTAAAAAAATTCTGTAGTTGTCCAATATTCATTATATAGTTCTTGAATGATACTTAAATTGTTTCCACAATTTGTTCCTCTCACTGGGGAGATACTTTATACAACAACAGAGCCTGGCATATAATAAGCCCTAAATAAATGTGTGTTGAGGTCAAGTGCAGTGGCTCATGCCTGTAATCTCAGCACTTTGGGAGGCCAAGGCAGGTGGATCACTTGAGGTCAGAAGTTCAAGATTAGCCCGGCCAACATGGTGAAACCCCTTCTCCACCAAAAATACAAAAATTAGCCAGGCGTGGTAGTGGGTGCCTCTAATTTCAGCTACTCGGGAGGCTGAGGTAGAGAATCACTTGAACCCTGGAGCAGAGGTTGCAGCGAGCCAAGATCATGCCACTGCACTCCAGCTTGGATCACAGAGTGAGACTCTGTCTCAAAAAAAAAAAAAAAAAAAAAAGTGTGTTGAGTTGGTGCCTTGTTATGAGCTTGGTTCCAGGTTTGCTGGGGTGTTAAAAGATGCTGATCTTTACTTGCAGCTCCCCTGGCTTGGAGAGGTGAGAGGAGAGAACAAAGCCCACTATTCTCTTCTTCCCCTCCTCCCTCATTTCTGTTTGTCCCTCCTCCCACCCGCTTCCCCTGGCTGTCATCACCCAGCCTGGCTGTTAGTGAAGGGTGGGAAACATCACCACTGAACAGGTTTGGCCAGAAAGCAAGATGGTGTTCTGGGACTATGCTCTCAATTTCAAAGCACTTTTAACGTTAGAGGAAAGTTTTCCTGAACTTTCTTTCCCCACATCAATGACAGGAAAGTCCCAGACATAAAACTGGAACGACAGGGGCTATCTGAGGGTCCGGAGTGCATTTGGGTAACGTGAGCCTGAAAAACAAAGAATACTCAAAACGAATAAAAATCCCACAAAATCAAGGAGTGTGAGACTCAAAACGAATAAAAATCTCACAAAATCAAGGAGTGTGAGACTGACTCTAGAGATAAAATTCTCTTTATATTCTTGTGTGATAGAGGGGATTATAGACAAATCTACTTTAGCTAGGCCAAAAGGTGCCATCAGTTTTGTGGGTTTTTTTTTATTATTTTTTTAAGAGGTTCTTACTCTGTCGCTCAGGCTGGAGTACAGTGGTGCAATCATACCTCACTGCAGCCTCAAACTCCTAGGCTGAAGCAATCCTCCTGCCTCAGCCTCCCAAGTTACTGGGATTACAGGCATGAGCGATCGTGCTTGGCCTTCATTTGCGATTAGAAATGTTCTTAGTCACTAATAAGCAGAATAAATGTATTGAGGAAGAAACAGTCGTTTCAAAGTCTATCATCCCAGAATGATAGAATTTTAGTGTTTTTTTTTGTTTGTTTTTTTCTTTTTTGAGACGGAGTCTTGCTTTGTTGCCTAGGCTGGAGTGCAGTGGCACAATCTCGGCTAGCTGCAACCTCCATCTCCCGGGTTCAAGCGATTCTCCTGCCTCAGCTTCCCAAGTAGCTGGGACTACAGGGACACACCACCACGCCCGGCTAATTTTTGTATTTTTCGGTGGAGACGGGGTTTCACCATGTTGCCCAGGCTGGCCTTGAACTCCTGACCTCAAGTGATCAGCCTGTCTTGGTCTCCCAGAGTGCTGGAATTACAGGCGTGAGCCACTGTGCCCGGCCAAGTTTTGGTGTTTTTAATGAGAAAATGTATATGTTCATTTCCTAGAATAAATCTCTACATCACTCATGGAAGTTAGTGGAATATTAAGCCTGCCAACTTCTCTCTTTCCAGCCTCTGCAGCCCCTTGATAGTTTGGCCTGGGACCACTCTTCTCCGTGGATTTCATCATGTTCTGAGGCTCAGGAGAATCGAAGGGACCCAAGGCCAGGTGCTCAGCATGAAGTCCAGGGTCACTGCTGTCCCTTTCTACTTTTTAGCTGTTACATTGGCTTGCCAGGATTGGGCTCCTGCTTCATTTACAGGGTTCAGTGACTGCTAATGGGGTTCAGGACACACTATCCCAAAATATTTTAGGCTGAAAGAACTTGAGAAAATGGCAAAACAAGAAGGTGGCTGTCACCTTTCCCCCTACCCTTCTTCCTTGAAGCAGGTCATAAACTTAGGAAGGATTTTTTTGATGTTGCCCTAAAGCAGGTCATAAGACCCTCATTCCAGAGGTGCCCTCCCTATACCTGGAGGAAAGGAACATCCTAACCTCCGACGACACAGGGACCCAGAGGAGAACCTGAACAAACAGGCCTGGCTACGTTTCTCTCCAGTTTACTGCCATTAGATCATACGGCTGTGTCCAATCATACTTTTCCACGGCCATCCTCATCTTCATCAAACTTAGCATGAAAATACACGGGCTTACCCACTTCTTCAGGGCTTCATTTCCTTATGAAGGCTCCCGTGTCACGTAAAACTTATACTCAATTTGTATGCTTTTTTTGATTTCTTTTCTCTTGTTTCTTTTGTTATAGAGATCTAAGCCCTGAACATTGAACCTGAGATAGGAAGGTGAGGTAGTTCTCTTCCCTGACACTCGCAAGCCAAGTAACCAGGTCGTATGTCTATCCCATAGTGTTCTCCAGACTGTTGAGCCACTTTGGCCATTTATTTATTTATTTATTTATTTATTTTGAGACAGAGTCTCACTCAGTCGTCCAGGCTGGAGTGCAGTGGCGTGATCTCAGCTCACTGCATCCTCTGCCTTCCAGGGTTCAAGCGATTCTCCTGCCTCAGCCTCCCGAGTAGCTGGGATTACAGGCGCCCACCACCACGCCCAGCTAATTTTTGTATTTTTAGTAGGGAAGAGGTTTCACCATGTTGGCCAGGCTGGTCTCAAACTCTTGACCTCCAGTGATCCACCCGCCTCAGCCTCCCAAAGTGCTGGGATTACAAGCGTGAGCCACAGCACATGGCCTTTAGTTGTGTTGTTGATGCTTATTTGATTCAGTTCATTTCTGGCATTCAATGTCACCCTGCTAAGGGAGAATGGATTTTGTTTGGTTAACGGCCTAACCAGCATGTGTGGTTAGACACTTTGCCTGTTTCCTTCATTCACTAAAATTATAACGTATTTTACTGCAAATGTCTCTCCATTTAGGCATTGAGTGTAATTACCGTTGAGTCTCTGCTGCTTCTAGTGAATTACCTAATTCTTCTTAATTACTTGCTAAGGAGCCTGACAGCCAAATGGTTTTAGTAATAGTTTAAGGTAAGAAAAAATGTAAACCTGGACAGGAGCACCTCATCCTTAACTTTTGTGGGTGTCATATTTCTCTATGGCCATATGAAAGCATTTACATCCCCTGTCCCCATAACTTTCACAGAGACCAGGAGACCTGGAGGCAAATGACAAGAGTCAATGGGACAATAAAGGGGTTTACTCTTGTCATTTGCAGAGCTTTGTCTCTTTAAAGCAAACAGCCTCTTGTTTTACAGTCACAGCCTTCTCATAGTCATACTCAGAAGCAAACAAATGTTGAGAATGTGCCAGAATCACTCATGAGCAAGCTCTTTCTTTTTGAATCAGCCTTCCTCATGACTTTCCACTGTCCCGCCTAGGGAAGGCTTCCTATGCCTCCTACTCCCTCAGCCTATGCGTGCAAAACCAGTATCACAGCCAACTCTTTTTCACCTACTAATCCCGATTTCTGTCTTTCGTACCTCCATTGCATGGAGCTTTGGAAGTACAGAAATGATTAAGACAAAGTCTCCTTCCTCAAAGATCGTGCAGCCTTGTGAAAGAGACAAACACATATACATTTAATTTTAATAAAATGTGTTTAGCCAGGCACAGTGGCTTATGCCTGTAACCCCAGCACTTTGAGATGCCAAGGCGGGAAGATAGCTTGAGCCCAGGAATTTGAGACCACCCTGGGCAACATGGCAAGACCCCATCTCTACAAGAAATATAAATAATTAGCAGGGTGTAGTGACACGCACCTGTAGTCCCGCTCCTTGGGAGGCTGAGGTGGGAGGATCACTTGAGCTCCAGAATTCTTGGCTGCAGAAAGCCATGACTGCACCACTGCACTCTAGCCTGGGAGGCGGGGTGAGACTCTGTCTCAAAAACAACAGGCTGGGCACGGTGGCTCATGCCTGTATTCCTAGCACTTTGGGAGGCTGAGGCAGGTGGATCACATGAGGTCAGGAGTTCAAAATCAGCCTGGCCAACATGGTGAAACCCCATCTCTACTAAAAATACAAAAATTAGCTGGGCATGGTGGTGCATGCTTACAATCCCAGCTACTCGGGAGGCTAAGGCAGGAGAATTGCTTGAACCTGGGGGACGGAGGTTGCAGTGAGCTGAGATCATGCCACGGCACTCCAGCCTGGGTGACAGAGTGAGACTCTATTTCAAAAAACAAAACAAAACAAAAAACAATAACAGCAACAACAAAAGGCAGGGGGAAATTGCTATGATAAAGTTATACATAGGGTGCTATGGGAGCACAGAGAAGGGACACTGAGGCCAATGCACAGCTCATGAAGGTTTTCAGGGGGAAAATGATACCTAAGGTGAACCACAAAACAACGAACGCTGTTTGAACATAAAGCATGAGGCAGGAAACACTGGGCTCTGATGGTTGGAGGGGTACATACAGGAACCATCATAGAAGTCATGGAGGTCAGGGCTTAGAAGGGGCATTCAAGCATGGCTTTGAATTATTTATTCCTATGAGAGTTTAAGCTCCCTCAGTGCAGGAACCTGGTCTGTCTTGCTCACTAATGGGTCTTCAATACTTAAAATGGTGCCTAGCATCTAAATGGTACTAAATAAGTATTTGTGGAACTGAATGAAAGCTTGGAAATAACACCACCAGATATATATCTCTTATAAATCATTTTGGCAGCTATGTGGGACATCAGTCCTGAGGCTAATGCAATAGTCCAGGTAGTGAATTGAATGAGACCCCAACATGGCAATGAGAACAGGATAAGGAAGAGGGAAGTTATCTGAGAAATGTTTACAAAGTGAAATCAGCAGGAATTGGTAACTGGATGTGGGAGGTGAAAGAGAGGCAAGGATGACTCTTAGTCGTAAAGACTATAGGAGAAGGGATGGGAGTGGTGGCTCACGCCTGTAATCCTAGCACTTTGAGAGGCCGAGGCAGGTGGATCACCTGAGGTCAGAAGTTCGAGACCAGCCTGGCCAACATGGTGAAACCCTGTCTCCACTAAAAATACAAAAATTAGCCGGGCGTGGTGGCTTGTGCCTGTAGTCCGAGCTATACAAAAGGCTGATGCAGCAAAATCGCTTGAATTTCCTGCATCAAGCGATTGCAGACTGCACTTCAGTCTGGGCTACACATTGAGACCCCATCTCAAAAAAAAATAATAATACTGCAGAAGGAGGACTAGATTTGGGGAGGGAATAAAACGAAGAAACCTACATGGCTAGAAATTCTATCTGAGAAAAATCTTTCTTCCACTTCCCTTTTCATTATCTGCCCTTGATCCTCGGGGACCCTCTAGACAGGTGATGTTCAGATCACATTCATCCGGTCATACACATTCAAGTCATGTTTATGTAACTTTGAAATTGTATCATTTATGAAATTATGATTTGGAATATAATTATATGTTATTTTTATAGTTTCTTCTTTTCTGAAAATATTTTCAGGTTTGTCATTTACTTATTTAAACCTGGTAAGCAGAATGGGTTTATCATCTGCGTCTGAAAATTCTGATCCCTGAAGTCCATGTGGCCTTTTTCTATTATCTGTTGTTTCTGCTGGTTCTCCCTCAAGTGCTTTTGCTTTCATGTGAGTGTGAGTCTCTTTAACTACATGTTTGACACTGCTCTTGAAAGTTACACATGAGGGTTTCCTGAGGCTCCGGAGGAATATGCTTTCCCCTGGGAGGCTGCGCATGTGCTACTGTCGGGTGCTTAGACACGCTGCTGCCTGGGAACCATCTCAAACCAAATTAACGCTTGAGGCTCTCTGGCTCCCTTAGATTCTGTGTGCTCAGAATGCAAATATATGTGAGAGCTGGTCTGTGGCCAATATTTCTAAGGATTTTTTTCCTTTTCTTTTTTTCTCCTGTTTACGTTTTCTAGTCTCTTGCGGTTATGAGGCAGAAGAGCATGTTTAGTTCTGCTTAACTCTCATGCTGTGGGGGTTGCACCTGTGGTTAAGGGCTATAGGGACACTTTCGGACCTGTCCTCCTGTGCTGGACTTCTGTCTCCCTCACTCCACAAGACTAACAACCTTGGCCAACTGGGTGTTGCCCCCAGTTCCCTCAGGGAAAATGTAGCTTGGATCTCCCCTAACCCCGTTCAATATATTATTCAGAAAACAGGCTTTATCCTAAAAGTGGACATTGAGTCCCCACTCGTCAACTTTTATCAGCTTTTCAATTTTTAAAGGCAATCCAAATAACCTAGCCCTCCTTTTCTGGAAAAAAGAAGTCTTCTGCTAGAAATATTGAACTTTGTAATTAACAAAAGGTAGAATAACCCAAAAGTTTTTTGCTTTGGGAATCTGCTGATAAAAATGTAGGTGAATATAGCTTGATTTTATTAAAGAATAAATGTTTATTAGTAATAGTCAAGATAAATCATTTCAGTTGGCTTCATTATTTGTAAAGCTGTATGAAATTCCAAGTAGCACTGTCTTTCTATCTCTGCACCTGGTACTCAGTTGATAAAAGTGTTTTGAATGACCAGGGACACAGATGGTGACCTGTACTAGTTTTTAATCATGTGACCTTAGGCTTCCATTTTCTCAATTTTGAAATGAGAAGGTTGAACTCTGAACTCTGAAATGACAAGGTCGTATCAGTTGAAAAAGTAGCATGGCTTATTTCAGAGCTAATAATCTGGGCTAATCACATTTCAGCTCTTTTCCCTGGGAAGGAAGGGAAAAACAGGTTTATCCAGTTACTACTTTTTCCCCCTCTCCTCAGTCTAAAGAATAAAAGAGTTTGTGACAGCATATGAACATAAATGAATATAGTAACACAGAAATATATACTGGTACTTTAAAAACAGAGGAAGAGAAAAGAGATGAACACACACATTTATTCCCTAATGTCCTATAATTGGGTCCACATCTATGCAAAACTGTGTGGTCGCCCAAGCAGAAAAGAAAACTTGATTAGTTACTAAACTCACATCGTGTGTGAAATAATGGCAAGCCACAGAAAAGCTTTTCTAGATCCTTGTTCTGAGAAAATCTTCTCCCATGGGTTTTTAACGTCAGTTTTCTAGGTCTTCCATAGAAAATGACCACAAACTGGGTGGCTCAGAACAATAGAAATGTATTCTCAGTTTAGGAGGATGGAAGTCTGAAATTGAGGTGTTGGCAGATTATTTTGGGGGATGCTGAGGCTGTCCCAGGATGACCTCCCAGCTTCTAGTGGCTGCTGGCAACCCTTGGTATTCATTCTTGTTTGTTTGTTTGAGATGGGGTCTCCCTCTGTTGCCCAGGATGGAGTGCAGTGGCATGATCTTGGCTCACTGCAGCCTCCTCCTTGGGCACAAGCAATCCTCCTGCCTCAGCCCCCAAGTAGCTGGGATTACAGGCATGCACCACCACGTCTGGCTATACATTATATATATATATACACACACACACACACATATATATATGGTATTTTTTGTAAAGACAGGGTTTTGCCACGTTGCCCAGGCTGATCTCAAACTCCTGCACTCAAGCCATCTGCCCATCTCAGCCTCTTGAGTAGCTGGGACTGCAGGCGTGTGTCACCACGCCTAGCCCTTGGCATTCTTTAGCTTATATTTGTATCACTCCAAATTCTACCTGGCATCTCATGACCTTCCCCTCTGTGTGCCTGTTGTCTCTGTATCCAAATTTCACTCTCCTTTCTCTTATTAAGACACCAATGGATTTAGAGCCCACCTAAATCCAGTAGGACCCCATCTCAACTTGATTATATCTGCAAAGACCCTGTTTCCAAATAAAACCACATTCACATGTACGAGTGGTTAGGTCTTGAATATGTATTTTTGGGGGACAAAATTCACAGGTCTTTACAAAAGAAAGCCTGAAGCGTGTAGCGGAAACATTTACACCTCCTCCAGCTGCCCTGCTCCCAGAGTATCCAGCGCCTCCTGTGCTCCACCCTCTTGTATCTCATCACCCCAAAGATGACTCCTTGACCACCTGGATGTCCGGCATATTCTAACAGATTGTTCTGAACTGCCCAGAGGGGCATTAATAAATAACAATAGCTGTATTAGCTATATCAGCTAGTTATTTGTACAAGAAATAGAAAAAGCACTGTCAGTACTTACTGTGAACTGAAGCTTCCTGGAAGAATACGAGATTTTAGAATCGTGATTAGTTTATCTTGGCTGAGTCTAATTAAGGTTTTGGAATGAGGATCTAGCCATCTTTATCCTTACTCCAAATTTCTATTTGAATAAACTGCCATGTTTGCTGCTATGTTTTAGCTAAAGTATGCATTGGGCAGAGTTTTCTGTGCCAAAGTCCAGAGAAGTTAAGACAATGGAGGTTCTGGGAAGAGTTTTGAGCCTCTGTGGTTAAATGGGTGCTATGGTTTGCATGTGCCCCCCAGATTCCGTGTACTGGAAACCTAATCTCCAGCTTCATATGTTGATTGGAGGTGGGGCCTTTGGGAGGTAATTAGAATTAGACAAAGTCATTAAGACAGGGACCCCATGATGAGACTAGTGGCTTTATAAGAAGAAAAGAGACTTGAGGTGGCAGGCTCTTGCCTTTTGCCATGTTATGACACAGCAAGAAGCCTCACTAGACACTAGTGCCTTGCTCCTGGACTTCCAAGTCTGCAGAACTGTGAGCTAAATAAGCTTCTATTGTTTATAAATTATCCAGTCTGTGGTATTCTGTGATAGCAACAGAAAGCAGACCAAGACAATGAGTTAGACACAGAAGCTGCTCTAAATGTTAATTGAGGAGCCTCAAGACATAAGCATACTGCTTTAGGGTTCATATTGGGGCATAGAGCCCAGGGAGAGGGAGGCTTTGTCATTTTTCTGTGGACACACAGCTTGACCATGCAGCGGGGAGGAGGACCAAACGGAAACCTGTGCCATTCTGTGTATGAGAACGTTTGCAGCATGGAGAATGTAGCAAGTAAGGAAGTAGCCTTCTGTGTGTTAGAGAAGAGACACTGGTAGCTATGGCAGTGAATAAGTGACTCCTCTCTCAAACACTTCTAAGTAGAGGACTTACTCATATAAGAAAGTTGGCCAGGCTCAGTGGCTCATACTTGTAATCCCAGCACTTTGGGAGGCCAAGCCAGGCAGATCACTCGAGGTCAGGAATTTGAGACCAGCTTGGCCAATGTGGTGAAACCCTGTCTTTACTAAAAAATACAAAAATTAGCTGGGCGTGGTGGCACACACTTGTAATCTCAGCTACTTGGGAGGCTGAGGCAGGAGAATTGCTAGAACCTGGGAAGCAGAGGTTATAGTGAGCCGAGATCATGCCACTACACTCTAGCCTGGGTGACAGAGCAAGACTCTGTCTCAAAAATAAAAAAAAAATTTTAAATGCAATGCCAAAATTAATGAACATGAGTGAATTTGTTTCTGAGCAAATGTGAGACAATTCTGGAGAGTCCCTGGAACAACTAAGATAATTTTTATTAAAAAAAAAAAATCTTGAATAGCAACCATTTTATTTTTATTGTGGTAAAATATACATAACATAAAATACGCCATTTTAATAATTTTACAATGTACAATTCAGCAGCATTAAGTACATTTACATTGTTGTGCAGTCATCACCACCATCTATGTCCAGAGCTTTTTCATCATCCCAAACTGAAACTCTGCACTCATTAAACAATAATTTTCAATTCTCCCCTTACCCCAGCCCCGACAACTTTGATTTTACATTTTGTCTCTAGGAATCTGACTACCTTAGACAATATTTGTACAATATTGTACAATTATTAGACAACATTTGTACAATTGTAATTTGTAAATATTGTACAATTATAAAGTATCGTACAATGTTTGTCTGTCTTTGTTTGGCTTATTTCACTTGGCATAATGTCCTTAATGTCCATCCACATTGTACCATGCATCAGAATTTCCTTCCTTTTCATGCCTAAATAATATTCCCTTATATGTATGCACTATATTTTGTTTATCCAGTCACCTGTTGACAGCCAGGAGAACTCTAATGTGGGGACTGAGGTCCTGCAGCTGTGTTGATGGGAACTAACAAGGTGACAGAGTTCAGATGCCAACACTAGCAAGAACTCAGTTGCACCATAGATTTGTCATACTTTTGGACACCCAGGTTACTGAATTGTGTGATTCTTTTCATCTGGCAAATGTCTTTTTTTACAGCTGAGGAAATGAACCCCCAGCTTGCTAAAGTCCTCGTATGTGCTGTCCCCTCTGCCCATGCTTGTCCCCTGATGACTGGACTTGGGCTTTGGCTCTGCCAAGAATGAATGATTGGCCAGGTGTGGTGGCTCACGCCTGTAATCCCAGCACTTTGGGATGCCAAGGTGGATGGAACTCTTGAGGTCAGGGGTTCGAGACCAGCCTGGCCAGCATGGTGAAACCCATCTCTACTAAAAATACAAAAATTAGCCAGACGTGGTGATGCACACTTGTAATTCCAGCTACTCAGGAGGCTGAGGTGTAAGAATCACTTGAACCCGAGACGCGGAGGTTGCAGTGAGCAGAGATCGTGCCACTGCACTCGAGCCTGGGCGACAGAGCAAGACTCTGTCTTAAAAAACAAACAAAACAAAAAACAATGAATAATTGGCTTCTCTCCCTTAAGCCTTGCAAGTAGAATCAGGGGGCCGTCCAGCCCAGTCATAAGAAAACTGAAGTGACCTCTCTTCTCTCTGACTGCCAACAGAATGGGTCACAAGAAACAAGCTCTCTCTATCGTTATTGGAATTCTTAATTTATCTTTGTGGAAATAAATCCTATTTACATAAAAAGAACTTTATCAGATTTACTTGTTCATGTTCTCTCAAGAGTTATATAGAATTGGTAGATATATTCCCAAATTGCCATATTGTCAGATGGGCAATTTGGCCCATCTGACTGTTAGAACACTGAGAGGGTGTGATTGATGTGTGCAGAAGAACACAGCTGGAGGGCCATTTGAGTGTAATTACTTGGGGTTTTATTACTCTCCTTGCAAATGAAAAATGTGAAGATGTGCAAGTGCCAATTGTTCCCAATTACTTGAAATAGTTTCTGTTAATATCCAACCCCTTTCTGCAATTGTATTGCCAACTCCAAAGGGAAATTACCAGATTATTGTATAGATTGTTAAGGTGGCTGAGCATGGTGGCTCACACCTGTAATCCCGGCACTTTGGGAGGCCGAGGTGGGAGCATTGCTTGAGCCCAAGCATTCAAGACTAGCCTGGGCAACATAGGGAGACCCCATCTCTACAAAAAATTTAAAAATTAGTCAGGTATAGTGAAGCCCACGTGTGGTCTTAGCTATTCAGGTGGCTGAGGTGGGAGGATTGCTTGAGCCCAGGAGGTTGAGGCTGCAGTGAGCACCACTGCACTCCAACCTGGGAGACAGAATAAGACTCTGTCTCAAAACAAAAAACAAACAAAAAGGCCGGGCACAGTGGCTCACGCCTGTAACCCTAGCACTTTGGGAGGCCAAGGCGGGAGGATCATCTGGGGTCAAGAGTTCGAGACCAGCCTGGCCAACATGGTGAAAACTCATCTGTACTAAAAATACAAAAATTAGCTGGGCATGGTGGCGGGCACCTGTAATCCCAGCTACTTGGGAGGCTGAGACAGGAGTATTGCTGGAACCTGGGAGGTGGAGGTTGCAGTGAGCCAAGATCGTGACATTGCACTCCAACCTGGGCAACGGAGCAAGAACTCCATTTCAAACAAATAAACAAATAAAAATAACAACAACAAAACATATACATCCATATATATTGGTTGAGCTATATACACACACATATATATATAGCTTAATAAAACAATTACATGGTTGAAATAAGATCATCAGAAAAGTTACCTGAATTCAATTAGAACAGTATGTGTCACCTCTTTGAGGCTCAACGGAATATTGATAACAAATTAATAAATAAATAGCCACATAGAAAATACAATATAACTTTATACAAATAATAGTATATTGCCATAACTAGATATGTAAAGTCTCCTTGACACATAAACAGTAAGAGGAAAAACCACAAATCAAATCAAACTTTTTAAAAATCTTTTTTCCCTTTCTAATTTTTTTTAGTTAGCTTTGAGTTCAGCTATCAAAACCAAACTTTTTTTAACTCATTTTCTCTCCTGACAAAAAAAAAGCATAAGTAGAAAAATAAAATAAAATTGGGAATATTCGTTTTATTCCACAAAAATGAAGTGAGCAATTCTGAGTGGAACTTTGGTTACAGAAGAGACAAGCTGCTTCCTGAGATAGGGGGATTTTATGAAGAAGATAGAATGAGAGAATACAAATAATGGTTGATCTAATAATTTGCAATTGAAGTTGAGACAACCTAAGCCACCTTCCCAACTCTCCCACTTCTCAGGAGTGATATCAATGTCTTATTAATTTAATGAAGCCCTAGGAATCATGAAACTGAGTTGTACTTTGGAGAAAAGGAATCAAAAGTCTCTCTCTCTCATTGAAGATACCAAAAAGATAATTTAAAACACATATTCTATTTGACTTTGTATTAATCCATTTTCATGGTGCTGATAAAGACGTACTTGTCCTGGGCAATTTACAAAGGAAAGAGGTTTAATGGAGAGCTCCAGTTCCAGGTGGCTGGGGATGCATGATGATCATGGCAGAATGCATGCAGGAGCAAGTCACATCTTACATGGATGGCAGCATGCAAAGAGAGCTTATGCAGGCGAACTCCTGTTTTTAAAGCCATCAGATCTCATGAGACTTACTCAGTATCACAAGAACAGCTTGGAGAAAAACCCACCCCATGATTCAATTACTTCCCATCAGGTTCCTCTCACAACACATGAGAATTGTGGGAGCTACAAGGTGAGATTTGGGTGGGGACACAGAGCTGAACAATATCATTCTGCCCTTATCCCCTCCCAAAACTCATGTCTTCACATTTCAAAACCAATCATGCCTTCCCAACAGTCCCACGAAGTCTTAACTCATTTCAGTATTAACTCAAAAGTCCACAGTCCAAATTCTTATCCAGATAAGGCAAGTCCCTTCTGCCTATGAGCCTGTAAAATCAAAAGCAAGCTAGTTACTTCCTAGACATAATGGAGGTACAGGAATTGGGTAAATACAACCATTCCAAATGGGGGAAATTGGCCAAAACAAAGTGGCTACAGGCCCCATGCGAGTCCGAAATCCAGCAGGGGAGTCAAATCTTAAAGCTCCAAAATGATCTCCTTTGACTCCATGTCTCACATCCAGGTCATGCTGATGCAAGAGGTGGGTTCTCATGGTCTTGGGCAGCTCTGCCTCTATGGCTTAGCAGAGTACAGCCTCCCTCCCGGCTGTTTTCACAGGCTGGCATTGAGTGTTTGCAGCTTTTTGAGGTACATGGCGCAAGCTATTGGTGGATCTACCATCCTGGGGTCTGGAGGACGGTGGCCCTCTTCTGGGCACAGCTCCACTAGGCAGTGCCCCAGTAGGGACTGTGTGTGGGGTCTCTGACCCCCCATCTCCCTTCTGCACTGCCCTAGCAGAGGTTCTCCATGACAGCCCCACACCTGCAGCGAACTTCTGCCTGGGCATCCAGGCGTTTCCTTACGTCCTCTGAAATCTAGGAGGAGGTTCCCAAACCTCAATTCTTGACTTCTGTGTACTGGCAGGCTCAACACCACATGGAAGCTGCCAAGGCTTGACGCTTGCACCCTCTGAAGCCACAGCCTGAGCTCTACTGTTGCTCCTTTCAGCCATGGTTGAAGTGGCTGGGACGCAAGGCACTAAGTCCCTATGCTGCACACAGCGTAGGGACCCTGGGCCTGGCACATGAAACCACTTTTTCTGCTAGGCCTCTGGGGCTGTGATGGGATGGGCTGCCGTGAAAACCTCTGACGTGCTCTGGATATATTTTCCCCATTGTCTTGGAGATTAACATTCGGCTCCTCGTTACTTACGCAAATTTCTGCAGCTGGCTTGAGTTTCCCCTCAGACAATAAGATTTTCTTTTCTATCGCATTGTCAGGCTGCAAATTTTCCAAACTTTTATGCCCTGTTTCCCTTTTAAATCTGAATGCCTTTAACAACACGAAAGTCTCCTCTGGAATGCTTTGCTGCTTAGAAATTTCTTCCCCCGGATACTCTAAATCATCTCTCGCAAGCTCAAGGTTCCACAGTCTCTAGGGCAGGGACAAAATGCCACCGAGTCTCTTTGCTAAAACATAACAAAAGTCACCTTTGGTCCAGTTCCCAACAAGTTCCTCACCTCCATCTGAGGCCACCTCAGCCTGGATCTTATTGTTCATATCACTATCAGCATTTTTGTCCAAACCATTCAACAAGTCTCTAGGAAGTTCCATACTTTCCCACATTTTCCTTTCTTCTTCTGAGCCCTCCAAACTGTTCCATCCTCTGCCTGTTACCCAGGTCTAAAGTCATTTTCACATTTTCAAGTATCTTTCCAGCATCACCCCACTCTACTGGTACCAATCTACTGTATTAGTCTGTTTTCACACTGCTGATAAAGACGTACTCGAGAATGGGCAATTTACAAAGGAAAGAGGTTTAATGGAGAGCTCACAGTTCTGCGTGGCTGGGGATGCCTCACAATCATGGTGGAAGGCAAGGAGGAGCAAGTCACATCTTACGTGGATGTCCAGAGAGCTTGTGCAGGTAAACTTTATTAACTATCATGAGAATAGCATGGGAAAGACCCGCCCCCAAGATTCAATTACCTCCCACTGGGTTCCTCCCACAATGCATGGGAATTGTGGAAGCTACAAGATGAGATTTGCGTGGGGATACAGGGCCAAACCATATCAGATTTTATTTTCAAACGCATTTTCTTAATAATACAAGGTGCTTTTTAAAGAAATTATTTATACATATTCCAATTGGCATATATATTTTGTTACCATAAAAAGGTAATATACACATATGGTTGTATATGAAGAAGAAACAGATAGTAGGCTACATGTAAAAATGATAAAGGGCTGCAGCCAATTGAGCTGATGGAGTTCCTTTCCTCCTGGGGCCCAGTGTGCAAAAGCTGCAAACAGCAGCTTCCTTGGTAGTGTACGCAGCCTGTTTCTTATATGGGTTGCTCTAAGGGACCTTGGAGACAGTCATATGGTTGTTCATGTCTCTGACCTTGCACTACCCTCAGTGCTCTGAATAGGTATTCGAGGTGCCTTTGAAAAGCCCCAGGGTGCTGTGGCCAGGGTTCACATTGGCCAAGTCATCATGTCCATCTGCACCAAGCTGCAGAACAAGGAGCATGTGATTGAGGCCCTATGCAAGGCCAACTTTAAGTTCCCTGGCCGCCAGAATATCCACTTCTCAGAGAAGTGGGACTTTACCAAGTTCAGTGTGGATGAATTTGAAGACATGATGGCTGAGAAGCAGCTTATCCCAATAACTGTGGGGTCAAGTATACCCCCAATCGTGACCCTCCGGACAAGCGGTGGGCCCTGCACTCATGAGGGCTTCTACTGTGCTGCCCCCTCCTAATGCCCACCAATAAATCCTACTTCCTGTCCACCTTAAAAAAATGACAAAGTGTAGTCACCTCTTGAGAGTAAGAATAGGGCTGGTGTGGAAGTGAGTTTTTACTTCTCACTGGACATATTCCATGTTGGAAAACTGTTCTGAAGTGGGTATCATTTTTATAACATTTAAATTTCAAAAAATATTTCACTGTGTGCCTAGTCTGTGCAAGGGGAGAATGCAGAGGAGGGAGGCATTAGAACCACACGTGAGGAACTCTGGAGTCCAGTGTGTTTGACTGCAGAAAGCCATTACTTATCATGTTTGGCTAATAAATACTGTGTGAAGATTACTTCTGATGTGTAATCTCTTAATTACAGATACACAAAAAAGGCCAGTCATGAATCACGCCAAATTGGAAGCAACCAAGATGTCCTTCAGCGTGTGAATGGATAAGCAAACTATGGTGCATTCAGGTAACAGAATATTACTCAGCGCTAAAAAGAAATGAGCTATCAGCCATGAAAAGATGTGGGGGGTATTACGGCCATATTACTCAATGAAAGAAGCCAGTCAAAAATGGCTACAGACATACAATCCAACTGTATGACATTCTGGAAAAGGCAAAACCACGGAGACAGTAAAAAGATCAGTGTTTGCCAGAGGCTGGGGAAGGAGTGAAAGAGTAGGATGAATAGGTGGAGAACCGGAGAATTTTAGCTCAGTGGAGCTAGTTCTGTATGAAACTGTAATGATGGAGAGAGGACTTTAGGCATTTGTCAAAATCCATAGAAGTGTACGATACAAACAGTGAATTTTAATGTATACCATGGATTCAATTAATAATAATGGATCCATATTGGTTTGTCAATTGTAACAAACGTACTACATTAATGCAAGATGGTAACAGCCTAACTGCTGGGCAAAGAGAGGATGCATGGGAGCTCTCTGGACTTTCTGCTCAGTTTTTCTGCGAACCTAAAGCTGCCCCCCAAAAACTAAAACCCAAATTAAGAACAAAGTTAATGCTGTTTAAACATAATAATAATAAAAGGCTACTAATAACATACTAATATAGAAAACTAGTATTTCAAAACCAAGTCAGGACTATGATGCTCTTATCCATATTTGTTTGTTTGTTGTTTTCAAGGTTAGGCGATGCTTTCCTTCACTGTCCAGTTTGCAGAGCCGTCTTGGAGCTGGCGCGGGTCCTCCCTCTGTCGTCCTGGCTCTTGGAAAGGAACCAGGCGGGCTGAGGAACTGGCGCGCCCTCGTCCGCCCACAAGTCCTTGGAAAGCGCAGGCCTCGTGCGCTCTCCAGCGCCCTTCCAGGGCGCAAGGGCAGGACAGGTACATCCCGCGTGCTGCGGTGGCGATCAGCGCGGACACGGAGCCTGGCTCCACCCGTCCGCCCAGCCTTGGGGTTCTGCCAGAGCGCCGGGCGCAGAGCAAGCGGGTCTGAGCTCCAGCACCTTTGGCAGCTCCCGGCCCCGGGGTGCGAACGGCGGCCGTGGCTCACCGCTTCAGGAGCAGGCGACCAGGACACTAGGAAGAGAAGCCCGGACCAGGGCTAGTTTGTTTCCCCAACTCCTCTGGCCAGCTCAGGTTCTTAAACCCGCCGTGCAACAGACGCAGGTACCGGCTCAGAAAGCTCAGTCAGTGGTGCAGGAAGCCTGGGTCGCGGTGCATCGTGTTTAAAAATAAACACACACTTCCCTTGGGGCCAGTGGCATTTATTCTATTTAAATTACATAGATCGTTTCCATTCCTTGGTGTCTGAAGTATTAAGGCTGAAGTCTGCTTTCCCAGCTATTTGCATGTATTTGTTTAGGGATGGAGTCGCCCTGCAACACGGGCTGCTCCTATGGCAACTGCTACAAAACAAGATCAGGCTTCACCAGGGTCGGGAGAAGAAACCTCCCAAGAAAGCCAGGCGCTAGAGTCATGGGTGTGGATGTCCTTTTAGGGCCTAGGAAAGTAGGGTCTGATGAGGAGGCATTGAAGAAAAGCCAGTATGACGACGATGCTTTCATGGTGAAGTTTTGTGCATCTTCTACTGAACATTTTTTAAAGTATGCTCTTCTTTTTTGAGTTAGAAGGAAATATTGGCATTCAGAGTTAATGCTTCTTAAAAACAGTTACGTGGAAAGGAAAGCATTCCATCTTAGCTCATTTGCAAACAATTGCATTATTCTTGATCTTTGTTTATATCTATGTATGTGTCCAATGAATATACTGTAGGATGTATATGTAATTATATATCGTATGTATAGTATAGAATATAATTATATAACTTTTGAAACTTTGTACTTCAGAGAAGGCACTGTTTGGGAAACACATGGACATTTTATACACTGAAGTTTATCTTAAGTTCTTTTTTGTTTTTTTGAGACAGAGTATCACTCAGTTGCCCAGTTTTAAGTTCTCTCTTTTGAGAGGCAGTAAGTCATGATTAGGGAGAATGAATGGACCACAGAGACCGAAATGAAATTGTAAGTGATTCTCTTTGGAATCTGAATGGGCCTGAGAGGCAGACATTATCTCGGGAAAATGTCTGTCAGGTGTGGTCACATTCGTCAGGCTTTTTTTCTGAGATAATGAGATTCCAGGGAGGGCATAGAAAGCATTTATGTTTCTTTTGGTAAGCTCTCTTGGTCAGATAAGGATGTTCCAGGAATAGTCCCTGCCCTTGTGGTTTGGGGAGGCACAAGACAAGGTTAGAGGGACCTTCATTCTGAGGCTTATTTCTGAGGCCGCTCAGCTTTCAAAAGCGCCCAGCGTGCTCAGGTGCCATATTTTGAGGAATGATTTTCTATACCCCTCAACATCATAAAACCACCTCATTTAAGCTTCAAGTGGTGCCTCATGGTTCCTTTCTAGGTTTTTTTTTCTTTTCTTTTCTTTTTATTATTATACTTTAAGTTTTAGGGTACATGTGCACAACGTGCGGGTTTGTTACATATGTATACATGTGCCATGTTGGTGTGCTGCACCCATTAACTCGTCATTTAGCATTAGGTATATCTCCTAATGCTATCCCTCCCCCCTCCCCCCACCCCACAACAGTCCCCTGTGTGTGATGTTCCCCTTCCTGTGTCCATGTGTTCTCATTGTTCAATTCCCACCTATGAGTGAGAATATGCGGTGTTTGGTTTTTTGTCCCTGCGATATTTGCTGAGAATGATGGTTTCCAGCTTCAGCCATGTCCCTACAAAGAACATGAACTCATCCTTTTTTATGGCTGCATAGTATTCCATGGTATATATGTGCCACATTTTCTTAATCCAGTCTATCATTGTTGGACATTTGGGTTGGTTCCAAGTCTTTGCTATTGTGAATAGGGCCACAATAAACATACGTGTGCATGTGTCTTTATAGCAGCATGATTTATAATCCTTTGGGTATATACCCAGTAATGGGATGGCTGGGTCAAATGGTATTTCTAGTTATAGATCCCTGAGGAATCGCCACACTGACTTCCACAATGGTTGAACTAGTTTACAGTCCCACCAACAGTGTAAAAGTGTTCCTATTTCTCCATATCCTCTCCAGCACCTGTTGTTTCCTGACTTTTTAATGATTGGCATTCTAACTGGTGTGAGATGGTATCTCATTGTGGTTTTGATTTGCATTTCTCTGATGGCCAGTGATGATGAGCATTTTTTCATGTGTTTTTTGGCTGCAGAAATGTCTTCTTTTGAGAAGTATCTGTTCATATCCTTTGTCCACTTTTTGATGGGGTTGTTTGTTTTTTTCCTGTAAATTTGTTTGAGTTCATTGTAGAGTCTGGATATTAGCCCTTTGTCAGATGAGTAGGTTGCAAAAATTTTCTCCCATTCTGTAGGTTGCCTGTTCACTCTGATGGTGTTTCTTTTGCTGTGCAGAAGTTCTTTAGTTTAATTAGATCCCATTTGTCAATTTTGGCTTTTGTTGCCATTGCTTTTGGTGTTTTAGACATGAAGTCCTTGCCCATGCCTATGTCTTGAATGGTATTGCCTAGGTTTTCTTCTAGGGTTTTTATGGTTTTAGGTCTGACATGTAAGTCTCTAATCTGTCTTGAGTTAATTTTTGTATAAGGTGTAAGGAAGGGATCCAGTTTCAGCTTTCTACATATGGCTAGCCAGTTCTCCCAGCACCATTTATTAAATAGGGAATCCTTTCCCCATTGCTTGTTTTTATCAGGCTTGTCAAAGATTAGATAGTCGTAGATAATGCGGCATTATTTCTGAGGGCTCTGTTCTGTTCCATTGGTCTATATCTCTGTTTTGGTACCAGTACCATGCTGTTTTGGTTACTGTAGCCTTGTAGTATAGTTTGAAGTCAGGTAGCGTGATGCCTCCAGCTTTGTTCTTTTGGCTTAGGATTGACTTGGCAATGCGGGCTCTTTTTTGGTTCCGTATGATCTTTAAAGTAGTTTTTTTCCAATTCTGTGAAGAAAGTCATTGGTAGCTTGATGGGGATGGCATTGAATCTATAAATTACCTTGGGCAGTATGGCCATTTTCAAGATGTTGATTCTTTCTACCCATGAGCATGGAATGTTCTTCCATTTGTTTGTATCCTCTTTTATTTCATTGAGCAGTGGTTTGTAGTTCTCCTTGAAAAGGTCTTTCACATCCCTTGTAAGTCGGATTCCTAGGTATTTTATTCTCTTTGAAGCAATTGTGAATGGGAGTTCACTCATGATTTGGCTCTCTGTTTGTCTGTTATTGGTGTATAAGAATGCTTGTGATTTTTGCGCATTGATTTTGTATCCTGGGAGTTTGCTGAATTTGTTTTTCAGCTTAAGGAGATTTGGGGCTGAGATGATGGGGTTTTCTAGATATACAATCATGTAATCTGCAAACAGGGACAATTTGACTTCCTCTTTTCCTAATTGAATACCCTTTATTCCCTTCTCCTGCCTGATTGCCCTGGCCAGAACTTCCAACACTATGTTGAATAGGAGTGATGAGAGAGGGCATCCCTGTCTTGTGCCAGTTTTCAAAGGGAATGCTTCCAGTTTTTGTCCATTCAGTATGATTTCTTTTCTTTTGTTTTGAGATGGAGTCTGGCTGTGTCCCCAAGGCCGGAGTGCAGTGGCACAATCTCAGCTCACTGCAACCTCCACCTCCTGGGTTCAAGTGACTCTCCTGCCTCAGCCTCCCCCGTAACTGGAATTATAGGCACATGCCATGACGCCCAGCTAATTTTTGTATTTTTAGTAGAGACAGGGTTTGATATCCACTCACTTTAACCTCCCAAAGTGTTGGGATTACAGGAGTGAGTCACCTCACTCGGCCTATCTGAAGTTCTTATATTAAATATAGAGTTGACGTTTAGGATTCCTCTGGATCCAGCCTAAAAAGCAAGGCTTTATTTCCTTCTAAAGACTTGTAACACTATCAGACCCAATGCTCACCATTTTTCTTCCTTTTTTTTTGGAGACAGAGTCTTGCTATGTTGCCCAGGCTAGACTGCAGTGACTATTCAATACTGGCACCATCAGACTGCACTGTGGCCTTGAACTCCTGACCTCAAGGGATCCTCCTTGAGTTCTCGGCCTCCCCTATAGCAACAGGCATGCACCAATCATCTTTCCTTTTTTTCTTTTTTTTTTTTTCTTTTGAGATGGAGTCTCACACTGTTGCCTGGACTAGAGTGCAATGGCATGATCTTGGCTCACTGCAACCTCCGCCTGTCAGGTTCAAGCGATTCTCCTGCCTCAGCCTCCCAAGTAGCTGGGATTACAGGTGCCCACCACCACGACTGGGTAATTTTTTGTACTTTTTGTAGAGACCAGTTTTCACTACGTTGGCCAGGCTGGTCTGAAACTTCTGATCTTGTGATCCACCCACCTTGGCCTCCCAAAGTGCTGGGATTACAGGCGTGAGCCACGGAGCCTGGCCCATGCTCACTTTTTATAAGCAAATTTTTCAGTAATACCTACTATGGTTAATTTTTAAAAAATAGTCTTTATTTTTAAGAGCAGTTTTAAGTTCACAGCAAAACTGAGTAGAATGTAGGTACAGAGATTTCCCATACACATAGCTTCCCCTACACATAGCTTCCCCTATTATCAACATCCCCAGTCAGAGTGGTACGTTGTTGCAATTGGTGATGCTGCACTGACACATCATTATCACCCAAAATCTGTGATTTACTTATGGTTCACTCCTGTACATACTATGGGTATGACCAATGTCTACTGACATGTATCCACCATTATAGTATCATACCGAGTAGTTCCACTGCCCTAAAAATCCTCTGAGATCCATCTATTCATTCCTCCCTCCCCACCAACCCCTGGCAAACACTGATCTTTTCACTGTCTCCATAGTTATGCCTTTTCCAGACTGTCATATAGTTGGAATCATACAGTATAGAGCCTTTGCAGATTGGCGTCTTTCACTTAATAATATACATTGTAGGTTTCCTTTCTGCCCTTTCATGGCTTGAGGGCTCATATCTTTCTAGCGCTAAAAATTTTCCATTGTCTGGATGTACCACAGTTTTTTCACACATTCACTTACTGAAGGACATCTTGGTCATATCCGAGTTTGGGCATTTATGAATAAAGCTGCTATAAGCATTCGCGTGCAGGTTTTTGTGTGGACATAAGTTTTCAACTCATTTGGGTAAATACAAGAACTATGATTGCTGGATCATATGACAAGAGTACGATTAGGTTTACATTAGTAAGAAGCCTCCAAACTGTCTTCCAAATTGTCTGTATCATTTTGCATTTCCACCAACACTGTGGAAGAATTCCAGTTGCTCCACATCCTCACCAACATTTGGTGTTGTCAGTGTTCAAGATTTTGGCTATTCTAATACGTGTGTTGTAATATCTCGTTGTTTTCATTTGCATTTCCCTGATGATATATGAGGTGGAGCATCTTTTCATGTGTTTGCCATGTAACAAATATCCTTAACACCTCCTTAACAATTCTGAAATGCAATTCTTAGTTAATATCATTTACCTACAACATAATTGTTAAAATAATCAATACAATGCTCTAAGAAATAAAGGACTAAAAGGAAAGTGATGAATAATGACATAGTACAGGGACCCCACGAGAGAAGACATGAAGAATTAGACAGATGATTGCCCTTAAATGTCATAGAATCACCATGGAAGTGCCTCATATTGGCAAGTAAAATATCCCAAATCAGCAATGATATTCTCTAAAATGGCAAACAGCTGTCAGTAAAGCAAGCAAAACAAAGTATAATCTTCCTTCTTTTCACATTGTAGTTGCATGTGTGGAAATTTGTTGTATATTAAAATTACACAAAACACATTTCGTGTTTATATGTAAAATAGAGTTGAGGTCTAGATGCAGATAATTATACATAGGGTGCTTAGTTTGTTTTTCTTACACAAACATCTGTTGGGATATTCAGAATTTGACAGAACTGTCCCATGCCAACAGTGCTACCCCAATATTGTGAAAAAAAAAATCCTACTTTAAAAACCACTGTTCTAAAAGATGGAACTTGGTTGGGTGTGGTGGCTCATGCTTGTAATCTCAACACTTTGGTATGCTGAGATGGGAGGATTGCTTGATTGAGCCCAGGAGTTCAAGAGCAGCCTGAGCAACATAACAACACCCAGTCTCTACCAAAAATTTTGTAAATTAGCTGGGCATAGGGCATGTGACTGTACTCCCAGGAGGCTGAGCTGTACTTATTCATAGAGGGTCTTGCCTGCAAGTTGTCCAGGTTAATGGCATTTTTGAACAAAGAATTGGACAAAATGCACAGCAAAGCAAGGAAAGAATGAAACAAAGAAAGCAGAGATTTATTGAAAGTAAAAGTACACTTCGCAGTGTGGGAGCAGTTGGAGCAGCAGCTCAAGGGCCCAGATGCAGAATCTTCTTGGGTTCAAATACCCCCTAGAGGTTTCCCATTGGCCACTTGGTGTTCACCTCATGTAAATGGAGCGGTGGCTCACAATCAGTGTGATTGGTTACGGACAGTAACCGATCAGAGGCTGAAGTGAAGTTACAAAGGTCACACTCCTATGCACACATCTGATTGGTCTCGCAAAGCTAACAATCAGAGGGTAAAGCGAAGTTACAAAGTTGCTCTTCTATGCAAACCAAGACTTGGCTGGCAATCAGAGATTGGTCTTGGAAAGCTAACAGTCAGAGGCTAAAGTAAAGTTTCAAAGTTACACTCCTATGCAAACGTCTGATTGGTTGCAATCAGAGGTACTTTCAATTTCCCATCTGCCCGAGCAGAAAAGACGGGTTTGCAAAGGGAGTAGCCTCTGGTCCTTGTCACTTAGGTGTGGAAAGTTAGGGTTTTCCTTCCAGGGCCTATTGTTCTACCTCAGGAAGACTGATTGAGCTAAAGAGCGAGGCTGCTTTGAGCCATGATCACGCCACTGCACTCAAGCCTGGGTGACAAAGCAAGACCCTGCCTAGCAAAAAAAAAGAAAAAGAAAAAGATATAACTCTTTCTCCAACAGGAACATTATGAATTTTATTCACTGACTTGAGATTTGAGTCCAAGAAGGAAGGTGAAGTTGCTGAAAAACCAGACTCACTTAAAAGTCAAAAGCCGAGCCAGGCATAGTGGCTCACACCTGTAATCCCAGCATTGTGGGAGGCCAAAGTAGTTGGATCACCTGAGGTCAGGAGTTCAAGACCAGCCTGGCCAACATGGTGAAAACGCGTCTCTACTAAAAATACAAAAATTAGCCTGTCATGGTGACAGGTGCCTGTAATCCCAACTACTTGGAAGTCTGAGAATTGCTTGAACCCGAGAGGTGGAGGTTGCAGTGAGCTGAGATCACACCATTTCACTCCAGCCTGGGTGACAAGAATGAAACTCCGTCTAAAAAAAAAAAAGAAAAAAGAAACAAAAAAGTCTAAAGCTGGTAAACTAATCCCAATGAGAAGCTTGGCATTGAAATGATGAGTTTATTCACAGAGAAAAAGAGCAAAGTCTCCAAAAGTTTTCTAGGCATTTTATAACTGAGCTGGCCCCAAGTGCAGGTGCAGGAGCTCTTAGAAGCTCAGCCACGGGGAATAACACTGCAGGAAATACATGTCCAGGGATGAGCTGAATGAAATGGGTGGGATGGGATCCAGTATCCCATCTCTTCAACTTCGAACAGCTGCCCGCCTGTAGAAACCGTTGCAAGCTAGCTTGAGGACAGTATCCCTTCTGCAGGGCTGCATGCCGTTTGCTTGTCTGGCAATCCCATAACTCATAGGCAGATGCTGTATGCCATATACCAAATAGCAAAGTGGAGATGTGCAGGGTAGGAAAACTGGATTGCGAGGAAGGAGATGAGGCAATCATTCTCAACCTTGGCTGCACGACAGAATCTCTCGGGAAGACTTTATAAAATATGAATGCCAGGGCCCATTCCTATGGTGTTCTTTTTTTCTTGATAAATGTTAGCAATGGTTTTATTAGTCTTATGTCCTTGCTTTTGTGTACTATCTGTCCCCAGGGAGATTATTTTTGAGAATTACCCCTAAATTTTCATTGTTTTCTCCCTTCAAATTCAGTGCTTGTGAGACACATTATGAAAAAGAGAAGCGACTCCGCGTTTGTTTAATGCATTGCTTCCTCCACTTAACCTCTTGCTTATTGGAGCTAAAAGCAGATTCTGTAGTCCTTATCCCCTAGTGGCTCTAATCCCCACTCTCCTAACCAGGAATTTACCATTGTAGTTTCAATGCAATGGCCGTTTCATTTTCTTTTTCCATCCTAATCCAGTAGTTAGCTTAACTTGCTCTACAGTGAAATACACGCATGGTATTCTGACTTAATTGACCGAGTGCATGACCCTGGCATCAAAAATTTTTAAAGGCTGATAAGGTGATTCTAATGTGCATTTGGGGTGGAGAATACCAATCTGGCAGCTGGAAACAAAAGAAGAGTGAACATTTTCCCACTGGGCGCTTCCAGAAAGTAATTAAATACATATAAGTGCTGGGAAAAAAGGAGGCTAAGTCCTGAGATATTAACTAGTTATATGATGTTGAGCTGGCTATCTTATCTAAGACTCAGTGTCATCTTTAAAAGGAGGGAAACTATAGCACCAGCCATATACAGGTGTGAAGATTAAATGAGCTAGTATGTGTAAATCACTTAGCATGGTGCTTGACAGTGCCCAACAGACAGGCCCAAGGCATAGTGGCTCATGCATGTGGTCCCAGCGCTTTGGGAAGCTGAGGCAGTAGGTTCGTTTGAGCCCAGGAGGTTGAGGCTGCAGTGAGCCATGATCGTGCCACTGCATTCCAGCCTGGGAGACAGAGAGAGACTGCATCCCCCCCAAAAAAAAAAAAAAAACAGTTGGCTGGGCACGGTGGTTCATGCCTGTAATCCCAGCATTTTGGGAGGCCGAGGTGGGCGGATCACCAAGGTCAAGAGTTCAAGACCGGCCTGACCAACATGGCAAAACCCCGCCTCTACTAAAAATACAAAAATTAGGCTGGGCACTATGGCTCATGCCTGTAATCTCAGTACTTTGGGAGGCCAAGGCGGGTGGATCACAAGGTCAGGAGATCAAGATCGTCCTTGCCAACATGGTGAAATCCCATCTCTACTAAAAATACAAAAATTAGCCATGCGTGGCTGTGCACACCTGTAGTCCCAGCTACTTGGGAGACTGAGGCAGGAGAATTGCTTGAACTCGGGAGGTAGAGGTTGCAGTGAGCCAAGATTATGCCACTGCACTCCGGCCTGGGCGACAGAGCAATACTCCTTCTCAAAAACAAACAAACAAAGTGCCCAGTAAATGACTGGTGTTTCGTCATCATCCTCATTGTCATTTTAGAGAATAAAAACATTGGATTAGAAGTTTATATACAACATATTTGCCTCCATAAATAAGTGCAAATTCTGAAATTCAAAGCAAAAAATTTTTTAAAAATCATTTTATATTTGCTGAGAGCTTTTCCTTTGAACATAGATTGGGGGAGGCAGTTTCATGGATTTCCATGTTCATAACTGGATCTGTCCCCAGTCTTTTTCTGGCATTCCCAGCCTTGAACCGCGTCTTGTTAATCCTCCTCCACAAAAGCCCATACTAGCTTTTATTTATTTTCTCTCAGAATATTCCATGTCTATAATTTCTGTTGATTTATGCTCTATAAATACTAATTCCAGACTTGTGTAGCCAGCACTTTCTGGCCCCAAGCGCTCCACAAAATGGACTCAGATTGTCTTCTTGTATAACGCACAGTCTACCAGTTTGGTGAAAGGTGATAAAGTGATCTGTGGAGCTCAGATGGAAAGAAGCGTCTGGGAGAGCCAGGCTCCTAATCACTTAAATCCTTTCCAAACGTGGGGAGGGGGGTGGTGCGAGGGAGAATGAGAGCAGACAAAGCTGGCTGTCATTGCTATGATTAGGCTTTCGCTCTAAGCCTCCAGAGAGTTGTGAGCTGGGGTAAATGATGTGAAGGATTCATTTCGCCTGGATAGAGATAGGCTCAAGGAGCTGCACCAGTAAAAGTGGGATGAACGGCGTCTTAGACTCCCTTTCCTCTAAGCCCAGCGCAAGCCACAGCCTCGTGAACAGCTCAATGTAATAAGACAAATCCAAGGAAAAAGAAGGAATACGCTTCCTCCTGAGAGCTAGATTGGAGTGTCTCTAATCCCCTCAAACTGTTATCTGTCAGGAATCTTATTTGTGAGCAACAGAATCCAACTCCAATAACTTTGGAAGGAAGAAATTTAGCAGAAGGCTATTCAGGAGCTCCGGCTCGTGCTGAGCAGATGGGAGAAGCAGGCTTAAAGTCAAAGCTTTGGTGGCAGGCAGGAGCAGAAGTCAGTCAGTGAGGACACCAGTGCAGTGGGCATTGGACACAAGACCACAATGCTCACCATGGCTGATGCTGGCACGAGATAGTGGTTGCTGATGCAGGCATCGCTACCTCTGCACTTGGGAACTTGCCAGTACTCCCCCATCTGCCACCAACCACCTATCCGTGGTTTCGCCACCACCCACCTATCCGTGGTTTCTCCACCACCCTGCTTCCTGGGATGCAGCAACCCCCAAACAGATGCAGTTTTGGGCCAGCGTTATGGAAGAGAAAGCAAATCCCCCAAATGTCTGAATCACAAACACAGAGACCTCACCCCCGTGACAGTGGAAACAAATGCCCTGGCCTCTGACCCCTACAGATCCGCGTTCCTGCCCCTAAACGGTGCAGTGAGGGGAGAGCTGGGCTGCAGAACAGGTGGAGAGAAGAACGTGGTGTGTCCCCTAGGGGTCAGTGCTAGGACATATTGTCTCCAGGGTCTCGTGCCTTTCTGTTTGGTTGAGGGCAACATTTCTCAGAAGTATGTGGATACCTGGGATTTTAAGAGGGTATCATGGCAACTCTTTCACTCTCTAGTTTTAGAGGTGATCTTGACAAATGTCTCTCACCTGAGAGCCTTTGAGTATGTACCAACTAACCATATGGAGCAATTGGGGGATCAGATAAAAAGGCTGATGACACGGTCACTCTATTGAGTTAGCACCAGCTGAGCACAACAGCCCACCATGTTGTCTCTGACTACCATGGAGCATGGCAGGCTGCTTGTTGTCACCCCACATCCATTTTCCCCTTCTTCATTAGAAAATGGTGAGCCAGCTAAAAATTGTATTTCCCAGTCTTCTTCTTCTCCTCCTCCTCCTTCTTTTCCTCCCTCCTCCCTCCTCCCTTTCCCCTTCACCTCCCCTCCCCCTTCACCCTCCCCAACCCCTTCTCTTCCCCCTTGTTCTCCTTCTCCCCCTCCTTCTCCTTCTCCTTCTTCTGACAGGGTCTTGCTTTTTCACCCAAGCTAGAGTGCAGTGGTGCAATCATGGCTCACTGAAGCCTCAACCTACTGGCTTAAACGATCCCTCCACATCAGCCTCCCAAGCAGCTGGGACTACAGGCACACACCACCACGCCTGGCTGGTTGTTAGATTTTTTTGCAGATATGTGGTTTTTGCCCGAGCTGGTCTTGAACTCCTGTTCTCAAGTGATCGTCCCACCTCAGGCATCCAAAGTGCTGTGAATATAGGTATGAGCCATCACACCCTGCCTACCCCAGCCTTTTTTACAGCTAGGTGTGGCCATCCAGCTAAGTTTTCATCAGTGAATTGTGAGAGGAAATAATGCACGAAATTTTGATTTCAGCCGGGCTCAGTGGCTCACGCCTATGATCCCAACACTTTGGGAGGCTGAAGCTGGCAGGTGGATCACTTGAGCTCAAGACTTCAAGATCAGTCTGTCCAACATGGTGAAACCCCATCTCTACTACAAATACAAAAATTAGCCAGGCGTGGTGGCACACGCCTGTAATCCCAGCTACTGGGGAGGCTGAGGCAGGAGATTCACTTGAACCCGGGAGGTGGAGGTGGCAGTGAGCCGAGATCACTCTACTGCACTCCAGCCTGGGCAACAAAGTGAGACTCCATCTCAAAAAAAAAAAAAATTCTTTTTTGGTCTTACTTCCTTAAAACACTCCCCAAAACTTGGCCTTTACTTCCCCCCAAATTGTTACAGATTTTCATTTTTTCCCTTTCTTGAATCAGAAAATAGCTATGTTTGCTGCTTGACTTTGATTATGTAGATTAATTCATAGCCCTAGGTCAGTTTTTTTGTTTTGTTTTTTTGTTATTTTTTTTTTTTTTTAGATGGAGTCTCGCTCTTTCACCCAGGCTGGAGTGCAGTGATTTGATCTCAGCTCACCGCAACCTCCACCTCCTGGGTTCAAGAGATTCTCCTGCCTCAGCTTCCCAAGTAGGTGGGATTATAGGCTCGCACCACCACGGCCAGCTAATTTTTGTATTTTTAGTAGAGACAGGGTTTTGCCACATTGGCCAGGATGGCCTCAAACTCCCGACCTCAAGTGATCTGCCTGCCTCAGCCTTCCAAAGTGCTGGGATTACAGGCATGAGCCACCGTGCCCAGCCCAGGAGCTGTTAATCAGGGTTTTATGAATACTCAAGGAATTTGGGGATATAAACCATGTGGGTTAATGAAGTTAAATCAGGGAAAAAAAGTCTTCATTTCAATTTAACTCTAACTGAAATTGTGTTTTTCAATTATGAATACAGGAAAGTAACCACAGTATTAAGAGTACAGGTAACTTTGTGACCAATAGAAAGGTATTTTTATTTCACATTTCAGCTGAAGATATCTCAAAATATTATTTGTGCTCTTCACCAGTTTGAAATTGTGATACGAGACAATTTGACCCTACTAGATCTTTCTATTTAATGTATTAATAAAGAAGCAAATATATTAGTAATTCACACATTTGCTTTATAAGCATTGTGATGAATATATTTCAATATAATTGCTATCTTTTATAATCCTATACATTTTCTTTTATATCTTTGAAAAAATTATTCTGAGGCTAGGCATGGTGGCTCTCACCTGTAATCCAAGCACTATGGGAGGCCGACATGGGAGGATGACTTGAGGCCAGGAGTTTGAGACCAGCCTGGTCAACATAGCAAGACCTTATCTGTATTAAATAATAATAATAATGATAAAAAGAAAAAAATTATTCTGAGATAGTCCATAAGCTTCACCAGACTGTCAAAGGGGACCTTGTCACAAAAAACTTAAGAAGCAACATGGTTTCTTTTTTCTAGTCATTCTGTCTCATGGGATGGCAGAACAACTGGCTCTCAGAATACATGCGGAACAGATCTCACCCTCAATGAAACCACTCACCTACAGACGTTAAATAAGAGAGAAATAAACCTTATGATCTTTAAGCCATGCATTTTATGGTATTTTTGTTATAGAAGCTTAAAAAATACTCCAACCATACATATAAAGTTATTTTATTCTCACTTTCTTGTTTTAAAATTCATATCAACATCATTCGTTAAAGGTAAGAAGCATACAGATGTCAAAATCCAACAACTTGCTGAGGATTATTAAAATGATAATAATTATGCAAATTTATTTCAAGGAGATATTTGCAGTTTGTATGTTGTATTCATCTCAACAAAAGTGTTATTTAGCACAACAAAATACTTCTTGTACTTCAAAATATATTAAGAGAGAAAATATGGTGCCTATTAAATTTAATTTGACTTCTTATTTATCAAAAGTAAACATTAGCACCTGAAATACGTTGTTTGCACAGAAATACCTGTATTTAGAAGCTTGAAATATTTCCTCTGAATTGATAACTTAGAAACAAAACATGGAAATTATAGTAAGTGAATTTCCTATTTAATGTGCTAAAGGCAATCTGTTTATACAGTAGTATGCAATTTTAAATTTTAAACCAGTTTTTAATATATGTTTGATCCTAAGGCTAAATATCATATATATTCTTCTTGAATTAATTTGTTTATAAAGCATGTTTTTGCTACTTAATTAATTAATTAATTATTCTGGATGGACTGTCACTGTTAGCTGGAGTGCAGTGGCGCCATCTCGGCTCACCGCAACTTCCACCTCCCGGGTTCAAGTGATCATGCCTCAGCCTCCTGAGTAGCTGGGATTACAGGCATGTGCCACCATGCTTGGCTAATTTTTGTATTTTTAGTAGAGATGGGGTTTTGCCATGTTGGCCAGGCTGGTATTGAACTCCCGACCTCAAATGATCCACCTGCCTCAGCCTCCCAAAGTGCTGGGATTACAGGCATAAGCCACTGTGCCCAACCTGATTTAAATGAATAGTATGTATCAATTGTTAAGTGGGAAAAAAACTAAATGTTTCTATATATTTTAAATATTACTACACATTATATAAAAGTGAACTCATATGCTAATTGAAAATACACTTTATACTTGAAATTACTTAATATTGTATGCCCTGCAAAGTTGATAGAATTTTTTTTAGTTGTCTTTTTGCATCCCTTGGCTATGCTATAATGCGGCTTTGAGGATCAAATAAGGAGCTTGAGAGCATTGAAAGTACCACCAAGTTGAGAGGGGGAAGACCTCATATGCAGGAGAGGATTAACTTTGCCCATACAGGGGTCTGGCCTTTGCCCTCAGCTCCTGGAAGATAATCTCTAAACCACTGGAATATCCTGCTTGATAAGAATGTTTACCTGAGGACTTTGGAACAAGCTCCATAACCTATGCTAACAATGTAATCGATAATGCAGGCTTTGGGCCACACAGCTCCAGCTCAGCCTCCGGAAGGGCTGGAAACTGACCATGTCGATGTGACAGAACCCCAGTAAAAACTGTGGACATTGAGGCTCAGGTGAGCTTCTCTGGGTGGCAATTCATGCATATCCTCACACATCACTGCTGAGTTAGTTCTCCACTGGGAAAGAACAACTGGAAGCTTTGCACGTGGAGCTCTCCTGGACTCTTCCCCATATGCCTCTTCCCTCAGTTTATTTATTTATTTAGAGACAGAGTTTCACTCTTGTCGCCCAGGCTGGAGTGCAGTGGCGCAATCTCAGCTCACTGTAACCTCTGCCTCCCAGGTTCAAGCAATTCTCCTGCCTCAGCCTCCCAAGTAGCTAGAATTACAAGCATGTGCCACCACCAGCACACCTGGCTAATTTTTTTGTGTTTTTGTAGAGATGAAGTTTCACCATTTTGGCCAGGCTGGTCTCGAACTCCTGACCTCAGGTGATCTGCCTGCCTTGGCCTCCCAAAGTGCTGGGATTACAGGTGTGAGCCACCACGCCCCGCCCCCTCAGCTGATTTAAATTTGCATTCTTTCACTGTGATAAGCCACAACTGTGAGTATAACAGCTTTCAGTGAGTTCTGTGAGTCCTTCCAACAGATTGTCAAATCTGTGGGTGGTCTTGAGGATCCCTGAACTTGCAGTTAGTATCTGAAGTGAAAGTGGCCTTGGGGCCTCCTGAACTTCACGCCTGGCTTCTAGTCCTGACTGCCCCTAACTCTAGTTATCAACAAATCTCCATTTGCCTCCAAGCCACAGTGTCTGCTGGTTCTCTGCCAAACTCCCACCCTTCTCTGCCTTCCTTTGTGTCATTGCCTATGTTCCCTAACTCCAGGGGAAGATGAGCAGGTGCGAGACAGGGAGAAGCCATCCTACTTCTGGCTCCAGCGGCAGCGGTACCAGTGACTGTATACAACAGGGGGCCCGAGAAGCATCTGAGGCTCCAGCGGAGACACAGGATTGGCTTCCGCTCCCCAGCAGTGGGGACGTCTCCAGACATTCAGCAGCTCCAGCCCGGGGACTGCTGCAGCTTCTACCCTCTGGGTAACACCCCTCTTCTCTCTTTTGCTCTTCTAGCATACCCCACACCTTTGTCAACATCCCCTGAATTAATTCTCTCTCTGCGTTCAGTTTTCCTGAAAGGGGAAATCCCCCTTTTCTGTATAAGGGGAATAATAATAATTGTATCTGTTCTCTGTATCACTCAGAGCTGTTGTGAGCATCCACTGCTAATGGTTGATTGGTTGCTTTAAGGTTAATAAAGAATCACCTAATTTCACACTATTATGATCATGCAAATAGGGGCGTTTGCATCACAAAACAAGTATCGAGTAGGGAGGAGATTCTCTGGAACCTAGAACAAAGACAGGAAATATATTTTAAAATATTCTTACTGTATTATGATGCATTTAAGCCTTGTAGTCAAATCCCAGCTTTACCATTTATTGTCTGTGTGGCCTTAGGCAAGTTGCTGAAGTTCTCTGTGTTTTATTTCCTCATCTGTGAAATGAAGATAACAATGGACCTACCTCACTGGGTTTCTGTGGGGATTAAATACAATAACTCATACATGACCAAAAGGTTGTATAAGCAATATTCATGGGCCATGATAAGAAACCACCTTTATTTTGTTTCTCATTGTTTATTTAAAATTTCTTCAGCAGGAGAAACTCTTTTCCTGCCCCTAAATGTGAAATCAGGTGGTTCTCTAATGCTTCTGACCATCCTTAGGTAATAAAAAGTTCTACAACCACATTAAGTTGCAAAACACACTCTCATTTCTAGATTTAGAATGTCACATCCCATGTAATAATAAAAGCTTCCAGTTTTAGGGAAAGTTCCCCCTAGCTGGGGTCTTTTGCTACGGAGCCAGGTTTAGGGGGTATGATTCTCTTCTAGACGGTCACCTTACCCCTGCAGTCCCAATTTGATAACCATAGTTTCTCATCAATTGAAGTGGGTTAGGTTGGGTTAGGACAGAAAAGGTTAGGGTGTGGCCAGAAACCTTCACCTTAAGTGACACTCTTGTAGGCTATGTTCTCACTTTCTGGGTTTGGCAAATGGTTAAAGGTGACCTTTTCTTCCTGGTGCTTCAGATTTCACCGTGACTTTCAACTGTGCTTCCCATGTTGAGGGCAATGTATTTGCTCCTGGTTGCTTTTCTCTCAGCCGTGTGTGTGTGTGTGTGGGTGTGTGTGTGTGTGTGTGTGTGTGTGCGTGTGCGTGCGTGCATGCATGTGTGTGTGTAGCTATCCACCGTGCACAGAATCTCTGTTGAAGACCCCTGTTCTTCCAGGCGTCCCTTGACCAGAGTTTAAACAAGCTCCAAGCCATCCTCCTCTCCCTCATGGTCCACACTTGAATTTTTTGTCCTGACATACTTTGGGAGTGCAAGCTGACCTCAGTGCAGAAGGAACTCTCCTTCACCCTGTTAATGTCTTTTCCAGACTGCCCTTCTCTCTTGACCTCTAGATTCTCTGGATGCAAGTCAGACTGTAGTCTACTGTGCTTCCACCTCCCAGGGGACACAAACCAAGCTCTACTCGGTCCTAGTAAAGTCTCTCTTGACCTGACATGAAGAGGAGGCATCCCTACCAGTCCCCATTGCTGCATGTGATAAAGGACCCATACAGCACCTCTTTCTAGACACAGTTTCTTCAATTTTTTTCCCTCAGTTTCAACTTTTTAATATATAGCCATGTATCACTTAATGACAGGGATACTTCTGAGAAATGCATTGTTACATGATCTCATCATTGTGCGAACATCATAGAGGGCACGCACACAAACATAGATGATCTAGCCTACAACACACCTAGGCCATGTGGGACAGCCTATTGCTCTCAGGCTATGAACGTGCACAGCATGCGATTGCACTGAAAACTGTGAGCAATTTCCATACTATTAGTATTTGTATATCTAAGTATATCTGAATATTAAAAAAGGTATACTAAAGCTACAATATTATAATCTCTTGGGACCATCAACGTATGTGCAGTGTGTCATTGACTGAAAAGTCATTATTCACTGCAGGACTGTATTTCTTTTTTGTTTTTGTTTGTTTGAGATGGAGTCTCGCTCCTTTGCTCAGGCTGGAGTGCAGTGGCATGATCTTGGCTCACTGCAGCCTCCGCCGCCCAGGTTCAAGCAATTCTCCTGCCTCATCCTCCTGAGTAGCTGGGATTACAGGCATGCGCTACGCCTGACTGATTTTTGTATTTTTAGTAGAGAAAGGGTTTCACCATGTTGGCCAGGCTGGTCTTGAACTCCTGACCTCAGGTGATCTGCCTCCCTCAGCCTCCCGAAGTGCTGGGATTACAGGCGTGAGCCACTGTGTCCGGGCCAGGACTGTATTTGACTTAGTGGAAGTAGTCCAAAATTGTGTAACTAGTTTTTGACTAAATCCTACTTTATAAGCCCTCTGGGGTGGTCTGTGTGAAAACTCACTTTGGTATTTAGTATCTATTATCCTCATGCCTCAGCCAAACTGGGAAAGAAGGAGCCTCATTTTTACATCTTTTATATGTGAAGAGCACTTAGAACAGTGCTCAATAAATGTTAGCCATTGTTAACTATTGTGAACAGAAAACACAACATGTGGGTAGTTTGAAATAAGCAAGTGGAACCAAAACAAAAGGATCACCCATTATCCTTCTTTCACAGAGAGCTTTAATGAATTCGATATTGTGGGATATCTTTTCTAGCTTACTTTCAGAGTAGAAGAGATTTTCATCTATTTGGAATGGATTAGCTGCCATTCAGCTTAAGCCGAGCAGTGAACTTGTGACCTCTTATTTCAGGTTCATGATGCTTTGAAACTCAGCCACAGGAAGCAAAGATATGGGTGGCAAGGCTGGGCACAATAGCTCACGCTTGTAATCCCAGCACTTAGTGAGGTCGAGGCAGGTGGATTGTTTAAGGCCAGGAGTTCGAGACCAGCCTGAGCAACATAGAGAGACCCCCGTCTCTACAAAACAAACAAAAATAGAACAAAGCAAAAACCAGCCAGATGTGGTGGCTCATGCCCAGCTACTCCAGAGCCTGAGGTAGGAGGATCGCTTGAGCCCAGGAAATTGAGGCTGCGGTGAGCTGTGATTGCACCACTGCACTCCAGCCTGGGTGACAGAGTGAGATACTGTCTCAAAAAAAAAAAAAAAAAAGATATGGATGGCAGCAATTTTGCCCCACATGGGGCCGCAGTGAGTGTATCAGGCCATGGTGTTTCTTGGGAAGGAGAATGCAGCAATGTTAATAGTCAACCTATTTAGAAATACAGCAACTATCATTTCCTTCCACAGGTATAGTAGGGAAACTGAGTGGTGCTGTCCACACGCTTGGAACCATTCCTCCAGGGCTGACTTTTTACAGAAAAAGGCTTATTTTATTTTACTTTATTTTTCAAGACAGTTTCACTCTGTCACCCAGGCTGGAATGCAGTGGCACGATCTCCGCTAACTGCAACCTCCACCTCCCAGGCTCAATCAATCCTTCTGCCTCAGCCTCCTGAGTAGCTGAGACTACAGGCACGCACCACCATGCCTGGCTAACTTTTGTATTTTTAGTAGAGATGTGGTTTTGCCATATTGGCCAGACTAGTCTGGAACTCCTAACCTCAAATGATCCAGCTGTCTCGGTTTCCCAAAGTGTTGGGATTACAGGTGTGAGCCATGGCACCTGGCCAGCTTATTGCTTTTTAAACCTGAAATATTTTCATGGACTGGGAGAGACATAATTTTTGTTGTTGTTGTATAAATTCAGCCTCTTTCTTTGCACTGTCTTTTCTATTGAAAGTTGAAAAGTTTGATGGAATTGGAATAGGGAATGTAGTTCTAATTGGACCAGTCAATTCCCAGCTCTTAAAAGCCTGGACTGATAGTCACGGATTCCTTGCAGCCTCACTTTCTTATTCCATAAAGTGGGATCCACAGTACCTAACTGCCGTGACAACTCACAGAACTGTTTTTGTTTTGTATGCTGTTTTTAGAGACAGGGACTTGCTTTGTCACACATGCTGGAGTGCAGTGGTGCGATCATAGCTCACTGCAGCTTCAACTTCCTGGGCTAAAGGGATCCTCCCACCTCAGCCTCCTGGTTAGCTGGGACTACAGGTGCTGCCACCACACTTGACTAATTGTTTAATTTTTTGTAGAGATGGGGTCTTGCTATGCTGCCCTTACTGGTCTTGAACTCCTGGCCTCAAGCAATCCTTGCACCTTGGCCCCCAAAGTGCTAGGATTACAGGCGTCCCTCACCGTTCACACCCTCACAGAACTGTTTTAAGGATCTGATCAGCAAACGGGTGTTAAAATTGCAATAATATTATTTCTTTATCATGAAAGCACTTAATAAGTGTATCATATAACCAGTTTTCCTATTGTGTTTGTGTTTGGATCTGCTAAAAATACATTTTACACTGAGCAGGCTGAAAGAGAAAGCAAAACACCAGAGAGCCCGGTGTTTTCTGACTAATAAAATATTCTACATAATCATGTAATGAACAATTGCTGAACACAAGTCTGGTGAGTTCATTTATGTCAGTAAACAAATTCCAATTTTTTTCAATGAACATATTTTGTAGAATGAAAAATTAATTCAATGTTTTATAATAGTGTGATCACACATTTTGTAGCTGAAAGTCACATCTCTAGGAGGTTAAATGAGAGCTAAGTTTTTATTTATTTATTTTTTTTTTTTTTTTGAGACAGTCTCACTCTGTCCCCCAGGCTGGAGTGCAGGGGCATGATCTTGGCTCACTGCAACCTCCTTATCACGGGCTAAAGTGATTCTCATGTCTCAGCCTCCCAAGTAGCTGGGATTACTGTAGTATGCCACCACACCTGGATAAATTTTGTAATTTTTTAGTAGAGGTGGGGTTTCATCATATTGGCCAGGCTGGTCTCGAACTCGTGGCCTCAAGTGATCCACCTGCCTTGGCCTCCCAAAGTGCTGGGATTACAGGCATGAGCCTCCCAAAGGCTGGGATTACAGGCATTACATCTACCACTCCCAGTGGAGAGCTAAATTTTTAGCAGGTGAGCATCCTCTGGATTATTTTGAGAAGGTTATTTCCTCTCAATAAACATAACAAGTCATAGATCCTGCAGAGATTTAAACGGAAATAAGATGGCTGTGCAAGGAGACAGCAGAGACCGTGGAGACTGAGATAAAATGATAGGAATATTGAAATATGCAAGTAAATAACTACATTGGGAAAAATTAAAGGCAGATATTTTACTGTGGAGGAAGAGATTACAAATATAAAAGGCTGAGAAAAACCTTGAGGTGTGGGGTTGAAACTGATGATATCAGTGTGAACTCATATTTATATAGGCAAAGATACATAAAGATGGAAATATTTATATAGAGTATGTGTATGTGTGTGTCTTCCATCTCCGTTAATGAGAGGTCTCAGAAGCAATGACCCTACTGTAGCAATGAGTATATTCTTCACTAGGCCAGGCGCAGTGGCTCACGCCTGAAATCCCAGCACTTTGGGAGGCCGAGGCGGGTGGATCATTTGAAGTCGGGAGTTCAAGACCAGACTGGCCAACCCAACATGGCAAAACCCTGACTCTATTAAAAATTTTTTAAAAAATTAGCCAGGAGTGGTGGCACACACCTGTAATCCCAGCTACTGGGGAGGCACAGGCAGGAGAATCGCTTGAATCCAGGAGGCTGAGGTTGCAGTGAGCCAAGATTGTGCCACTGCACTCCAACCCGGGTGACAGAGTGAGACTCCACCTCAAAAAAAAAAAAAATTTTTCAATAAAAGACCCAGGACTCCTTAGAGAACTGGCAAATTCCTGGGCCAGGACAAGGGAAAGACAGAATGAGCTTGAAACAGTTTGTTGCACAAGAATGTAAGAAAATGCTAAAAAAAAAAATAATGGGAACATGTCAAAAGGACATAGGAAGCAGCTTGAAGAAACTCCCTTGGCCAAATCTAGGTTAATCTGTGTCATCCCCCTCCCCTAAAAAAATGATAGAAATGGATTACATTTCCTCAAATAAAATAGGAAGCCATGAGTCCATACTGACATATATATATATATATATGTAAATTAAACAGGAAAGCATCTCTTTGTAGTAGAATGTCAACTACAGAAGGAATTATGGAAATAGAAAAAATCATCATTTAAGGCTGGGCGTGGTGGCTCACGCTTCTAATACCAGCATTTTGGGAGGCTGAGGCAGGTGGATCACCTGAGCTCAGGAGTTTGAGACCAGCCTGGCCAACATGGTGAAACCCCATCTCTACTAAAAATACAAAAATTAACTGGGCTTGGTGGCAGGTGCCTGTAATCCTGCTACTCTGGAGGCTGAGACAGGAGAATCACTTGGACCCGGGAGGTGGAGGTTGCAGTGAGCCGAGATTGTGCCATTGCACTCCAGCCTGGACAACAAAGTGAGACTCTGTGTCAAAAAAAAAAAGTTAAAGTCATTGTTTAAGGAGTACCATAATGATAGTTGATTCAGACAGGAATGGGTAATGAATGCTCCAGCCTGTGTGCTGGCATTTGATAAGGTACAGATACTCCTCAACTTACTGTGGGGTTATGACCTCACACATCCATCGTAAGTTGAAAATATCATCATGTTTTAGATGCACAGTGCTTCTTCTGATTACAGAATTTAAATATTCTTGAAATTTCCCTTTCTTTTCTTAATATCAGTGGTTTTGTCACTAAGACTGAAACTTAGCAGTTTAATCTTGTCCTATTTCCATTAAAATATGGTTATTCTTAATACCTACTCAGAATCCCTGCAATGTGAGGTACAAATGAAGATTCTGAGGCTACCCAGATCTATAAAGTCAAATCCTGAAATAAGGACCCCAGGAATCTACATTATTATGGAGTTCCTCGGGATTCTCACACACACTAAAATTTAAGGGCTATTGTCATATGGTTTCTATAATATTGAGCTTTGTGATTTTGACAATGACCAAAGAAATGCCTTCAATAAAACCCTACAAAATTCCATCATGAAATCTCCATTTTAAATGTAATAATTTTCAATTGCCTAGAGTACTTATTCAAACATTTTTTAATGGGCCCTTGCATAGCTAAGAATTTTTGTTTACCTCACAAACGACAGATACCTTGGTTGACAATAAAATTCTTAGAGTGTAAACTTTTTCCCTCAAAATGTTGTAAATGTTGTTTATTGGCTTCTGGAATTTAGTATTTCAGATAAATTTGAGGCCTATCTAATTTTTGCTGTTTTAAGAGTTCTAGTTTTTGCTGGGTGTGATGGCTATGTCTGTAATCCCAGGATTTTGAAAGGCCGAGGCAGGCAGATCACTTGAGCCCAGGAGCTTGAGACCAGCCTGGGCAACATGATGAAACCCCATCTCTAAAAAATTACAGAAATTAGCCGGGCTTGTGGCACACACCTGTAGTCCCAACTACTCAGGAGGCCGAGGTGGGAGGATCGCTTGGCCCTGAGAGGTTGAGGCTGCAGTGAGTTGTGATTGTGCCACTGCACTCCAGCCTGGGTGACAGAGTGGGACCTTGTGTCAAAAAAAAAAAGAAAAGAAAAGAAAAGAAAAAAGAGTTCTAGTATTTTTACACCTGGATAATTCTGTAATCTTTTATCATTTTAATTCAAAAATTTGCCAAGACGTGCCATTAATCTTGCTTGCTCTCGCACTAGGAATGTTTTCTGGGAACAGGCTATTGCCTTCCATTGCATCTTTGATTATTGGTCCCACGAGTACCATGGCAGGTACCTTCAAGCCTCCTCCCCTTTCTGCGAATTTCCTGAAGTATACCCCCGCCTCCTCTGCCTGGAAACTTCCTCCTCATTATTATATTTTGCCATAGTTTAATAAAACATTCAAGTTTATAATTATATTATTTAGAGCAAAATAGAGGCTTATAATTTTTTGCAAATAATGTTTTTCTCTTCTGTACTTTTACAAATGGTAAAATGTATTATATACACAAATGAACTTTTAACAACATATAAGTAACATACTACTATTAATGAAATGCTTTTTGCATCTATCATCCCCACTGAGAAATAGAACTTAGTGCATTAGGAGCCCCCACTTGTCTCTTTTTTATTGCCTTTTCAAAATCTATTTTTCATGTAGGGATATGCGCCTAGCTATCATATTGTTTAGTTTTGAAAATTAAGATGCAAACACAAACTTAGCTGTATGAGGAGGGACAAAATCGTCTCTATTTGATGAAGTCTCCCAGGTAATCTGAACAGTCTCTAAGTCACAGCCTGGCTCCATCTTGCTTGATTGCTGATGGGAAACCTTTGGAAATTGGTGGGCAAAGCTGTATGTGTGTCCTAGGAAATGTAGGCATGTAAGGGCATCAGACAGAACTATGGCGTGGATTACCAAATATCAAGAAGACATATAGGCCCGGCACAATGGCTTACGCCTGTAATCCCAGCACTTTGTGAGTCCGAGGCAGGTGGATCACAAGGTCAGGAGATCGAGACCAGCCTGGCCAACATGGTGAAACCCCATCTCTACTAAAAACACAAAAATTAGCTGGGCGTGGTGGTGTGCACCTGTAATTCCAGCTACTCAGGAGGCTGAGTCAGGAGAATCGCTTGAACCCGGGAGTTGGAGGTTGCAGTGAGCCGAGATCATGTCACTGCACTCCAGCCTGGGTGACAGAGTGAGACTCCGTCTCAAAAAAAAAAAAAAAAAGAAAGATATATGGTTAGACACAGTGAGTTACAGTGTGTTTTCTCTTTCTTAGCTTACCACGTTTTATCTCCAGCTCTTGCATAATTCAAAGCACAATACTTCTGTGGGGTGAATGAGTATCTTCAACTGATATAGCAGCAGGACTTGGAGGGGAAAGTGGAACTTCCTCAAGTTTTGATCAAGAGAAAGTAAGCAGCTGGGTGTGGTAGCTTGTGCCTGCAATCCCAAAACTTTGGGAGGCCAAGGTGGGAGATCACTGGAGGCCAGGATTTCGAGACCAGCGTGGCCAACACAGAAATCTCATCTCTACTGAAAATACAAAAATTAGCCAGGTATGGGTATGCACACCTGTAATCCCAGCTACACAGGAGGCTGAGGCACAAGGATCGCTTGAACCTGGGAGGTGGAGGTTGCAGTGAGCCGAGATTGTGCCACTGCAGTCCAGCCTGAGTGACAGGAAGACTCCGTCTCAAAAAAAAAAAAAAAAAGGCAAAGTAATCACACATCAAAATCTGACTAGATTCACTGGACTTTCTGTTCACCTGTTAAATAGAGTATGCAATAGCATTCAACATCTTGGTGGTAACAGCATTCAACGTGCCTGTCTCTTGAATTGCGCTGCTCCGATCCTCACAACTGTCCCCTGGAGCACAGCTGTCATGCTGCGATCTTCCTCCATCATCTTGGGGATTCTCTCTGCCTCTGTCCTGTGTTAGATCTCCTGTTTTATTATGGACATATAAGAGTTGTACACATTTATTGGGTATATGTCATATTTTGTTACAAGGATACAATGTGTAATGATCCAATCAGGATAACTGGGATACCCATCACCTGAAGGATCTGTCATTTCTTTGTGTTAGGAACATTTCAATTTCACTGTTAGATATTTCGAAATATACAGTAAATTGTTGTTAACAACCTTTGAAGATTTTGCGGTATAAGTGTGGTTTGTTCTCAGCTTTCCCCCTGGCAGCTTGGGATTTTGTTTTCTCATATTGTTATGAGAAACAAGTTTGTTAAATCACTTTGCACTGATCCACTGGTTTTGCAGCTTCTAAAATGTCATAGCTGTTGTCTCCTCTCCTATTCTTCTAGTCCTTGTGGGTTTAGGTCTCAAAACAAAACAACTCCTATTTTTATGGGGTTCAAGAGAGAGAAAAATTAAAGGGATATGTTCAATTCACTACATTAGCCTGGAAGTCCAAAACTGCCTACTTCTGTAAGGTCCAGTTCCTCTGGGAAGCATTCTTTTGATTCATCTGCCTTTAGCAGAATTAATCCTGTCCTTCAAAAGATTTTTAGTGTGGTGCACAACACATTGGATTCTAATCCATTTGTTTACATATGCCTCTTCCCCCAGAGAAAATATGAATCCTGAAATGTCAGAATCAAGTTTTACTCTAATTTTATCCATGGCACCCATCATAATACCAATATGTATTTGATAAATGTTTGCTATCTACAGGAATGTGTAATTAGGTTCCAAAAAGGATACTGCTGAACCTTTTCAAAAATTGGACATTTATTCAAATACATGTTATACTGACTAGGAATTTTTAATTCCTCCTTATCAGTTGTCAAACTAAACTAAAACTGAAAGCCGGTGAGCTCCTTCAACAGCATAGAAGCCTGTTTCTTGCACTCCAGATAGAGCAATGTTTCGTTTGAGTACCCTCTGGTGGCATTTGAAGAAACTAACTTATTTTACAGCCTGATATCTGGTTCTGTTGCTATTAAAAAGCTTGATGGAAGACATCCCTCATTTTCTTAATTTTCTCAATTGAACATGCATGACTTTTGCAATCAGAAAAATTGTATAATTTTTTCCAAAACAACTTTATGAGTTTCTGAGACAACAGAAGACGTTAGGAAGCTGAACAAACATACAAATAGAAATTGCACGTATTTTTAAATTAATCTATTTCTAATGCTTGCTTGCTTTTTTTTTTGTTTTCTTTGAGATGGAGTCTGGCTCTGTGGGTCAGGTCGCCCAGGTTGCCCAGGCCGCCCAGGCTGGAGTGCAGTGGCGCAATCTCAGCTCACTGCAACCTCCGTCTCCTGGGTTTCAGCAATTCTCCTTCCTCAGCCTCCCATATACAGGCACGTCTCACCACACCTGGCTAATTTTTGTGTTTTTAGTAGAGACAGGGTTTCACTATGTTGGCCAGGCTTTCCTCAAATTCTGGACCTCAGGTGATCCACCCACCTCGGCTTCCCAAAGTACTGGGATTACAGGCATGAGCCACCACGCCGGCCTGCTTTACCTTGCTTATTTCTCAGTCTGAGTGAGTCAAATTATGATAAGCCTCAAATTAATCATTTATAATTCAAATGGTAAAAAAAAATCTGGAATTCTTCATACTAGAAAGTCCATTTTCTTTTTTATGCCAAAAAAAATTGAGTTTCTTCCACTCAATTTCAAAACAAATCTGAAATTTTTAACATACAGGCTTAAGCATGTTTATTTAAACAAAGACACATAAATATGTGCAAAATGAACTTTGATGGATGACATATTTTTTAAGTTTTTATTTTTGTTTTTTCTTTTCTTTTTTCTGTTTTTTTTTTCTTTTCTTTTTTTGTTTCATTTTGGTTTTCTTTCTTTTTCTTTTCTTTTTTTTGGTGAATTTTTTTTTTTTTTTTTTTTTTTTTTGAGACAGAGTCTCATTCTGTCACCCAGGCTGGAGTGCAGTGGCGTAATCTCGGCTCACTGCAATCTCCACCTCCTGGGTTCAACTGATTCTCCTGCCTCAGTCTCTCAAGTAGCTGGAATTATAGGCATGCACCACCACGTTAGCTAATTTTTGTATTTTTAATAGAAACGGAGTTTCACCTTGTTGGTCAGACTGGTCTTGAGCTCCTGACCTCAGGTGATCCGCCCACCTCAGCCTCCCAAAGTGCTAGGATTACAAGCGTGAGCCACCACGCCAGGCCTTGGTGGATGATATTCTTAATGAAAGGGTCTGGATATGTGTATACCTTCCTATCAGCGGGTTGTGCTTGTCAGCAAGGCTACACATTCTGGTGCTGTGATTAGAGCAGAGGATCCTGTTTGTTTTTGTGATCAAGATTAGATAGGGCATGATTTGTACCAGGTCACACAAATGTTCTTAAACAATCGTGTAATGCTTAGAATGAGACTTGGGGGTTGCCTCCATTAGGGAAAGGGCAAGTATGTTTTATGTGTAGGAAAAACGGTATGTGTGGATATGTGGGGTCACCAGAATTGTGGCAGAGACTGTTAGTGGTCCTAATATTTGATCTTCCCTTCTTCAATAGTGATAGACTTTCAATTGTTCATAAGTAATTGTCCACAGAAACAAGACAACATTTTCACCAGTCTAATTTTGCAACTAATGTGTGGTCCTATAACTAAGTACCAAAGGGCAAGATATAAGCAGAATTAATATGCATGACTTCAGGATGTGAGAAGAAGTTATAGAGAAATACATAGCCTCCCTTTTACTGTTTCTGTCTTTCCATTGGCTGAACGGTGTGTGAAATGGGGAGGTGTCTGGAACATGGGAATGAGGACAGCATACTAGGAATGATAAAGCTACAAGACAGAAAAGCCCTAAGTCCTCGACATCTTTCTATTAACCTCAGAGAGAAATATGTTAACTTCTACCTCACTGAAGCCACATATATTTAAGGCCTATTTTATTCCCAATCAAATTTTAATTGTATTTTTTCCTCTTTATTTTTTGTAGAGATGGAGTCTCACTATGATGTCCGGGCTGGTCTCAAACTCTTGGCTTCAAGTTATCCTCTCGCCTCAGCCTCCCAAAGTGCTGGGATTACAGGTGTGAACCATTGCCACTGGTCTTTTCTTCTTTTTTTCAAATCTTTATCCTAAACAAAAGAAAACATGCCAAGAAAGGAGGCAGATTCCACAAAGGGTGAGATGTAACAAAATCTGGGAGTTTGGGGGGAAAATCCTGGAGGAAGGGAAATTGAATCTCTGACCTAAACAATGAATGAAATTAGCTAACAAAAGTTCTGAAATGGGAACCGGCATGGTGTGTGGAGGTACTAAAAGAAGAATGGAAAGAGAAAAAAGGTAGTTTGTGCTAAATCAGGAGACAAAAATATAACACAGATCATCCTGAAGGCATTAAGGAAGGAAAAGATTTAAAAAAGTCAAAAGTGATGCCCATATTTTTGGCCCAATCAACTGCGTGGATTGTAGAGCTATTTACTGAGAAAAGAAACACCATTCTGGGCATGGTGGTTCACGCCTGTAATCCCAATACCTTGGGAGATCGAAGTGGGAGGATTGCTTCAGTCCAGGAGCTGGAGACCAGCCTGGGCAATATGGCAAAACCCTGCCTCTACTAAAAAATACAAAAATCAGCCGGGTGTGGTGGTGAGCGGTTGTAGTCCCAGCTAGTCGGGAGGCTGAGGTAGGAGGGTCACTTGAGCAATCATTGCGCTACTGCACTTCCAGCCTGGGCGACAGAGGGACATCCTGCCTCAAACAAACAAACAAAAAAAAACAAAAAGAAAAAAGAAAAACAGAAACACTAGAGAAGTGGCTGGTTTGGGGAGGAAGATGATGATTTCACCTTGGATATGTCAAGTTTGTGGTGTTTGTGAATAGGCAAGTCGTTATGTGGCTCTGGTGCTCTGAGTTAAGATCGTGGGTAGAAACAGGTTTTGGAGTCATTGGCTACTGGATGGTAAATAAAGCTAGATGAATGCATAGAATACCTAGAGCAAGAATCTATACTTTGAAAAGAATATAAAAGTTATGAACAGGGCCTAAGATCCAAGTCCTGAAGGAATTCCGGAATTAAATGATTGGATATAAGAGGGGGAACTGATCAGGGAGATTGAGAAGAAATGGCCAGAGAAAAAGGAAGGAAGCAGGCGAGTGTGCTGTCATGGAGACCAAAGGAAAAGAGTGTTGCAGTAAATAAAGAATAGTCAGCCGGGCGTGGTGGCTCACGCCTGTAACCCAAGCACTTTGGGAGGCTGAGGTGGGCGGTTCACGAGGTCAGGAGATGGAGACCATCCTGGCTAACTAGGTGAAACCCCGTCTCTACTAAAAAATACAAAAAATTAGCCAGGCGTGGTGGTGGGCGCCTGTAGTCCGAGCTACTTGGGAGGCTGAGGCAGGAGAATAGCGTGAACCCGGGAGGCGGAGCTTGCAGTGAGCCGAGATAGCGCCACTGCACTCCAGCCTGGGCGACAGAGCAAGACTCCGTCTCAAAAAACAAAAACAAACAAAGAAAGTTAGCAACGCTGGATGCTGTTGAAGGATCAAGTCAGATGAGCTTTGATAAGAGGCTACTGGGTTCAACCACACGGGGATAACTAGTGACCTCAGTGGAGAAGTAGATGTCAGTGGACCATGGGGGTGGAAGAGAAATTAGGGTAGGTTGAATAGTGGGTAGATGTGTGAAAAAAGCGACAATTCTTTCAAGAAGTTTAGCACCAAAGGGGGCGGGAGAAAAGATAGTGCGGCAGCCATAGGAATTCTGAGGTTGAAGGAGGTGTTTTGTTTGGCTGGAGGGCTATTTAAGTTGGAAAATTTTGAGTCAAGCTCATTTAAATGCCAAAGGGAAAGGTCTACTGATGAGGAAAACACTGAAGATACAGAACAGAGATTGGATAATACAAAATTCAAGATTGCTGGGAAGGTAGGAGAGGAGGGGAATTGAGGGAGCGAGTGGTGGTATCAAACCAGAAAATGAAGGTGGGAGGGAGGAGTGGCTGAAAGGGGCGGGGCTAGGACTCAGGTGGGGCGGGGCTAGGACTCAGGTGAGGCGTCGGAGGCACTCACTTTAGGCACAAAATTTAAGGAGGCATCCCCCCAAAATCAGTAATTAAGATAAACACTTTAGTGTAATTTTTTTTTTTGAGACAGCATCTTGCTCTGTCGCCCAGGCTGGAGTGCAGGGGTGCGATCTCAGCTCACTGCAACGTCTGCCTCCCAGGTTCAAGCGATTCTTGTGCCTCAGTCTCCCAAGTAGCTGGGATTACAAGCATGCTCCACCATGCCAGCTAATTTTTGTATTTTTAGTAGAGAAGGAATTTCGCCATCTTGGCCAGGCTGGTCCGAAACCCCTGGCCTTTAGCGATCCTCCCGCCTCGGCCTCCCAAAGTGCTAGGATTACAGGCATCAATCTCTTAGTACATCAAAATTAATGTAAGAAATGTATGATGAACAAAAATCAACATAATAAACAAAGACACGACCAGATGTGAGCATGTAGACTTGGCAGTAAAAAGCTAAAACTGTTTTCTTTGTGAAGCAGGAGGCAAGGTTGTCTGGTGAGAGTACATGGGAAAGGAGATGGAAGGTTGGAGGTGAGAGCAAAGAAGGTTTGCTGCAGAAGTTGTGGAGAGAGGGAAGACAAGACAAGGAGAGAAATATGACGGCTGCCAAGGAGGATTAGCACCCAGGTGGAGCAGGTGGTCATTAATTCTTCACATCACTGATCTGGCCATTGTATGATCTCTAAGGCCTCTCTCAGAACTCAGAGAAAGCATGAAGAAGGAAAATAGATTTATGATCATGGCGGGTTTTCGCAGGGAAAAAGGTTGGGATGTTGGCAAGGGATTTATGATAGTGAACCACAGAAGCTATGAGAAGTTATGATAAGGGGCTGTTGAAACTAAGCCAGCGAGGTAATAAGCCAAAACATGAGAAATAAACTAAATCAAATGTGAAATGATAGCTCTGCAATAGAATGTAAATGCCAAATGTAATGGGGTGAGTTGTGTCCCCCTAAATTTATGTGTTGAAGACCTAACCCCCAGTACCTCAGAATGTACCCATATTTAGAGTGAGAAATAAAAATAAAATCCTAAATCCCCTAAGGCCACGTGTGGCAGCTCACACCTGTGATCTTAGCACTTTCGGAGGCCAAGGCAGGCGGATCACCTGAGGTCAGGCATTTGAGACCAGCCTGGGCAACATGGCCAAACCTACCTCTACTAAAAATACAAAAAAAATTACCTAGGCTTGGTGGTACACACCTGTAATCCCAGCTACTCAGGAGGCAGAGGCAGGAGAATTGTTTGAACCCGGGAGGTGAAGGTTGCTGTGAGCCAAGATTGTGCAACTGCACTCCAGCCTGGGTGACAAAGTGAGGCTCTGTCTCAAAAAAAAATAAAATAAAAATAAAAAAAAAATTCCTAAACCCCCCAAACTTCTGAATGGACCCCATTCCAGCCAAGAAGACCCCAGAGAAACCTTAAAACAGAGTTCCAGGTCATCTCAGGACAGGAGGTCAGACATGCCTCAGTCTGCCCCTTCCTTATTAACCTTTAACCAGAATCTTTCCTAAGAAGTAAACAGGAATCAGCTGTGGAAGACAAGAGCCGATGACTTACTCTATTATCACTATTAGCCAATTGTCTGAGGCCATGACGAGACTTCCCTTCCCTCTTTACAGTTTCGACATGACAGCTCGCCAGTTTCACAATGCATACCTTCCTTATCAGAGACCGTTGATGATGGAGATGCTCTGGCCAGTCTATAGAGAATGCACAGAGGATTTTCGGTCCTCTGCTTCACCTTCTGATGTCAGAAGGCTGAAAACTCCACACTCAGATTATGCTAATGCTGCCATTTGTGTACATGTGACCCATGAAGAGGTATGAAGCTCAAGTGCACATGCATGCTTCTCCTTTCATAAACATTAATGATTCCTCCTATTACTTATTAAATATGTATATTTGGCCACTATGCTCAGCATACATTCCTGTCTTATGCTTCCTTCCCTTAAGGTGCCTATTTCTGGCTTCTGGCTGGAGGCTACACTTCCCAGCCTATCAGAATGGCAGCCTGCAAGGATGCATAACCCCAACCCTTTATGAGAAATAAAGCTCTCTTTTCTATACTTATGAACCTTGTCATTCTTCAGTTGGCAGGAGATTAGGTCTTTAAAGAAGTGATTAAATTAAAATGAGGTGGCCGGCATGGTGGTTCACGCCTGTAATCCCAGCACTTTGGGATGCCAAGGCAGGTGGATCACCTGAGGTCAGGAGTTCAAGACCAGCCTAGCCAACATGGTGAAACCCCATCTCTACTAAAAATACAAAAAATTATGTTTTTTATTATAGAAAAAAAGGAGAATCCTCACCTAGATCTATTACAATGAAATTTAAGAACATCAATGACAAAAAGAAAATTTGCAGACTCCAGAGAGAAAGAACAGATTATCCATAGACGAGCAAGAATCATATCAACATTACACTTTTCAAATAAACATAGGATACAGGAAGAAAATAATGTTTTTAAATGACTGAAGGAAAAGACTTTGTAACTTGCAGAAACCATTAAACTAAATAGAAAAGCTTTATACACATTTCCCATGAAATCAGCACAGCACCATTACTATTAATATATTACAAAGACTCCTGGCCAATGCAATAAGAAAAGAAAGAGATATAAGGGGTATAAGGAAGGGCAGGGCTAAAACTGATTATTTGCAGAATTTGATAATTTTAGAAAAAAAGCAACAGAATAATAAAACTATTAAAATTTACAAGAAAGTTTAGAAATTATCCAGAATGTTCTGGGGATTAATAAAAAAAGAATGTTTAGAAATTAAAAACCATCAGGAGTTTGAGACCAGCCTGGCCAACATGGTGAAACCCTGTATCTACTAAAAATACAAAAATTAGCTGGGCATGGTGGTGCACACCTGTAATCCCAGTTACTTGGGAGGCTGAGGTGGGAGAATAGCTTGAACCTGGGAGGAGGAGGTTGCAGTGAGCCGAGATTGTGCCACTGCACTCCAGCCTGGGCAACAGAGCAAGACTCCATCTCAAAAAAAAAAAAAAAAAAAAAGAAGAAGAAGAAAAAGAAAAAGAAAGAAATTAAAAACCAATTTTTTGTCTTCAAAATTTTAATTTCTTTTTCATCAAAAGCAAGGTTACATAGAGTGAAATGCGTAGATCTTACATGCATAATTCAATGTGTTTTGATAAATATATACATCACATAATCACTATCCCAATTAACACATAGAATATTTCCAGGACCTGGAAACTTCCCTTGTGTACCATTCAAGTTAATCCTCAACCCCTAATCCCAAGCTGAAGCAGTCACTATTGTGAATTTCTATTATCATAGATTAGTTTGGCCTATTCTTGAACTTCATATAAGTGGAATTAGAGTATGTCTTCTTTTGCATCTGGCTTCTTTCACTCAAGATTTTTCCAAATTCATCCATACTATTGCATGTATCAATAGTTTATTATTGACTGGGCACGGTAGCTCACACCTGTAATCCTAGCACTTTGGGAGGCTGGGCCAGGTGGATCATTTGAGCTCAGGAGTGCAAGACCACCCTGGGCAACATGGTGAAACCCTGTCTCTACAAAAAATACAAAAATTAGCTGGACATGGTGGCATGTACCTGTAGTCCCAGCTACTTGAGTGGCTGAGGTGGGAGGATCACCTGAGTCCCAGAGGTCAAGGCAGCCACCATCCTGCCATTGCATTCCAGCCTGTGTGACAGAATGAGGTTTTGTTTCTGAAAAAAAAAAAAAAAAAAAAAGGCTTATTATTATATGAGGAGTATTATGCCATTACAGGGATACATCACATTCTGGTTATCCATTCACTTGTTGATGGAGATTTGAGTTAATTTCATTTATCAGTTATTTTGAAAAATGCTGCTGGAAATATCCACGTCCAAGCCACCACCTGGACATTCACTTTCACTCCTCCTGAGTGAATACCTAGGACTGGAATTGCTGGGTGATAGGGCCAATGTATTATGTTTATTTAATTAATTCATTTATTTATTCATTTTTGAGATGGAGTGTCTCTCTGTCACCCAGGCTGGAGTGCACTGGCACTATCTAGCATCACTGCAACCACCGCCTCCCAGGTTCAAGCGATTCTCCTGCCTTAGCCTCCCGAGTAGCTTGGACTCCAGGTGTGCACCACCAAGCCTGGCTAATTTTTGTATTTTTAGTAGAGACAGGGTTTCACCATGTTGGCCAGGCTGGTCTCGAACTCCTAACCTCAGGTGATCCACCCTCCTCAGCCTCCCAAAGCACTGGGATTACAGGTGTGAGCCACTGCGCCTGGCTCTTTGTTTCTAATCTGGTTGTCTTTTATTTCTTTGCTTTTGTTTATTTAACTTAAAAATCAATAATATTTTATGTAATGGTATAAAATAATTTACCATTCATAATGGGAAAAAACTCATAATGTATCTAGGATTTCTTGGTTACGAATGTACAAGATATCTATGGAGAAAATTGTGAAATGTTAAAGATCATCATAAAAGACAATCTGAATTAGCAGTTCTATATTACAAGAGGATAAATTAATATGTCATTTCTCCTCAAATCAATCGAGTGAATTCAATCTTAATGAATTTTTTGGATTGGATTGGATTGGATTTTTTGAAGAGCAAAAAATTTGTCCTAAAGTATACATGAAAGATTAAATATCCACAAATAGCTAAGTCAGTATTGAAAAAGAAGAGTAAAGAGGAGGAACTTGTTTTATAAGATATGAAGACATATTGCAGAGCTGAGTAATAGAAAGCAGTGTGGGAAGGGTATAAGAACAGATACCAGAGACCAAGAGAACAGAGCAGGTTGCTCAAATACAGACCTAAACATATGGAATTATCTAACACGTGGCATCAGGCAGCAATGGGAGACGGCTTAGAAACAAAAGGCATTTTGCTATGTGAAAGTCACATATTTAGTGCAGCCTAGAGTAATTTACTAACCCTGCTGTCTAACAATACATTGATCTTCACTGACAGCTGACTAATCCCAGGACACTGAAGCTAGAGGAAGGGTAGGTACATTTTTCCACTGGGGTGAATAGAGAATAACCAATTCTCGAACTTCTCTTTTAGACTGTTGCATAGCTGAAATACTCAGGGAAGCTTTCTCTTTAACTGTTCAACTATGGCACACATTTTATTTTAAACAGGAGGTGCTAAAGTCATTGGGATTTCCCCTTTGGTGTTATGTGGCAAGTTACAGCAGAGTCAACATTTAAAAACATCGGCCAGGCAAGGTGGCTCATGCCTGTAATCCCAGCACTTTGGGAGGCCAAGGCGGGTAGGTCACCTGAGATCAGGAGTTTGAGAGTTTCGCTTGGCCAACATGGTGAAATCCCACCTCTACTAAAAATACAAAAATTACCCAGGTGTGGTGGCAGGCGCCTGTAATCCCAGCTACTTGGGAGGCTGAGGCATGAGAATCTCTTGAACCCAGGAGGCTGAGGTTGCAGTGAGCCAAGATAGCGCCATTGCACTCCAGCCTGGGCTACAGAGCGAGACTCTGTCTCAAAAAATAAATAAATAAATAAATAAATAAAAACATTTAGGTCTCCTGCATACTGATGTCACACAGTCATAAGAAAGTACTGAACACAGTGATATTTCTTAAACATTTTGGGTACACTCCCAGCTCAGGATCTTTTCACTTGTTTACTCTGCCTAAACTTCTCTTCTCCCATATATACTCAGTTTACTCCCTTGCCTCTTCAAGTCTTTACACAAATGGCACATCATTAGAGAGGTCTTCCCTAACGATTCTATTTAAAATTGTAACCCCCTCCATACCTGGGCACCCTCCCATTCCCTTTTCCTGTTTTACTTTTCTCCATACTATAAGCATTTTACTTATTTCTTTTGTTGATTGCCTGTCTTTCTTTTTCTTTCCTTCCCTCCCTCCCTCCTTCCCTTCCTTCCTTCCTTCTGTAGAGATGAGGTTTCACCATGTGGCCAGGTTGGTCCTGAGCTTAAGTGGTCCTCGCACCTCAGCCTGGCAAACTGCTGGGATTACAGGTGTGGGCCATCACGCCTGGCCTTACAGTAAATTCTTGATAAACAACCCAGCAACTGCCTCTTTCCTTTAAAAATTCACTTGTAGCTTCTACTGATCTGAGTATACCCAGGGCAACTTGAATCTACAATTGCAATCCTCAAACTTGGCCCAGATAAACTCTACTTATATTAATTTTGCCTCATCTTCCTTTTCGGTTATTTCATGCATGTTTCACTTTGTTCAACCTTTAATAGCTCAAACCAGAGTCTAAAGACAAAAAAAGTTACTGCACGATAGTAATTTTCATGTAGCTATTTTCATCTAGCTTGTATTTTTTTTTTTTTTTTTTTTTTACTATTTTTTGACTGACTTCGACTATTTTCACCTAGCTAGGATTTTTCAGAAGGGACATTCTTTAACTGTGTCTCACAATCCAATTTCCTCAGAGAAACTTCTTGGAGTTTCCCCAGCACAGCTGCTCATCATAGGCTTCATGGACAAAAGCCTCACTACTTATTAGAGTATCTTCTTCTGGGTCTTTTTATTTATGGCAGGTCTAATTTCTTGATGCTGCTGCACTAGTTCTAGAAGTCAAAGAAACAAAGTCAAAAGAGTTGTTTCTTGAGATAGAAGCTGAGATGGAGGTATGTATGGTTAGAAAGGGCTACTTAACCCCATCAAAGATTATTGTTATTGGAATTATGCCCTATCTCAATTGCCTATTTAACAAAGCAAATAATCTAGAATGGGCAAGACTTAAGACAATTATGATTGGTTACTAAGTGTTCACTTAACTTCCAAACTGGCATATCTTCTGAGTAGATGGATTCAGCACAACTTCAATTCTATGCTCCTGGGTTGCAATCCTCAAACTTGGACCAAATAAACTCTCTAGTTATATTAATTTTGCCTCAGCTTCTACCTTTTAGGTCAATAGTATTAAGCCTCTTCAAGTGGTCCTGAAGTATTAAGCCTCTTTAAGTGGTTACTGAAGCTGTATTCATCTTTTTTCTGTGTGTGTGTGTGTCATTTTGTATTGTTTCTGTTGCTATATCTTTGAATTTATTTACCTTTTTCTCTGCATTGCTTAATGCGCTAGCAATCCCATCCAAAGAAATTTTTATTTCAAATATTTTTCACCTCCATCCAGAAATTTGATTTTTCAAAAATCTTTCCAGTTTCTCTCCTATCATGTCTTCCTTTAAATCTTTGAGCATATTCATAACAGGTGTTTAAAATCCTTGTCTGTTAATTCCATCATTTTTATCATTTTGGGGTTTGTTTCTATGAACTTCGTGAGATATTTTCTTACCACTTGGTCTCTCTCTCTCTCTTTTGAGACAGAGTCTTACCCTGTCACCCAGGCTGGGTTGTGGTGGTGCAATCATAGGTCACTGCAGCCTCAAACTCCTGGGCTCAAGCAATCCTCCCGCCTCAGCATCCCCAAGTGCTGCGTGTCTTTCAATTTTTGACTGGATGTCTCACATTTTGAATTTAATGTTGTTGAATCCTGGATTTTACTGTAGTCTTTCAGAGAGTTTTAGAATTTGTTCTTACAGGTAATTAGGTTACTTACAGAGCAGTTTGATCCTTTCAGGGCTTGTTTTAAGGCTTTTGAAGAATCTACAGTAGTTTATGTTCTGGGTCCTGCAGTCTACGGTTATTATATCTCACTAAGGCATGACACTTTCGTAACCACCCAAAAGGTTCATCTTGCCTACTGCCTAGACAGAGTCGATTTATCAAGACAGGGGAATTGCAATAAAGAGCAATTCATGCAGAGCTGGCAGTGCAGGAGACCTGAGTTTTATTAATCAAATCAGTCTCCCTGAGCATTTGGGGATCAGAGTTTTTAAGGATAATTGGGTGGGTGAGAAGCCAGTGAGATGGGAGTGGTGACTGGTTGGGTAGGAGATGAAATCATAGGGAGTCGATGCTGTCCTCTTGCACTGAGTCAGTTCCTCCCGTGGGGGACACAAAATCAGATGAGCTAGTTTATCCAAGATCAGGTGAGTCAGTTTATCAATCTGGGAGGTGCCAGCTGATCCATCAAGTGCAGGGCCTGCAAAATATCTCAAGCACTGATCTTAGATTTTACAATAGTGATATTATCCCCAGGAGCAATTTGGAGAGGGTTAGAATCTTGTAGCCTTCAGCTGCATGAGTCCTAAATCATAATTTCTAATCTTTCGGCTAATTTACTAGTCCTACAAAAGCAGTCTAGTCTCAAGAAGAGGGTTTATTTTGAGAAAGGGCTATCACCTTTGTTTTAAACTATAAGCTATACACTAAGTTCCTCCCAGTGTTAGTTTGGCCTACGCCTAGGAATGAATAAGGATAGCCTGGAGGTTAAAAGCAAGATGGAGTTGGTTAGGTCTGATCTCTTTCACTGTCTCAATGATAATTTTGCAATGGCAGTTTCACATCTGAGGTTTCTATTGCGTGTTCCATGGTATTCAATAATCTCTTCACTCTGGTTGCTGGGAGCTCAAATGATTCCCAGTTCTGTGTGACCTCTCACCATTGTTTGGTGTACTGCTCCCCAGTAATTGTTCTTTCCTGGCCTTGTGGAGTTTCACGTTTTTTATTCAGTTAAAGATTCAAGGTACTCCTAAGCAGATTTCTGAAGCTCTTTTTCCATGTAATTCCCTCCTCTCCAGAATTCTGCCCTACAAATTCCAACCGACTTGGCCTACCCCAATTTCGTCAACTCCAATCTCTGTCTTTTCAACCCAGGAGATCCTAGGTTTCCATATGATTTCCTTTCATCGCACCACAGACTGGAAATCGCCTCTGGGCAAAAGGGCAGGATGATATACGGCTCCTTTTATTTCTTTTCTCTCAGGTAAAACAGTCCACAGCTGTCCGTTGTCCAATGTCTGAATAGGTGTCTCCTATATTTTGTTCCGTTTTCTAATTGTTTATAGTGGGACACTAAGTCCCGACCCATTTTCTTTTCTTGCCCAGAGTGGAAGTTTTAGGAAACTCCTTATGGAAAATGTGAATTGTTTTATTATTTTTTATGGTCGAAAACATCTTTCTCTATGATATCTTCCCACTCACCCTACTTTTTTCCTTCTCAGGAAACACTGACGGGAACACACGTGCCGGTGCTACCCTCCAGTGACTGGACTAGATCCTTGCGCAACTTCAACCCGCGCTAGCTCCGCCTACGGCCGGCCACGCCCCGTCTTCTCACCGGCGCGCCTCCCTCTTGTTCGTCCTCCCTCCCCCTGTGGACTGCGGCGCTGGCGTTCCGCGCACGCCGGCTCACTGCGCCTGCCCGGCGTGTGGACGCCACACGCTCCCGGAAGTGGGAGGTGGCCGCTGGAGTTTGTGTGGCCGCCGCCGCGGGAACGCGAGCCCGGTAATTTTTCAACGGAGAAAGGCGAGGCTTTCGGGCTCTGCAGAGTGAGAGTTAGCAAGTGTCCGGCTCCAGCAACTCTCCTCTGGCGTGACAGCCGGCATGGAGGATCCACAGAGTAAAGAGCCTGCCGGCGAGGCCGTGGCTCTCGCGCTGCTGGAGTCGCCGCGGCCGGAGGGCGGGGAGGAGCCGCCGCGTCCCAGTCCCGAGGTGAGGAGTCGACCCGCGCCTGGCTGTTGGCGCCAGCTGCCCCGTCCCCAAAGCGCCCTCGGCACCCCTTTCTTCTCAGGTGTCCCGCAGAAGGTGCAGCTGTGCGCCCTTGGACCCCAGCCTCTTCCTCGGTGCCCAGCTCCCTGGCTTTATCCTCGGGTGGGTGTCTTGGAGCCCCCTCAGGGCCGAATCACTCTCTGGGAGGGAGGAAATCGTCAAGACCAGTTCTGTCTACAGTGGGTTAACAGGTTCTAAGAGGGAGTTTTGCTTTAAACTTAATTCTGTGTTCACGGTTGCTGTTGTCACTCCATGTAGCCGTTATGGGTAGTTTGCAAGGCTTTATGTTTTTAAAATCTCACCATATACGCTAGGTATGTCACTTCATGCCTGTTTTTAAAAAAAGAAAAAATTTAAAAAGCACTCACCAGCATCCCTGTCTCTGTACCTGTTAAGTGGAGCTTCGTCTTAGCTGCTTTTGCTCATTAACTGGTGTCTCATATAACCATAGTATAAGATTGAATGAATCATTTTGACATCTCATCGGTTGAACTTAGTTACAGTGGCAAAGTTGTAGAACAGTCTTAAAACTTATTTAACGAATGTTAATTGTTGACTAGCGCTGCGGATTGTAAGTGATTGAATACTAAAATTGATCTTTTCCTAATAATAAACATGTTGAACACTTCGTAAAGCTTCATAAAGTGCGTATTTGCAAGAGGCCTCCTAACTCTTGCTCCTTCCGTCCACAGTCAGTTTCCATCTGGCAGCTAGAATGAGCTTTTCAATAACATGAATTTGGCTTATTCCCCTCCTGAGTCACTTCCATTTGCTGCTCTGCGGGGTCGGGTGCCTGCCTCCCTTGGTAATTGCATCTCACACAGTTTTTTCCCTTTTGTTCCCAGTGCCCCTCGCTGCCTTGTGTTCTTTGACATTGGAAAGAAGGTCTCGTTAAGGATCTCTGTATGTTCCTTTTGCCCTGTGTGCACTTCCTTTGGATCCTTGCAATTATCTTTCTCCTTCTAAGGTTGTTATTTCAAAGAGTACTTGCACATCCCTTCTCTTGTAAAGAACCACTCTTCCACCTGCCTCCCTCTTCAGCCTGAGATACGTTGTCAATCTCATCCTGTAAGTGGGTTTTAAAATAAATTTCGAAGTTTATTTTTAGTAAAAGAAGTGTGTTTGAATATGCTTCTTTATATTTGAAAGTCTTGACACTTTTACAGCTACTTAAGGCCTAGGTCTCTGTTCCAAATTGGCTTTAGTGACGGTAGTAATTGTTAAAAACTTACTGTTGCATGCTCTTTATAGTGATACTTTTTTTTTTTTTTTTTTTTTTTTTTACAAAAAGCCGGTCGTAGTTGCCCTCTCCCGTAGTCCCAGCTACTGGGGAGGCTCAGTGGGGAGGATCACCTGAGCCCATGGGTGGAGGCTGCAGTGAGCTGTGATCGTGCCACTGCACTCCAACCTGGGTGACAGAGTGAGACCCTGTCTCAAAAAATAATAGTAATGATACTTTTTTTTTTTTTTTTTTGGAGACGGAGTTTCGTTCTTGTTGCCCAGTCTGGAGTGCAATGGCATGGTCTCAGCTTACTGCAACCTCCCGCCTCCCGGATTCAAGTGATTCTCGTGCCTCAGCCTCCCTAGTAGCTGGGATTACAGGAACCCACCACCACGCTTGGCTAGTTTTTGTATTTTTAGTAGAGATGGGGTTTCACCATGTTGGCCATGCTGGTCTGGAACTCCTGACCTCAGGTGATCCGCCCACCTCGGCCTCCCAAAGTGCTGGGATTACAGGCAATGAGCCACTGCGCCTGGCCATGATACAGTGTTTTTCAATCTGGGCCAAAGTTTTTTGTTGAATTCAGGTGGTAAATTTCCATTATCTCTAATGCTAGTTGTCTTTGTAAACTAGTAGAAGCTATTGCATATTTATATTTTTAATAAGTAGGTTCAGATTTCATCAGAACTCTCCTTTTGGAAGAACGTCAATCAAGAAAAATTCTAAGTTTTTTTTCAGTGTGCAGATGCAGAGGTTTTCCTTTTCTTTTTTTAAAAGGTAGTACCTAGATTTTTGGCAGCAGAATAATAGCATTTCCAGAACATGTTTTCAAAATGTTCTCTATACAGAAAAAGTTTTATTTGACAAGCAGTTACTTTGTAGCTTACTGTTAAAATGTGTTTTCTTTTTTCTTGCAACAACAGATTGTGTTCCTTTAAAAAAATGCTAAAAATCAAGCTCCGGTACCCTTCCCAATAAGAAGAGGACAGCAATTATAGAATACCTGTCTTTTTGTAAAAGAAAATTTGTAACTCATCTTTAAGTTCAACAACAGTTTTTTTATGTTTTTTTTTTTTTTTTTTGAGAGGGAGTCTCTCTCTGTTGCCCAGGCTGGAGTGCAGCGGCTCAGTCTCGGCTCGCTGCAAGCTCCGCCTCACGGGTTCACGCCATTCTCCTGCCTCAGCCTCCTGAGTAGCTGGGACTACAGGCGCCCGCCCGGCTAATTTTTTGTATTTTTAGTAGAGACGGGGTTTCACCGTGGTCTCTATCTCCTGACCTCGTTATCCGCCCGCCTCGGCCTCCCAAAGTGCTGGGATTACAGGCGTGAGCCAACGCGCCCGGCCTCAACGACAGTTTTAAAGTAGTTTGCCACAAGATAGTAAACCTCTGTTTGGTATAGAAGATTTTCATGGCCACATCCCATAATGTAAAAGCTTCTCTTATTTGAGATAATATAAACCATACATCCACTTAATTGAATACGTGAATATTGCAAAATGTTACAGTTCTGTGATGGTGAATGTTTCTCTCCATATTGTGGAATCTATCACTTTTCTCATTATATGGTCCGTATTATATGTGACATGTGATAGGTGGATGTAGTTACTGGTACGGATGCTGATGCAAATGTAAGTATGTATTTCGTAAACTAATTTTGTCTTTCTGCAGATTAACAATACAAGTAGGGTTTTTAGTATTTTCTTTCTGCTCCTTGGCAGATTGATTTGAGCATCCTTCTTTGTGAACCATTAGTGTAGATTTGAAATTTGGGAGGAGACACTGCTTTCTGAGGATTGGACCTCGGCTGTCTCTAGAACTTCACTGAAGGAAGAGAACTAGAGCTGGACCTAGGAAAGGAAGCAAATTTTTCTTTATGGAAGTCATAATTTATAGCATCTATAGAAGAGGCCTAAGTGTTACTTGTGAATAATTTTTCTAGCTACAGTTTAGGATGAGAATTAACCAGTGAATCAGAAAGAGGATTTATCCAAAGAGAAAATCTGCTTAAATTAACTGAGACATCTGTTTTGGTAGACAAACTGTTACTTAATGTTGACCTAAATTTTAACCTGAAATTTACTAAATGATGACTAAAGATGAAGTTTCAAATTCAATGTAAATTTAAAGTCAAAAGATAATTTTTTGTAAAATTCTGGTCAAGCAGAGCAATATCTATTGTAAATCTAATATATTGTTGAAAGTGAATCATTGGTCAACTAGCAATACTTTTTTTTTCCTTAACATTGTTAACAAGGAACCTCAGTGTGGCTGTTCTTTAATTTATGGACAGTTCACACATTGGAACTGCTGACCTCTTCCTCAAAGGAAATGGGTGAGTCACTCTTGAGTACTCTGGCACCTTACCTAGCATTACATTTCCAGTAAATGTGTGTTGCATTAAATTGAGAGCTTAGAGTAAGAAATGGTTCCTGAACCATCAGGATCAGTTCTGAGTTAGGGACTGTGGCCTCTCTGTGATTATCCTTCCTTGATCTATAATTACAGTTTACGTGAGGACAATGTGGTACATTATAACTAAGGTAACAAGCTTTAATAGGGATAATTAGTACTAAATATTTTTCAAAATTATGGAACATAGCTAATATTTGTGATATTGCATGTGGAAAATAACTTACAAATGAATCTTTGGAACTTAACATATTAGTAATTTGAGACTGCCTGTGGAGAAAATAGAATTGAGTCATGTTTTTTCTTAACAGATTTTTATTTATGAAAAAATTCATAATTCTATAGTTCTTCTGGTTAGTGGACCTAAGTACAACTTTTGGAAAATGTAAGTTTTGAAATTAAATACATTTCCTTCTTTGAGTACTAGGAAGCTGTAAATTAGATTTGCGGTCCATTTTGTTTTTATGTTGGGCAATTTTTGTTAACTTTGTGAAATGAAGTCAGGTTAAAAAATTATCAGAAGTTATTACACATGTATAATGTAAAAGTTCATTTAAAAATGGGTTCATTTGTAAATATTAGCATATTGTTTGTGAAGGGCTTGTTGTATAGCCTGTGATATTAATAGTTACCATTTATTAATAGCTACTGTGGGTGTAGGGGTCTGATACACATAATCTCATTTAATCTTTGTAATAATTCTGCCCAAACACTATTTACCATTACCAAATTACCATTTTATAGATAAGGAAATTGAGGATCAGAGGCTAATACGTAGCTATCCAAAGTCATGCTGCTATTTCTAGTAAATAGTCAGCTGGGGTTCTCTATTGAGGTGGTGTTGACTCCCACCACCAGTCTTCTTTTTACTTAGCTTTGTTTCCTTTGAGGAACCTCATGACTCATAATAGAGTGGGGTAAATTGTATTGGAGACGCATCTTCCTTCTTATCCTTTCCTCCGTTTAGGAGCTGCAGTGAACACTTTTCATTGAACATGTAGCATGAAGAGGCTTCAGAAGTTTGAAAGTTTGAATCTTTAAATCTGTGATGTTTGTACTAATTATAAACTACATCCTTTTTTTTTTTTTTTTTTTTTTTTTTTTTGGTAGGAAACTCAACAGTGTAAATTTGATGGCCAGGAGACAAAAGGATCCAAGTTCATTACCTCCAGTGCGAGTGACTTCAGTGACCCGGTTTACAAAGAGATTGCCATTACGAATGGCTGTATTAATAGAATGAGTAAGGAAGAACTCAGAGCTAAGCTTTCAGAATTCAAGCTTGAAACTAGGTAATTAAAAATAACTTATAAAATTATAAAAGTAGTACATGCTCATTTTAGAAAATCTTGAAAACATTGAAATATTAAAAATCATCTGTAATCCTACCGTAATGACATGATCCTATTAACAGTTCACAAAAACTAATTAACATTTTTTATGTGCAACTCTGATTATTTTTGTCTGTCTTCTAGATGATAGGACTGCTGAATCAAAGTCAAATATTTTAATGACCTACCGGCAATGTATAGGAGTCTCTGTCTTATTATGACAAGAGTGTTTTAAATTTTTTTAGTTGCTCATTTAAATGATGGATAGTTATATTAGTGAGATAGAGTATTTTTTATTTTCTTTTTGCCATTTGTATCTTTTATAAAAAGAGTTTGTTTGAAATCAGGTACAATAAATTAAAAACATTCACTTAACAGGAATATTTTTTGTTTTAATTTCTAAAAAATAATCTACAATGATCGTTTGCATTATGTTTCACTGTATATTGAGTGAGAAAACAATGCAACTTAGTCAACTGTATGTGTATTTTAATGAGATATACACATACCTAAGTTTTTAGTAATTTTTTGCGAAACAAATCACTTTACGTTCATTGGGCCATGGGGCAGAAATGGCTTTTGGAGTCCAGAAAAATACATCGATTTTTGATAAACGGTAGAACTGCCAGGCATCAAGAAAAAAAATTGCCTGTATGAAATAGGTAAAAACTCTTCCTTTTTCAAGACATCTCTGAATCATAATTCTCTTAATAGTAGTATTCTTCCTCTTTAGAGTTTCACCACTCTTCAAAAGAGCACAAATTTATTAATTTCTAGATTGTCTACATCATAATGTATGAAGAAATTTTTGACTCCTATTTCCCCGATTCTTTCTGTTATGAAGGTACAACTTGTAGCCTACAGAAGATTTTCCGAGCAAAATTTTTGTCCTTCCCAGGTGTGAAGATCAGTTGCTTACTCCTGGCTTGCGTGGGAGCTAGCGATCTAGATGTATGTTTATACGTTTATTCAACAAGCCTGTATTGAATTCTAAGTACTGCACTAGGCATTGAAGTTATAAAGGTAAATACAGATATGTTCCCCACTTTGGCAATCTCAGTCTTTTGGGAAAACATACAAAGAAATCATCACAATACAGAGTGGCCAATGCTATATTGGAGGTCTGGCCAGGTACAGCATGAGAATACAGAGGAGAATATTTCTCAGGAATTCAGAAAGATGACATTTGAATTGTGCCAAACAGAAAAGGGAGGGGGAGGGTATTTCAGGCAAAAAAATAACAGAAACTTTTCTAATTCCAGTTTGTATGGTTTCTGCAACATGATCTTGCCTTTTCTTCACCTGTTGTGCAACCAAAGTTATAGGACATAAAAGTGTATTGAGAACATGCCTTTTATTTTTTATTTTTTTGAGACAGAGTCTTGCTCTGTCGCCAGGCTGGAGTGCAGTGGTGTGATCTCGGCTCACTGCAACCTCCGACTCCTGGATTCAAGCGATTCTCGTGCCTCAGCCTCCTGAGTAGCTCGGATTACAGGCATGCACCACCATGCCTGGCTAATTTTTGTATTTTTAGTGAAGATAGGGTTTCTCCATGTTGCCCAGGCTGGTCTCGAGCTCCAGCTCAAGTGATTCACCCCCCTCCCAAAGTGCTGAGATTATAGACGTGAGCCATCTGGCTGGTTGAGGCCATGGCTTATAGTATATTTTGTCTGCAGTACACAGTATACCTCAGGAACATGTGACAATGATAGTGAAATGATAGGTTGTAGCCAAGTTGTGAAGGAACTCTATGCTGAAGTCTGCATTTTACCTCGTAAGCAGAAGGGAGCCACTGAAGATATTTAAGCAGAAAATTGGTGTTAGTGCTCAGTTCTCAAGTAAAGTAAAGAATGAATCGAAGTGTTGTGGTAATGGAGGCATTTGCCATGCTCAACGAAGCTAATGAGAGCCATAGCAGAAAGAATTAGAGAGAATCATATTCTGAATATGTTTCTGAGTTAGAATTGACAAACATGGTGAATATTTGGAAGAGCAAAGGAGATGTTAAAGATAGCAGGTTTCTATCCAGAGCAACTAGTTGTATGTTTGTCCTGCCATTAGCTTTGCAGACAACTCTGGTAAATGTAGTCTCTCCCCCTATCACACCTCCCACCCCACAACAATAACAACCAATAAAAAGATAAAAAAAGAAAGTAATCCAAAGCTGTCACATGACACAGAGGTCACTCACAGTGCCTTAATATGAAAGAGGTTAAGGATTTTCTCCGTAGGTCTTGATAATTTTGAAAATCTCAAGCAAAGAAACAATATTAAGACATTTCATCTTAAAAAAGCTAACTGGTTGATTATTACTATTTTCATGGGTAGGATTTTTTTCAGTGCTTAATTGTATTTTAGAAAGGAAAATAAAAGACTAAAAAGGTTTTTTTTAAATAGTCATTAATCAGTTAACATGATACTTTACTTGGCACTACACATTAATTATAATTTAGATCTTTTTATTTTTACTTCCATTTCATATTTGCAGGCCAATATAGGATTCATTTATATAACGCTGAAGGAAGCCTGAATGCTGGTTGCAACTTAATTTTTTGGAAAAATACATATTGTTTAAAGAATGAAGTCACCTGATCACTGTTATCTGTTAGGATGACCTTTCTCTCCTCCCCACTACTCCATTTGTGGAATGTATATTTTAAAGCTACCTATAATATTGAAATCCCCTAAATCATATTCTACCCATGATAAATTAAGAAACTTATTTCTAGTTAAGAACCTACTAGTGTGATAATGCTCCTTTGGACAGTTTACTTAGAGTGTATTCTAATTGAGTTTTCCTTGTTAAGTAGCCAACAGACATTCACCTTTATATGCTAGGCTCATAATGCTTTCATATTCATATGAATCTTTTGAGTTGACTAACCTACAAAAGCCAAAAGAAAGGAAAGAGATAATACGATATTTTCAACTTAACCCAAATTTTTATATTCTTAAGTTTATATTTTGGCCAGTGGAATAATTTTATATTAATTTCAATGTTTGTATCATATATGTTATCTTAGTATATAAGGCAGTATGACGACTGTGTTGGTAGTATATGCTGACAGTGTTTATGGTTTGAAGTACCAGTATATGTTGGAGAAAATACTGTTATATACTACTAAAATAAAAAAAGACTTGTGAAGGAAAATGTTAATGTTGTAATAAACATATTATTTTAATTAGTTCTTTGCTAACTTAGCTTTGAGTCTTGCTTTTCTTACATTTATTTTAGCTAGCATTTGCTAAATTTCGCTGTGATTGTCAGTGTTCAGCCCAGTGCCAGCAGGTGAGAGTTTTGATTCTTGACTGTAGAATTTACCTAAGTGTAACTAGTCTTCTTCTTCTACTTAGAGGAGTAAAGGATGTTCTAAAGAAGAGACTGAAAAACTATTATAAGAAGCAGAAGCTGATGCTGAAAGAGAGCAATTTTGCTGACAGTTATTATGACTACATTTGTATTATTGACTTTGAAGCCACTTGTGAAGAAGGAAACCCACCTGAGTTTGTACATGAAATAATTGAATTTCCGGTTGTTTTACTGAATACGCATACTTTAGAAATAGTAAGTGAATTTTTGTATTTTAATTGTATTTCTAGCAGCAACTATTCTGGTGTTTACTGGTTATGTGGAGGACCTCATTTGCTTTTTAGCCAGAATTAGACTTCTAAAGTAAGTTTTTTCTTTGCCATGAACTTTATATCAGCTTGATTAATAGAAAAGCTGTAACAAAGCAATTTTAGAGACTACTGCTTTCTTTTTGCAGTAGCGGAAGTTAAAATGTTGTTTTCCATTTGCTTAGAACATCTGGGTGTGGACATCAGAATCTCCTGGTAAGTAAAAAAATAAAGAAAACACTAATGATACTGATGCCTGGCCCTAGTCCCAGAGATTCTAATTTAGTTCTCTGATAGGGCCTCTGACATCAGCATTTTTTTGAAGCTTTTCAGTTGGTTTTAATATGCGGTCAGGCTTGATAACCACCACTGTGGCCTAGTGTGAACTCTGATCTCTAAGAATGATAATTTACAAAAATGACTTTTGAACCTCTCTCTCTGGTGGAAAGTTTAAGGGTGAAATGACTCATATAACCCTGGTTTCTAAGCCAAATAATATGTGTGCTTTAGATACTTGTCAGTGCTTTATTAGTTAAGAAAGTCTAGTAGGAATTCCCTAAAATAATACTGTTTACCTTATAAAATCTGAGCAAGAATATCCTAACATCTCAACTTTCCAAAAGTCACTTCTGTGATATCCTCAGTTGCTACCAACCCACTTGGGAGTAAGTATAAAAAGGTTTTGTGAATTAAAATGCATAGGTTATTAGTGCTATTCAAAATCTCTTTTAGTTATAGTCTTAGCCTATTTCTATAATTTTCTTATCCAAAGCAGATTGAAGGTCAGTAAATTAGAAGGAAAAATGGCAGCTATGAAGGCAAATAATCTTGCATAAGTCACTAGATTTTACTTCTCTCTTACTCAAGGACGTTACTGTAGCAGTTCTCCCTCATTTGGACATTATGATTTATTGCTTTTGTCTATATTGCTCCCACTACACAAAAACATGTTATATTTTTCACACTGTGTAAAAACTTCATCCCACTTCACTGCCAGCTACTGCATTTCTTTGTTCCTCTTTTTGGGAAAATTCTTCACTTAAGTTATAGGTACTTATATGTTTATCTCTTTCCTTTTCTTCCATTCTCTCAAATTTATACCATAACCTTCAATAAAGTTTAAGCTGTGTATTCAATCCCATCATTCCACTAAAATCACTCATCAACATCATCTTTGACCTTTACCCTAACTCCTGGCAAAATTGACCATTCTCACTTTTTTTTTTCTTTTTTAAGATAGAGTCTTGTACCCAGACTTGAGTGCAGTGGTGCAAACCCAGCTGACTGCAACCTCCACCTCCTGGGTTCGAGCAGCTCTCCTGCCTCAGCCTCCTGAGTAGCTGGGAATACAGGTGTGTGTCACCACGCCCGGCTAATTTTTTGTATTTTAGTAGAGACAGGGTTTCATCATGTTGCGCAGGCTGGTTTCAAACTCCTGAGCTCAGGCAATCCACCTGCCTCAGGTTCCCCAAGTGCTAGGATTACAGGCGTGAGCCACCATGCCCGGCCATTCTCACTTAAAAAAAAAAAAAAAAAAAATTAACACTGCACTGCTGGCTTGAATACTCTTTCCTTGGAGCATTTTCTTCAGGTATAACTTGTTCTGCTTGATTTTTCTCCAGCCCTACTGGATTCCCCACTTGCAGTTTTCTTTGCTGGTTCCTCCTTTCCTTCCCAGCTTCCCCGTATCAGATGACCCAGGTCTCAATCCTAGCCCCCGTTCTCTGCTTACATCCTCTTCTCTGCTTACATCCTTTCGCTTGATGATCTTATCTAGTTCCATAGCTTTCAGAAGCTGTCTCTTTGCTGGTGACTTTCAAATACATATTTCCAACCCGTTCCAAATCCAGATTGCTTATTTGAAATCTCTGCTTAAGTGTCTCAACCTTTTGAACTTACCCCAGCCCATTCTATCTTTAGCCTCCTGTAGCCTGGGGGATGGCAGCTTTTTCTAATTAGAATCCTTCTAATTGCTCAGTTCAAAAACTTTGGAGTCATCTTTGACTCTTGTTTCTCTCACATCCAGGTCATCAATGATTCCTGTTTGGCTCTGCCTTCAAAATATATCCAGAACCCAGTCACTTAACTGAACTGCTGTGACTTCATTCTGATCCTCTATCATTTATGTGACTTACTGCATTCGCCACCTAACTGGTCTTTGTGTTTCTGTCTGTGTCCGCCTACAACCAGTTCTCAAAAAACTGGCCAGAGTAATCCTTTTAAAATACAAGTCATTTCACCCCTCTGCTCAAAACCCTGCAATGGCTCCTCATTTAACTCAGAGTACAACCAATATTCCTTACATGACCTGGCCTATTGTTTCCTCTGATTGTTTCCTGTCTTACTACTCTTTTCCTTAACTCATTCCACTCCAGGCATACTGACCTGCTTGCTCATTCTCAAAAATGCCAGGCATGCTTTATCCCATTACTTGCCAGGACTTTAGCTCCAGTTTTCTTAGCCAGAAGTCTTGCTGGCTGATGTTTTTCTCCTTCTCTCCCTCCCTCCCGTTTTTCCTTCCAGTCCTTCCTTAAATCTTACCTCTAAATAAAGCCTACTTGATTATCCTATTTAAGAGTGTGGCCTGTGCCCATGTTTCTGACCCCCCTTACTGCTCTACTTTCCTTTGCTTGCTCAAGGGAGTCTCCTACTTTATCTTCCTGAGTAGCTGGGATTACAGGCACCCAGGTTCCTTTAGTTTTAATAACCCTTACTACCTTTTAACTTACCTAATTTATTTAAGTGATGATTAAAGATTTGGCCAATGAATGTATAGTTCTCTCTAGCATTCTTCTGTTAAAAGTATTTAGTAGCGAATAACATTTTAGTAATATCTGTTATTTAGTACTACCGAATTATAATTATAAGGGAAGTTGCAATATATTTTTGAAAGAATGTCATTTAGAATGATAAAATAGTGATACTTAAAAGGATATAGACTTAATTTATCTGTGATATGCAGTTAAGTGGAATGTTGCAGTGTATCCGGTAAGAGTGTCTAACTTTTGAAGTTCAATTATTCTTTTGTTTTGTTTTGTTTTGTTTTTTTTGAGATGGAGTCTTGCTTTGTCACCCAGGCTGGAGAGCAGTGGCTCAATCTCGGCTCACTGCAACCTCTGCCTCCTGGGTTCAAGCGATTATCCCACCTCAGCTCCTTGAGTAGTTGGAACTATACGTGCATGCCACCTCGCCCAGCTAATTTTTGTATTTTTAGTAGAGACAGGTTTCACCACTTCGGCCAGGCTGGTCTTGAACTCCTGACCTCAAGTAATCCACCCCCCTTGGCCTCCCAGAGTGCTGGGATTACAGGCATTAGTCACCACATCTGGCCTCAGGTGTTCTTTTTTGTTCTTTACTGTTGCTCATTTACAATTCTTTACAACCATTTATAGCTCATCCACTTAATAGATTAGTAGGTAGAAAGAATTTATTCTTAGGAAATACAAACTTTTCTTAATTTTTAAATCTTCTGCCATGAAGAATATTTTTTGTCATTTTCTCTATATCTACTACCTAGGATTAACAGTTGCTGCCTTTAAATCTTTAGGGTTTAAAATTGTCCTTAATCTCAAAATTGACTCAGTGTGTTCTGGTTAGGGAGGCATTACTGGCTAGAGGAAAAAGCACTTAGAGATCGGAGCCTGATAACAATACTGGCCTCACTTAGTTTACAGAGTTGTGAGCATAAAATAAGACCATCGTGTCAGGAGATCGAGACCATCCTGGCTAACATGGTGAAACCCAGTCTCTACTAAAAATACAAAAGATCAGCCAGGCGTGGTGGCAGGCGTCTGTAGTCCCAGCTAGTTGGGAGGCTGAGGCAGGAGAATGGCGTGAACCTGGGAGGCGGAGCTTGCAGTGAGCCGAGATTGTGGCAGTGCACTCCAGCCTGGGAGACAGAGCGAGACTCTGTCTCCAAAAAAAAAAAAAAAAAAAGAGACCATCGTGAAAGCTTCTTGAAAAGATTCAACATTACTGTAGATACACAGTGTTAGCAACTCTTAAACTACCTATATATCATACAGTTAAATTTTGACTATTTAGAATTTAGTTCAATTGGATTTTTATATGAAAATAAAGACTATTCAGGAGTAAATGAGAGAAAAATAGTTTAAAGCTAATTTATTATAACTGCAGGCTGGCATTTCTTCAAAAGAATTTATTATTTTTAAAACTTAGTATCTTGAAGTAGAGGATGCATTAATGCGCTTTATAGTTTTAAAATATTATGAACAAAATTATTAATATTTTGTTCCTCAGGAAAATAATTAAATTTTGGGTTGAAATCTTTCACACACTCACTTTATCGTAAAATATTTTAAATTATGAATCAATTCATTTTTTAATTTAAAAATTAAGAGTGCTTTCGATGTGGGGAATTATTCTTAAAAACTGGAAGGGTTTATGCCGTGAGATCCTATGAAATTGCAACCTGCTGTGATGAATTCGTCGTGTATCATGTATCGTGTATCTTAACTCATATAAATTACTTTAACTTGCTATCCTTCCCTTGCAGGAAGACACGTTTCAGCAGTATGTAAGACCAGAGATTAACACACAGCTGTCTGATTTCTGCATCAGTCTAACTGGAATTACTCAGGTTATAATTCTAAGTTCTTCTTTCTAGAGTTTGAAAGAGTTCTTGAAATTAGGGATTTATTTTATACATAATTTAAAAAAATTATTACTGTTGTGAACAATTTAATACCTTGCTTGGTAAAGATCTTTCATGTTGTAATAATTAAAAAAAAAAAAACAGCAAATTTTATATCTGGTAACATTTTCCTCAGCCTTTCCTCTTAAGGAGTTGTAGTGGTGAATCGAAAGATTTCGTCTGTAAAATGCATCAGCAAATTGTTTCCATACTGAACTTGGAGATGTTTGATTTATTTATTTTTTTGAGACAGTCTCACTCTGTCACCCAGGCTTGAGTACAGTGGCGTGACCTCGGCTCACTGCAGCCTCTGCCTCCTGGGCTCAAGCGATTCTCCTGCCTCAACCTCCTGAGTAACTGGGACTACAGGCGCGTTGCCACCACACCCGGCTAATTTTTTTATTTTTAGTAGAGACCTGGTTTCGCCATATTGGCCAGGCTGGTCTCGAACACCTAACCTCAAGTGTCCCGCCTCGGCCTGCCAAAGTGCTGGGATTACAGACGTGAGCCACCATGCCCAGCCAGAGATAAGTTTTAGAATGTATCTGTTTACAACCTGACTTTATATTTTGCATTTATTTTTTATTTTTATTTTTTTGAGATGGAGTCTCACTCTGTTGCCCAGGCTGGAGTGCAGTGGCACGATCTTGGCTCACTGCAACCTCTGCCTCCCAGGTTCAAGCGATTCTCCTGCCTCAGCCTCCCAAGTAGCTGAGACTATAGGCACACACCACGATGATTGGCTAATTTTTTTTTTATTTTTAGTAGAGACGGGTTTCACTGTGTTGGCCAAGGTGGTCTTGAAGAACTCCTGACGTCAAGCCCTCCTCGGTCCCAAAAAGTGTTGGGATTACGGGCATGAGCCACCACACCTAGCCTGTTTCATGAATTTTTAGGTCTCTGATTTTTTATTGTATTCTAATGTGGTAGGCACTTTTTTCATTTAGTTAGTTCATTCATTCACTCCACGTGTATTTGAGTGCCTACTATAATATATGCCAGCATTTGTATATATCTTTATGTGTATATAGACGTATGTCTGTGCAGTGGTCACAGTAGGCCTAATAAGTCAGTGTTTTATTGCGGTGTTGTGGACATCTATGAAAAGGGCTTCCATATATGACAGAGGGAATAGAAGACTGTCCTGGGGAAAAACATCCTCAAGTTGATGAACTTGGGCTGAGTCATGAAAGATAGGTAGGCAGAAAAGAATGGCTGGGCATTTCAGGTGGGAACTGGCAGACCTACAGGTAGTTCAGGATGGTTCAGATGTGTATGGACTGTTAAGAAAATGGTCCAGATAGGCAGAGGCAATCCAGATCCTGAAGGGTCTTGTGCATCTATTTGTCCTGAAAGCCTTGGAGAGTGGTTGGAGGATTTAAGTATGAGAGTGATAGGGCGGACCCGATTTACGTTTTAGGAAGATCAGTCTGGCAGCAGTATGTAGTATGCGTGGAAAATTGTGAGACCTGAGATGGGAAGACACTTAGGGAGCTGTGGCTTTCAGCTTAGAAGAGATTTCTCTTTTCCCTCCTCTAGAAATCCAGTAAGCCGCTAGGTTCAGGCCTATAAAAAGAGAACCACTGGGGATGATCTTAAATCTTAATTTTGGGAGGATTATACTTTTCAGTTGAAAGTAGTCCCAGTACTTGGTTATGAAATTTTTAGAATTTCTTAAAAATGAAACTTTAGGTGGAGCTAAGCCAAGGAAACCATGAATTTAAAGTATCAGCCTTTCTCATACTGTTTCTTCCCCTCCAACTTAGGTCTGGGTATTTTGTAGGTCTACGTGAAGCTGCAGCCCTGATTTTTGTATATTTTACTTTTATATCCTCAGGATCAGGTAGACAGAGCTGATACCTTCCCTCAGGTACTAAAAAAAGTAATTGACTGGATGAAATTGAAGGAATTAGGAACAAAGTATAAATACTCACTTTTAACAGATGGGTAAGTATTTAGGAAGATTATTTTTTTATATCTACTTTTTAAAGATTAAAGATACCCTTATTTATCTGATTTTTAGAATAACCACAAACTATTATTAGAGACCCTAGAGTCTCACCCCACAGGGAATAGTATTTTTCCTTTCACCTAAGGATGAAAGAGAGGAAGAAAACAGTGGTCACAGTCCAATACAGGACTAGAACACTACAGAAAGTTAAAAATATGTAAAGCTAAAAAGACTTTGCTAAAACTCTGTTTTTTCATGACACTTCCTTACTCAAAAAAGTTCAGACTCTTGAGCTTGGCCTTGAAGCCTCTTTCCTCTCATCCCACGCTACCTGTTTAATCTAATTCACCTGCCATTAATCCTCTTTAGTCAGACTGGCCCAGGAATTCACATGGTTTACCCTTTCTCTGTGTAGTTACTTATGCCTCCCTCTGTACTGAGAGTGTCTTCTCGACAACTTTATCATTTTTCAAAGCCCATCTTGTGTTTTACCCTGACAACGCCATTGATCTTTTTTTTCCTTGAAACCTTATAATTTCTATGGTATATACCATTCATGTTGACATCTGACCATATATTCTGATATATAATCTTTGTGTACATACATAAGACTTACTTTTGCAAGGAAATCTAAAATTCTTTCAGAGAAGGACTTTTGCTGCCTAATAATCTTCCATAATGCTTACCTTAGTGCTGAGCTTAAAGTGTATGCCCAAAAAGCATTTGTTAAATGAAAAGCTAAATGGGAAGATCAGAAAGATTAAAACATAGATGACAGACGTTGTGCCAGGGCAACTCCGATACCTTAAGGCCATTAAGGTTGAAAAGAACGTCCTAAACAACTTCTGTTTCAAACTGTGCAGGTTATCCTCTATACCTGAGATGTCACCAACATAGAGGGTTTGGAGATCCTCACATGTGATAGGAGAAAAGCATTGAATTTAATCACATCATAACTGTTAAGTTTGGAAAAATGTTTATGGACCTCTTTAGAAATCCATTACTGATTTTAAACATGAATGAGCAGTGCTCTGCTAAAGTATACAGGTGTTTCTGCTGTAGTATAGTATACGCAGTTCTGGTAAAGTCTCATTTTGTGGGACAGATCACTCAAAACCTATGCAATTTTGTAACAAGAGCACTAACAAAAACCAATCATTAGAGTCTCCATTAATAATTTGGCAGCCCAGGCAAGCAGCTCAGGGAAGGTGAGGTTGCGTCAAAGTATATGAAAATTGTACAGAAGCACTAGTGTCCTGGGGACATACACTTATTTTTAATTTTCTTATAATATAGTTGACAGTATTATAAGAAAATACAAAGGATTATATCCTGTTCCCAGTATAGCAGCTGAGTTGAGGGCTTTTCTTATTTCCTGCTGAAGTTTATAATTTCCACTGCTATTATTCTGACTCTCCTTGCCTAAGAAAAACCACGTAGGAACCAACACAATTTCCATATTACACAATCAGTATTGTCCTTAACTACAATAAATTGGTTAGTGTTATAGAAAAATGTTGTAGCAGAACAGATTGTATTTTAACCATTTGATACCAGCTGCTTTTGTTTCTTTCATTTTTTTGTTTTTGGTTTTATTTCAAAGCATGCTGTCAACTTACCATGCTAAGTCTGGCAGTAAAAGTAAGCTTAGCATAATACTCAGCAAGATAGAAGCCTGCCCAGAACCATGAAAACAATCAAGATGAGCCTAATAGGAATTAGTTTGTGAACAAAAGTTAATATATCCGACTTCTTTGTTTGGTTTTTAAAGCTTAATTTTGAATTAGTATTTTGTAGGAAGCAAGGTTAATTTTCTCAGCTTGATGTTACATTTGAATATGAGAAAGTTGACATATATAAATAAATGATTTAAAATACTCATTTGTAAGAATAGCATAGCGTTTATTTCATCAATTTTTTGTCCTTTTTTAATTTATAGTTCTTGGGATATGAGTAAGTTCTTGAACATTCAGTGTCAACTCAGCAGGCTCAAATACCCTCCTTTTGCGAAAAAGTGGATCAATATTCGGAAGTCATATGGAAATTTTTACAAGGTAAAATTTCTATATTTAATAATTACGTGGTTCTTAATGATAAATTTGTTAAAATTTGCATGTACGTTAGATTGTAATTTTCCAGGTGTTTTTCATGGAAAAAAGCCATATAATTAGTTCTTACTCTTCAGATTCCAAATTCCTTATGTTCAAATTAGATAAGCCTTTTTCTCATTCAACCTGTTAACTTTATTTAAGTAGGTTAACTATATATACCTGACAAGTTTGAAACTGTAGGGGCAGTCAGTATGTGGATTGTTCATGGAGCAAATGCTCCCCACTAGATTTTAATTTTACTTCACATTTATCAAAGTTAATATGCGTGTGCCGTGTAAATGTTTAAAATATTATTGCAAGACTTACAATGAATGGCAGTCTTCTGCCATAGCCTTCACCAGAACTGGTTCCTGTTCTGAGGCAAACACTTTCAACTTATGTAAAGCTCTGTTTTTGTTTTTGTTTTTGTTTTTTTTCAAATATTTACCTTTGTATTTCTAAGTTTCATGCTTATACTACTTCTTGACTTTTCAGTTTGCGATCTATTGAATTCCTGCCCTGAAAGATCAAGATTGAGTTCAATTAAGTTACCACTCCTGCTTGTCCTTCCCTTCCTGCATCTTCCTACTATAGCTCTATTACCTTTCAGTCAGAGCACTCAGTGTTCATACTCCCGTGACTATGGAGAGTGTCCACAACTTTCCCCTGGATGTAATAATTTACTTCCGCGGTTGTTTACTTATCCCCTTACTCTCCATTCAAACTGTAAGTCACTTCTTATGACTGAGAACACTCAGGTAGTCTGTCAGGTTTTCTTTTTTCATCTGTTTTTCCCTTGCAGACTATCTTCCTGGAGCCTTTAATCCTGTTCTAATCTGAACTGTTAGTTCTTCAGGCTTCTTTTAAAATCATCTTAGGGGATTTCCTTTAATTCTCATGCATTAGATACTATGTCATTTTTCTCCCTTTACAGTTTCATTTTGGAGAAGCATGTTCTAAAGTAGTTTCATGAGAAAAGGTGCTTTTCCTTACAGACTCTTCTGTTTTAACAGTCTTTTAAAACTGAGAAGTATGCATGCAGAAAAGTAGAGTTTTGCCGATTGCTATAAAGCAAATACCCTTGTAACTTCCACCCACTTAACTCCCTTCCTTCCTCCTGGAGTTAACCCTAATTCTTCCTTTCATGGTAATCATTTTCTTATTATTCCTTATAGCTTTAGTATTTAAATGTATATCCTTATATTATATAGTTTTGTCTGGCTTTGAGCACGATATAATTAGTATTATACTGGCTATATTATTTGTTTTTTTTGTTTTTTTTTTTTTTTCAATATTATGCTTGAGATCCATCCACGTCTTGTATGTCACTGCAGTTCATTCACTTTATTGCTATTAATTCCATTGTGTGACTATACCAGATTTGTTTATCTGTTCTACTTTGGCTGGCCATTTGGATTGTTTTTATTTGGGGCTTCCATGAAGAGTACTTTTATAAGCATTGTTGTGCATGTCCCCTGGTGTCTGTGCACTCGTTTTTCTAAGAAAAACCTAAGAGTGCAGTTGCTGGGTCATGGGATATGTACATCATTGACATTACTAGATAATACAAAAATAGTTTTCCAATGGAATTGTACCAGTTTGCACTCTTATCAGTGCTATGTGAGTTTATAGTTACTGTAAGTTTTTGCTAGCATCTGATATTGTCATACATTTTAAATGTTTTGTAAATCTGACGGGTGTGTGATACCATCTCATTGAGGTATCAGCTATCTGGATTGCTTTTTTGCGAACCCCTTATTTAAATTTCTGACTGTTTTAAAAAAAATTGGGTAGTCTGTTTTTTCATTACCTGTGTATTTTACTGGTCTATAGATTTTTACTTTGGGTGCTAGTCCTTTGATTATATTTGATAATCTTTTTGTGTGAATTTATTTTGTTTTTTGGTTTATTTGTCTTTGAGATGAAGTCTCATTCTGTTGCCCAGGTTGGAGTGCGGTAGTGCGATCTTGGCTCACTGCAACCCTGTCTCTTGGGTTCAAGCAGTTCTCCTGTCTCAGCATCCCGAGTAGCTGGGACTACGGGCGCCCACAACCACAACTGGCTAATTTTTGTATTTTCAGTAGAGACGGGGTTTCGCCATGTTGGTGAGGCTGGTCTCGAACTCCTGGACTCAAATGATCTGCCCGCCTCGGCCTCCCAAAGTGCTGGGATTATAGGCGTGAGCCACTGCACCTGGCCTTTTGTGGATCTTTTTTTGTGTTTTTGAACTCATTTTGTGAATTTTTTTAAAAATTGTGTTATGGAAAATTTCAAACATAACAGAAATAGGTATGAGTCCTCATGACCCAGGTTCAACAATTAGAAACTCATGGCCAGTCATGTTTCATGTGTATCCCCACCCACTTTCCTCTTCCTTATTATTTTGAGGCAGAAGTCAGACATTATGTTATCTGATCTGTAAAAATTTCATTACGTAGCTCCAAAAGCTAAGGGTCATTTTCTTAGAAACACAGCTACCATACCATTGTGACATCTTAAAAAATTAGCAGTAATTCCTTCATCAAATAGTCATAAATATTTTCTTTTACCTTTTGTGTGTTGAGTCAGATCAGGATAAGGTTCACAGATTTGTAGTTGGTTAATATGTCTCTTAAGTTTTTTAGTCTTTGATATGTTTGGTATGTTAATACATCTCTTTAGTTTTTTTTAATCTCTTCTTTTTCTTCCCTAGCAGTTTATTTTACTTTATTCTTTTAAGAAACTGAGTCATTTGTCCTGTTGTGTTTCCCCTTATCTGGATTTTGTAATCATATCCTGGAATGTGGTTTCAGAGGTGTCTCTGTCTTTTGTATTTCATGTCAGTTTATACTCCAGTTGAGAAGCTCGATCCCCTTTAGGTTCTTTTTTTGCTACAACTCCCAGATGGAATAATTTTTATTATTAAAAATTAATAAACCTTAAAATAATTTTCAGTCAGTTATGCATAAATCTACAGCTCACAGTATATTAGTGTAATCGGAAAGTTGTAGATATTATAAGGCAATAAAATGCTCCCTCCTTTTTTGAGTAAACAGTGGTTTCTCTTTGTGCACCTGTTTATTTTGGCCAGTTTGTTAGCCTGCTCTTTTTGTGTGTGGTTTTCCCCTCTTCGTAATAGATAACTATAATGCAATTAGTTGTATAAGTAGAAGAAACTTATGTTTTCCTTCTTTTTTTGTACCTTATCTAAGACCTAAATAAAACTCTCTGTCACAAGTTTCTGCTGTATATAATGCTAATAAGGTATATTATATGGTATGTCTAAAAACATTTTTTTTTTAAGTAAAAATGACTTTTTTTTTTTTTTTTTTTTTTTGAGGCGGAGTCTCACTCTGTCTCCCAAGCTGGAGTGCAGTGGCATGATCTCAGCTCACTGCAGCCTCTGCCTCCCGGGTTCAAGCAGTTCTCCTGCCTCAGCCTCCCGAGTAGCTGGGATTACAGGCATGTGCCACCACGTCTGGCTGATTTTTTTGTATTTTTTAGTAGAGACGGGGTTTCACCATATTAGCCAGGCTGGTCTTGAAGTCCCAACCTTGTGATCCGCACACCTTGGCCGTCCAAAGTGCTGGAATTATAGGCATGAGCCATTGCGCCTGGCCAAAAATGACCTTCTATCCAGTCTTTCTTGGGGGCAAAGGGTGGAAATGGGTAATTAAACTTGGAGCTTAATTTAAAAGGCAAATAACTGTAATACATTTCTGTGAAATAATTCGCTTAGGATGGGACTTGGTTTTTCTAAAAGTAGGCTGAAACAATATAAATAAAAATACAGTTTAAGACAGATTTTTGTATAAGATTTTGGGGGAAATCCCAAACTTTCTTTGTGCGTGGCATATCAAGCGCAAATGTGGAGTTAGCATTTACAAAATTATACAGCTGTTTCTTTTTGCTTTTCTCTTCTTTTTTCTCTTTTCTTTTCTTTTCTTTTCTTTTCTTTCAAGACGGAATCTCACTCTGTCATCCAGCCTGGAGTGCAGTGGTGGGGTCTCAGTTCACTGCAACCTGCGCCTCCTGGGTTCAATCAATTCTCCTGCCTCAGCGTCTCAAGTAGCTGAGATTACAGGTGCCTCCCACCATGCCTGGACTAATTTTATTGTATTTTTAGTAGAGACTGGCTTTCACTATGTTGGCCAGGCTGGTTTTGAACTCCTGACCTCAAATGATCTGCCCCCCCTCGGCCTCCTAAAGTGCTAGGATTACAGGCATGAGCCACCAGGCCCAGCCTCTTTATGTTTTTATAGGCCTATGTATATGCATTACAATGCTGTTGTTGAAGTAAAAGGAAAGGATGAAATACACCTCTTGACTGTAAAATGTGTTTTCTTTTTTTTTGTCCTCCCTTTACAAATACTCAATTTTAGATTGAATTTAAGATAAGCTCACATGGATTCTTTTTCTCAGGAAATTAGACAATTTCTGCCTTTGCTCTTCATGCATGTTAAAAAAAAAAGCTTGCTTACACATGTAGAAAGTTGAAAGTGCAGTGAAGTGTTACTGCTTTCAAATGAATGACAGGATACTTTGCAGAAATCCACAACTTTTCTGGGGGTAGAGCGTTAAGTCTGTCTCTGGTGTACAGTCAGATTGTACCTATAAAGCTCTTTTCTTGAAGTCAGATTCTCAGGCTGAGCAGAGATTCAGAGAAAGGATCCCTTACCTAATCATATGCTGGTGTTGAAAGGGAGGAAAAATATTTAATTATCTCCTACAGTTTTTCCATGTGGCACTCAGACTTGAGACTTTCCAATAGCTTTCCTCACTTGATATCAAGCCCAAGCAAAAGGTGGACATTTTAAGGTTTTCTGTTGTAACATGATTATTTCCAAAGACATACTCCGTTACCTTTGAAATGCAAGAATCTTGTCACTTGAAGTCAAACATTTTCTCCAGCTTCTTATAGGGACTTGTTCAGCTGATTCATGTGATGAAAAATGTCTGTAAGGAGGCTGCGTTTTGCAGCGCTTCTTCCAACTGCTCAGCAAAATCTGGCCTTTTTGTTTTCCTCTTGTTCACCTTTCAACTCAGCCACTTGATTGAGAACTTTTCCTTGCTAAGCCAGAGGAAGCAAGAGGTTGGTTTGTTCTTTGTCTAGATTTCACATCATTTTTAAAAACACGATGAAGTGACTGGGCCTTTGTTTAATAAAGTTAATAACTCTTTTTTGGGCACTCTCTAGGACTTTTCATTTTAATCTTTTTTTTTTGTGTGTGTGTGTGTGTGTGTGTGGTTAAAATGTACATAATACAGGTTGAGTATCCCTAATTGGAAATGATTGGGACCAGAAGAAATGTTTGAGATTTGGGGTTTTTTTCAGATTTTGGAATATTTGCATATACATAATGAGATACCTTAGAGATAGGACCCAACTCTAAATATGAAATTCATTTTTGTTTCATATATACCTCATACACAGAGCCTGAAGTTAAGTTTCATACAGTTTTGTGGATGAAACAGTGTATGTACATTGAGCCATTAGAAAGCAGAACTGTCACTGTCTCAGCCACTGATATGGACAGTCTGGTTGTTTGGCATCATCTTTCCTGATGCTACCAATAAGCAATAGCTTTCTTAGTTACACATAAATTAAGCATGTGTCATGTACCTGTGTTTTGACTGCGAACCATCACATGAGGTGTGTAATCTTCCACTTGTGACGTTATGTTGGCCCTCAAAAAGTTTCGGATTTTAGAGCATTTCAGATTTTGGGTTTTTGGGATTAGGAATGCCCACCCTGTATAACACTTGTTGTTCACTTAAAAATGCTCTCAATCATTTTTAAGTGCACAACAGTTCAGTGGCATTAAGTACATTCACATTATTGCACAACCATCACCACATCATTCTCCAGAACTCTCATATTCCAAAAGTGAAACTCTGTGCCTGTTGAACTTCCCCTTCCTGCCAAACCCTGGCAATCATCATTCTTCTGTCTCTATCAGTTTGACTTATCTATATACCTCTTATAAGTGGAGGCGTACAGTATTTGATCTTTTGTGACTGGCATATTTCACTGAGCATAATGTCTTTAAAGTTCATCCATGTTGTATCATGTGTCAGAATTCTACCTTTCTGAGGCAGAATAAGAATTCATTGTATGTATTTACGGGCTGAGTATACCTAATCCAAAAATTCAATATCTGAAATGCTCCAAAAATCTGAAACTTTCTGGGCACTGACATTGTACTCAAAAGAAATTCTCATTGGAGCATTTCAGGTTTTGGAATTTTGGATTTTCGGATGAGTGATGCAAAAGTGGTGTAATGTAAATGTTGAATATTTCAAAATCCAAAAAATTTCAAATCCAAAGCACTTCTGTCCCAAGCATTTCAGATAAGGAATATTTAACCTGTACCACGTTAAAAAAAAAAAAATCCATTGATTGTTTGATGGACATTTAAGTTACTTCCATGTTTTGGCAATCATGAATAGTGCTGTTATGAACATGGATGTACAGATACCATTCTTCTTCCTGTATAACCAGAATAGGAGTTGGTGGAGCATGTGCTAATTCTATGTTTAATTTTTTTGAGGAATCTCCACATTGTTTCCCACAGTGGCTGTACCATTTTACATTCCTGCCAGCAATGCACAAAGTACTACATTCTCCACATCTCTGTCAATGCTTGTTATTTTCTGGTGTGTGTGTGTATGTGTGTGTGTGTGTGTGTGTGTGTGTGTTTATGGCCATTCTAATGGGTGTGAAGTGGTATCTCATTGTGGTTTTGATTTGTATTTCCCTAATGATTAGTGATGTTGAGCATCTTTTCATGTGATTTTTAGCCATTGGCATATCATGTTTGGAGAAATGTCTATTCAGATTCTTTCCTCATTTACTAAATGAGGTATCATGATGTTTTGAGTTGTAGGAGTTCTTTATTCTGGATATTAATTCATTATCAGATATATACTTGCAAATGTATCTTCTGTTCCATGGGTTGCCATTTCACTCTACTGATAACGTCTTTAGTAATAAGGTTTTTAATGTTGATGAAGTCTACTTTATTTTTTCTTTTGTTGCCTGTGTTTTGGTGACATCCAAGAAATCATTGTCCAATCCATTGTCATAAAGCCTTTTCCATATGTTTTATTCTAAGAATTTTATAATTGAATGTCTTACATTTAGGTCTTTGATCAATTTTAAGTTAATTTTGTTATATGGTGTAAGGTAAGGGTCCAACTTCATTCTTTTGCACGTGGATATTCAGTTTTCCCAACACCGTTTGTTGAAAAGGCTGTTGTTTTTTCCCCATTGATTCAATGTATTTGTGAAAGTTTATTTCTAGACTCTCTTCGGTTTTATTAGTTTGTATGTCTATACTAATACCACTCTCTTTCAATTACTGCACTCCTTCCTTCTGTTAATGCTTGTGTTAACATTATTTTTTAAATGTTGAGCCATCCTTGCATTTCAGGATAAAATCCTACTTGGTCATGGCACATAATTGTTTTAATATGCTGCTGATTTAAATTTGCTTATATTTTGTCAAGGATTATTGCAACATGATAATTGTAGGGGATATTGATCTGTAATTTTCTTTCCTCATGAGGTCTTTGTCAGGCTTTTGTATCAAAGTGATGCTGACCTTAATGGAATGAGTTGGGAAGTATTTCTTCTTCAATTTTTTTGTAGTAGTTTGAGGAGACTTGGTTCTAATTCTTTAAATATTTGCTTGAATTCAGCAGCAAAGCTATCTGGTTCAGCGCTTTTCTTTGTTAGAGGTTTTCAGTTACTGATTCAGTCTCCTTCCTAGGTATAGGTCTATTCCGATTTTCTGTTTCTTTGTAATTCAATTATTGTTAAGTTGTGTATTTCCAGGAATTTGTCTCTTCTACCTAAGTTATCCAGTGTGTTGGGCAAACTATTTTTAGAAGTGCGTTTTCCAAGTGATAATTAGTGGAAGGTACAGGGTATATTGCAGTATTACAGCTTAAGATAATTATAGGTGTTTTACATCATTTGCTTTGTGATTATCCCAGTAACCCTATGAGTAAATATTAGAGCTGTTAGTCCCATTTTACGGATGAAGAAGCTGAGGTCCAAGATGCATAGGCAAAATAGTTGTACAAACTACAGAATGTAAAACTTAACAAATCTTGATAGAAATATGAAGAAAATATAACAATTTTTTTTTTCTTTTTTTGAGATGGAACCTCACTCTGACGCCCAGGCTGGAGTGCAGTGGAGTGATCTTGGCTCACTGTAACCTCTGCCTCCCGGGTTCAAGGGATTCTTCTGCCTCAGCCTCCCGAGTAGCTGGGATTACAGGCGCACGCCACCATAGCCAGATAATTTTTATATTTTTAGTAGAGATGGGGTTTCACCATGTTGGCCAGGCTGGTCTTGAACTCCTGACCTCAGGTGATCCACCTGCCTTGGCCTCCCAAAGTGCTGGGATTACAGGCGTGAGCTACCACACCCAGCCAATAATTCTTAAAAGTGGAGGCACATATTGGAATTTGGGGAGTGTGAGAGTTTTTTTTTTTTTTTTTTTTTTTTAACTTATCAAGGAACAGGTTTTTAAATAACCTGAAAAATACCACACCACATCGTCTTTCATTCTTAATCTTCATTATCTTTAGCCATCCAAAAAGGCTAGTCTTTTTATCTAAGAAATCAGTCAAGTAAAGTAATACACTATAGAAAAATACCATGTAAAATAACTAACTTGGTTTAAAAATAAAAAGGTAGATCTTCAACTTACATGTCCTGAACAATACATTCCCTTTAATAAATTATTTTTAAATTAAAAAACTGCAGAGTTTTTAGATGTCTGAGGATCCTGTCTGTATTTTCAGCTGAAACTCTTAAGATCATATTTTAAAGCTCTGAAAATTTCAGGGTTTTTTTGATGGAGTCTCGCTCTGTTGTTCAGGCTGGAGTGCATTGGCATGATCTCAGCTCGCTGCAGCCTCCACCTCCCAGGTTCAGGCAGTTCTCCTGCCTCAGCCTCCCAGGTAGCTGGCATTACAGATGTGCACCACCACGCCTGGCTAATTTTTTTGTATTTTAAGAAGAGATGGGGTGTCACCATGTTCGCCAGGCTGGTCTCATACTCCTGACCTCAAGTGATCTGCCCACCTTGGCCTCCCAAAGTGCTGAGATTACAGGCGTGAGCCACCTTGCCTGGCCTGAATTTTTTATTTGCCTTATTTGAGTGGGGGTATTGCCCTTTGCCTAGCTTTATTTAGCTGTTAGTGCTAATTTTCAGTTTCTTATTTTTCATCTTAACTGTGGCTTATATTACAGTTTAGAACACCAAAGAATTATTTACTAAGCTGTTTATTTTTCAGGTTCCTAGAAGCCAAACCAAACTGACAATAATGCTTGAAAAATTAGGAATGGATTATGATGGGCGGCCTCACTGTGGTCTTGATGACTCTAAGAATATCGCCCGAATAGCAGTTCGAATGCTTCAGGATGGGTGTGAACTCCGAATCAACGAGAAAATGCATGCAGGACAGCTAATGAGTGTGTCCTCTTCCTTACCAATAGAGGGCACTCCACCACCACAAATGCCACATTTTAGAAAGTAACAACAGTTTTGTGTGTGGATCATTCCAATTGAAGTTGCTATGAAGAGGTAGCAGATGAATCTCATTGAATTAGTCCTGTAGTGCAAACTTTAAGCACCTTAAAACATTTAAAATCTTATTACAGGTGATAGAGATAGATACATGTATGTGAACAGATTTTGTAGGAAGGCATACTGAATTCTTTGTCACCAGCACTTTTGATATGAACAGTATTCGTTACATAGTAACAGTTCCTGCTTACAACTGAATTTTATAATTTAAGGTGTTCAAGATATATTCTTTTTGGTTTTAAAATGCAAAATCTTATTGGCTGTTCTGTTGAATGTCATATCTTACTGGTGTTTAAATATGTAATGTGTTTCTTTATTAACATCACTAGATGAAACCATATCTTAAAATGCAGAAATGATTGGAAGGTAGATCTTATCTAGCCTTTGGATTTCAAGAATATCATAGTCCTTTTGATTTTCAAAGTTTATATGTGAAGTTCACCATGTATGTGGTGAATTTCGTAAGGTACTTGGTATACATATCTGCCTATGTTTCTTTTCAACTCATAATTGGAAGAATTATGATGGATTATAGGGTTTGGTTAAAAATCCAGTTACTGAAGGAATTAATGAAAACGTAGAAGAAAGTACTAAAAGGAATATCATAAGGGCTGTAGCTCAAACTTCATAATACATAAATCACTGGGGTCTTTTTGGATTTGGTTGTTTGATTCGCCTTCCTTTTTTGACATATGTATGCCTTAATTCTTAAATCTGAGGGACCATGCTTTGAAATAGACTGAAAATTAAGGGTCACCACCTAATTTTACTTTGTATTCAGTATCGTAAGTGAGGTTAATAAAGTCAATACTTTCTACCATATATTACGTTTTTGTTATTAAAAAACTTCATTGGCCACTAGTGAAGTTAGTCAATAAAAGACTTGTTTTTCTGATTTTACATAGTAAATGGCTGCTAAGTATTGAGTAATTCTTAACTAATTCTAAAAACTAAAATGTGCATTTCGACTTGATAAGGTAAAACTCTTATCTAGAGGCTAAACCCATGTATTTTCAGAATTGAATTTTTCTCCTTGTAGCTTTCAGGGAACAATTTCATTGACATTGCTTGCTTCCTGCCTTTTACCTTTTAATAAAAATTGTGATGCTACTTTATTCTAAAGATTTATATTTTATAACCAGATGAATTTCCTCAAAGGTTTCCAAACCTATATCATATAGGGTGAAAAGCAGGAAAGTAGACATTTTTCTTGGCGTGGGAATTCTCTACATAGGGCAGTAGATTTCTTAAGCCAATGAATTTCTGCTTTTCAGCAGTAGTCATATAATCAGTATCATAAAGAATAATGTGTAAATAACAGAAGGCATATGAGAGTGTGGTGTTCCTAGATGAACTGTTACAGATTATAGTAAAATAAGGAAATCTAAGTGCTTTAAGTTTATACAGTTAACTCTTAGGATAAGAGGGATGTATGCTGAGATGTTTGTGCATCCCAGATAGCACTGTACAATAACCTGTAAAGTATTACTGAATACTGAATAGCTGAAACTGCAATTGGAAAATCTGATGATGACGAGGAAATATTACGTTTCCAGTTTTTTTAGCTCTATCTGCTAATTTCTTTGCCTGTTTTCACTTTCGCCAAGTACCAACAAGCTCATGTTGTATTTCTTTTTAAGAACTTCAACATTATAAGCTCTCAGTACCCTATTTTGTTGTTGTTGTTGTTTGAGACAGAGTTTTTGCTCGTCTGCCAGGATGGAGTGCAGTGGTGCGATCTTGGCTCACTGCAACCTCCGCCTCCTGGGCTCAGGTGATCCTCTTGCCTCAGCCTCCTGAGTAGCTCAGATTACAGGCGCGTGCCACCACACCCGCCTAATTTTTGTATTTTTGGTAGAGGCGGGGTTTCACCATGTTGGTCAGGCTGGTCTTGAACTCCTGACCTCAAGTGATTTGCCCACCTTGACCTCCTACAGACGTGAGCCACTGCGCTCAGCCATAGATTTTACTGTCTTAACCCATTTTAATTCCTCTGTTGAGTCTCTGTCCTCCCCTCCAATTTGATTTGGGATTTTGCTGATGAGATGATACTAAACATTGAGAGTACTGCTTTTTACTCTGACTTTTATTGTGTTGTCTTTGAAAGACAAATAGTACAACTTTTTACAAGGAAACACGTAAGAGATGGATGTCCATGAAAACAATATTAGTATATTCTATTATTGTTTCTTATTAATAGTTACTTAGTATTTACAAACAATTTATTATTAGCTGTGTTAACTTTTATTCTATGCTTCATATGCTCTGACATTGACATAGTGGATTTCTGCTGATTTTTTTCAAATCCGCAATCTTTATAACCAACTGAAGTATATAATAGAGCATTACATTTTATCTTTATTTGTGTTCTGTTGGATCAAGTATTTAACATTTGCTCTGAAAAAAATGTTTTTGTGATGTGTCTTTGTTGCCTTGAGATAGATCCATTTATCCTGCCTCCTAGGGAGAAGTTTCTGCCTGGATTGAAACAAAAAAACACAGGCGTCACAAGCATGTTACCTATTAAGAGAGAGAGGGTATCTCTGAAGACTAATTAAAATGGTAATTTTTAAAAAGATGTGACCAGTTGACTTTTAGTATATCATCCCAAGTATTATCCCCAAAATGATAATGCAAAACAGAATAATTTGGAGACCAGGAGAAAAACTGGTATGATTACTGGGGAGGGGAAGAAGCACAGGTGGTCAAGATAATAATGCATGTTTGGCCTCAGCTGTAGTTGCCAAAGAAACTACCTGCCTCACAGATGAGCACGCACGGGTGCATTGTCAAAGTCTGAGAAGGATGTATTGTACTTTGAAGGAAGACTTTCCATTTCTAAGCTACCATGGAGAAGTATATGCTCCTCGAGACCAGAGACTGTGACTTCTGCATCTTTGATTCCAGCGACATATGATAAAATGTTTTGCACATAGTTGAATCCAGCGTTGATACATGAAGGACAGCATTACATCTTTTTTCTATTATACTTAGAAATTTCCTCTTTGTTCTGCACCACCAACCTGTATATCAAGCCTCCTTGCCCCACAAAGCTTCCAAAGCCCGTAAATTTGTTAATCTAGAGCAGGGGTCAGCAAACTACCACCCATGGGCCAAATCTGGCTGCTGCCTATTTTTGTATGGCCTACAAACTATGGTTTTTATATTCCCTTTTGTTAATGGCTCAAAATAATATTTTGTATAATACGAAAATTACGAAATTTTAGTTTCTCTAAATAAAGTTTTGGAAAGAACTACCATTCTCATTTGTTTTCATGTCATCTCTGACCACTTTTGTGCTACAATGGCAGAGTTGAATAGCTGCATCAGTGGCACCATCTGGCCAGCAAGGCCAAAAAATACTACTGTCTGGCCCTTTATGGAGAAAGTTTGCCTACCCTTACCTCCCTTATGTAATGCAATATATAAGTTCCATCAACAAACAAGAAATGCGACTGTGATGAGAGCGTAGAGCTGAATGTTAAGGTACAATGATACTTGCATCAGACATTTATGGAGCACTGTTAAGTACTTTACTCCATTGTTTAGTAAGAATCTGGTGATGGAGAGAGGCATTCTCTGCAGTTTACAGATGGGAAAGTTGAGGTCCAGAGCGGTTAAGTTGCCAAAGTTTAAGTAGTGGGAGCTGTAGATTCTGGCAGTATGGCTTGAGCCTTGCTCTTTATCTCTGTGCTATGCTGCCTCCCGTTGTAGACTTTGGCTTAACCTGATATTCCAGGAACAGGTAGGTTGTCCTAGGTAGAATAAACATCTTCCTGTATGGTTTAAACTAGACATTTTCAATGCGATTGTACTAAATGTTGCAAATCAGGAGGTAATTTGATGTTCATTCTTTGAATGAAACAATATAAAATACTGTTAACTTCTAATGTGACCAGCTGTAAGGTTTTTTCGGAGATGGGGATAAGTGGAGAAGGAGAACGATTTTTGCTTTAAAATTTCCTCCATGTTCTTGAGATTAGAAATGTTAGTGTCTTGAGTTTATAATGACACAGAGGCTAAAGGGCTTAAGTTTGACTGATGAAGAGTTGGAAGTACTTGTTTTTCTGGATTCCTTACCAAGACTTGGGTAAGGGGCGGATGCCCGAGGCTTTAAACCAGATCTGCTTTTCTACTTGCAAGTGAATGTTCTCAAGGTAAATTTCATTAGATTTGTTTTAGGATGAATACTGCTCAATCATTGTGGAGCCACAAGGCATGCTTCATTTTATTGCACTTCTCTTTATGTGCTTCGCAGATACTATTTTGTTTTGTTTTGTTTTTTAACATACTGAAAGTTTGTGTGAATCCTGTGTGGAGAAAGTCTATTTATGTCATTTTCCCAACAGCATACTTTCACTTCATGTCTCATATTTTGGTAATTCTCCCTATATTTCAAACTTTTTGATTATTATTATCTCTCTTAGGGTGATTTGTAATCAGTGACTTTTGATGTTACTATCATGGTGGTTTTGGGGCACCACAGACCACACCCATATAAGACAACGAACTTAATTGATAAATGTCTGTGTTTTCCCCATCGCTCCCTCTCCAGACCTACCTATTCCCTGAGACACAATATTGAAATTAGGGCAATTAATAAGCCTACAGTGGCCTCTAAGTGTTCAGGTGAAAGGAAGAGTCACATGTCTTCCACTTTAAATCAAAAACTAGAAATGATTAATCTTAAAGAGGAAGGCATGTCAAAAGCTAAGACGGGCTGAAAGCTATGCCTTTTGATCCAAATTAGCAAAGTTGTAAACCCAAAGGAAAAGTTGTTGAAGGAAATTAAAAGTGCTGCTCCAGTGAGCACACAAGTGATAAGAAAGCAAAACAGCCTTATTACTGATATGGAGAAAGTTTTAGTGGTGTGGATAAAAAATCAAACTGCAACATTTCCTTAAGCCAAAGCCTAATCTAGAGCAAGACTGTAACTGTCTCATATTCTGTGAGGGTTGAGGGAGGTAAGGAAGCTGCAGAAGAAAAATTTGAAGCCAGCAGAGATTGGTCCATGAAATTTAAAGAAAGAAGCTGTCTCCATAAAACAGTGCAAGGTAAAGCAGCAAGTGCTGATGTAGAAATTATAGCAAGTTATCTAGCTAAGATCTAGCTAAGTTATCTAGCTAAGATCTAGCTAAGATAACTAATGAAGGTGGCCACACCATACAACAGGTTTTCAATGTAGATGAAATAGCCTATTCGAAGAAGATAACATCTAGGACTTTGATAGCTGGAGAGAAGTCAGTGCTTGGCTTCAAAGCTTCAAAGGACAGGCTGATTGTTGTTAAGGGCTAATGTAGCTGGTTTAAGTTGAAGTCAGTGTTCATTAACCATTCTGAAAATCCTAGGGCCCTTATGCTAAATCTACTCTGCCTGTGCTCTATAAAGGGAACGGCAAAGCCTGAATGACAGCACATCTGTTTACTACATCATTTACTGAATATTTGAAGCCTGCTGTTGAGACTTAGTGCTCAGGAAAAAAAAAAATCTGTTCAAAATATGACTGCTCATTGACAATGCATCTGGTCATCCAGGAGTTCTGATGGAGTTGTATAAGGAGATTAATGTTGGTTTTAATGCCTACAAACACAATATCCATTCCACAGCCCATGGATCAAGTAGTAGTTCTGGCTTTCAAGTCTTACTATTTAATAAATACATTTCATAAGGCTGTAGTTAGCATAGGTAGTGATTCGTCTGATGGATCTAGGCAAAGTCAGTTGAAAACCTTCTGGAAAGGATTCACCATTCTATTCTGAATGCCATTACAAGCATTTGTGATTCGTGAGAGGAGGTAAAGATATCAACCTTAACAGGAATTTGCAAGAAGTTGATTTCAGTCCTCATGGATGACTTTTAGGGGCCCAAGACTTCAGTGGAAGAAGTCACTGCTGATGTGGTGGAAATACCAAGAGAACTAGAAGTGAAGATGTGACTGAATTGCTGCAGCCTCATGATAAAACTTGAGGAATTACTTCTTACAGATAAGCAAAGAAAGTGATTTCTTGAGATGGAATCTATTCCTGGTGAAGATGCTGTAAACATTCTTGAAATGACAGCAAAGGATTTAGAATATTACATAAGCTTAATTGATAAACCAGTGGCGTGGTTTGAGAGGATTGCCTCTAATTTTGAAAGAAGGTCTGTGGATAGAATGCTATCAAACAGCATGATAAAGAGAAATCTTTTGTGAAAGCACAAATATCAGTTGATGGAGCAAACTTCATTGTTGTCTCATTTTGAGAAACTGCCACAGCCACTCCAATCTTCATCACCTACCACCCTGATCACTCAGTAGCCCTCAACGTTTGAGGCAAGATCCTACACCAGCAAAAAGATTATGGCTTGCTGAACACTCATGATTGTTACCTTTTTCTAGAAATTTAATCTTTAAGGTATATATGTATTTTTTAGACATAATGCTTTTGCACACTTCATAGACTATTGTTTAAATTTAACTTTTATATGCACTGGGGAGCCAAAACATTTGTGTGAGTTGCTTCATTGTGATACTCCCTTTATTGCAGTGGTCTGGAACTGAACCTGCAGTATCTCTGAGGTATGCCTGTATATAGTATGATCAAGAGCAAGTTTAGAATACAAGTCATTTTTTTTTTCTATTGAGTAAAAGAACAAAAGAGGAGCAAGGTTGTGATTTTCTGTTTGCTAATGTAGTGTGGCACACCATCACTGGTGATGGCAGATTGATGGAGGGCAGCGATTGAGCCTTCCCCTTGAAGTGTCCATTCTTGCTTGCCGACTCTGCACCTTTGAACATAGACCTGTTTTCCCTTTGGATTTATTTTTGTCAGTGGGACCATGATTATCACAGTCACATAGGATTGAAACCATGAAACTCATAGTCCCTCCCTCCCCCTTTTAGCACAATGTCCTTTATTGTCCAGTCACTTTATCCTCACCCCAGCCTCTGTTATCATCATTGCTACACAGACTATTGCTAAAATTTAACAGACTTCTCTCTTGCTGTCTCTTCCTGTATACCACTGTCATAAAAAACCTTCCTAAAATGTTGCTTTGCACACTGATCTCAGAAACCTTCACATTTCTGATGGGATAAAACTCAGCTCTCTGTTGGCATATAAGAACCTTCACAGTCTGATTTCTGTCTGCCAACTTTTACAGTAACCATCTGCTCTAGGGTAATAGTTACTCCCCTCACCATCACACTCGCGTTGAGTCGCATGTGCACCATCCTACTTCTGTCCCCAGGAAGTTAGCCCATCAGTCTTATTCTCTTGATTCTGTTTTGTTAAAGACCTGCTGTGATTTCAGCCTTCTTCCCAGACAGCCCGGACCTTTGGCAACAACTCCCTCTATTTGTTCATTGCACTTTTGTTACATTCATTGGGCCCTTCATTTGTGCTGCAGAGATTCATATGTACTGTATTGTTGGGTTTTTTTTTTTTCTGTTTCCCCAACAGGAGTGTAAATTATTCAGGCACAGGTTCTTACTTGTATCTCAAGAACCTAAGACACAATGGGTGCTTAGTTAAAAATAATTAGTGATGGTAAAATGTATCTTGTAAGGTTAGTACCTGTTCCTGAAATTGCAAAAGGTAGCGTAAGTCCTGACTGCCGTGATGAATGAGTTACTGTTTTGGCAGAGTTACAGATAGGAGCTATCCCCTTTCCTTTTACTGTGCACCATAAATAAATTTTTAGAGGCTCTGTCTCGAGTAGAAATGTTTAATCCCTGTCTATGCTTGACTTTCCCCCTAGGTGCCAGGAAAAGCAAACAAATGTTAAGCTGTCCTTCCTAGTAGTTCAGTCTGTACATTGCTGATTTAAAAAAAAAAAAAAAAAATCTGCTCCAAGTATCTTTGGCCTTGAAAAAGGTCATTGGTTGCCTTTCCTCTGTGTTGAGCACTGATTTTTCAAACTTTTTTGCACAAGTACTCCCTAATACTTGAAAAAAATTGTTTGAAAAGGAAACTGTACCTATTTGCACATTTAAAGCTATTCCTAAGTTCATAGTATAAATATTGACATTTAAAACAAAACAGGCTTCATTATATAATCAGTGGAGTCTCCATACCATAGAAATTTAGTACCATCATCTGCATAGAAAATACATAAAGGCTTTTAAAATTCCTCTTTCTCCTGGAACTTCTATTTTTGGTGCAGTTCTCCCACAAGGTTTTATTCTAATGTAATACAGTAGTCCCCTCTTATCCGTGGTTTTGCTTTCCATAGTTTCAGTTACCCAAGGTGCAGTAACAAGATATTTTGAGAGAGGGAGACACCACATTCACATCCAGTTTTCATGTTATAGCTTGTCATCAGGTTTTACTCTGTATTTTTCTGCCTGAAAGTCATTGATCATACTATCATACATCTTTGTAACAAGTGTATATACATTTAAAATTATATATGGCTGAGTGCAGTGGCACATGCCTGTAATCCTAACACTTTGGGAGGCTGAGGTGGGTGGATTGCTTGAGCTCAGTTCTGGACCAGCTTGGGCAACATGGTGAAACCCTGTTTCTACAAAAAATTCAAAACTTAGCTGGGCGTGGTGGCACAAGCCTGTAGTCCCATCTACTTGGGGGGCTGACTTGGGAGGATTGCTTGAGCCCAGCAGGTGGAGGCTACATTGCACGGAGATCTATTTATTGTGACCGTAAGGATGTGTGAAGTTTCTTCTATATTTACTCAGTCATTTGCATAATGGATCAAGATGTAAATATATTAAAATTTTTGGAAATACTTTAATGAGATAATGTTTTTACAATTAGTTTATATATCTGGATTAATATGACATTGCTAGAATGAAAGGGGGTCCAGCATCAATTCTATAGCTTTACCTGAAAGGCTTTTACTCAGTTCTTTAATTTCCGTGACAAAAATCACATTGTGATCTGTGATGATAAATCATTCTTCAGCTGACAGCATGATTAGTTTCTTGTTTATTTTTGTTGAAAACAGAATTTTTGAAAGGTGCCTAACTTTTAGAAGTGTTTACTTAGAATTTACTCGTTCTTATATTTGGGGATGTAAACCCAAAGGGCTTTACCAAGACTATCAAATAATTATTCATTATACCTGTTACTCTTTAACCTAGAAAACCTTTATTTCAGTATATTCATAAAGGGTTGGGAAAATCCAACCTGTTACTTTCAAAACACCTTTTAGGATATAATACTCTTGGCACAGTTAGTGCTTTAAATATATTTTTATTATATGTTTCGTCAAAACCTTGGAGCTACAGATTTAGTCATTCATTTCATGATACATGTTCATCATATAATGAAATCAAGCAAAATATCCATGTCATGAATCAAATCAGACTGACTTTGTCAGAAAAAGGTCTGGCTTGAAAATTCAGGTTGTGTTACTGAATTTTGAACATACAAAAATCATTAAAAACCATCACAGAACACCTTTTGTAAATGATTAGTGAAAACAGTCAAGATTTAAAATTTCCCTTATTTAACTTATAACAAGTCGCAGTCATCTGTGGCAAAAACAAGTTATTTAGGAAGCAAGTTAGGTTGATGAAAGGCAAGATATTCTTTCAATATAGGTGTGTACGTATATTGAACTAAGGTATTTGGCTTTTGGCAGAATTAAGAATCAAATAAAATTCTTTAGTGTTAATAATATTAACTTTTACTAGGATTACGCTTTTCCTATAGAATGTTATCCTGCTAAAAACTAACTGGCAGATATCTAGAACCTAATTTATTTTCTGTTAAGAGGTAGTAAATATTTCCCATTTCATAAGATGAAGTAGATTCATATTTGACTGTATTTGGAGTAAATATTTCACAAAATGATTGTGGTCAGTTTTTTTCATTTTTTGTGAGCAGTTTTGTCTATAGGTTTTATTCAGTGCCTCATGAAAATTCTGATAGTCCTGAAAATTATTCCAAGTACAATTAAAATATTCAGCATCACTAAACTCTTTTTGTTTTGACTGTCCAAGGGTATTTTTCCTTCCAGTCAATGATTGTTCTGTGGATGAGTTTTTAAATAGTTGAAAAAGTAACTTAGAAGAACAGCTGTTTGTAGCAGTCAGTATTTCTCACCGATGCTTGCTGCTTTTTGCTGTTGGGGCCTCCACCAAGAGTGATTTATTTCTTGACAGGAGTCTTGGAGAGGGAAGTGGCCAATTTGTTCAATAAAAATCATTACTTTCACTTTACCACATATTCACATTTTGAATATCCTAACAAGTCCCCAAACATCCCCATTTCTAAATCCCCTTTTACGGAAGTTTAGAACGGGGAAAGTCACAAAGCCCTAAGGCCTTAAGCTGACTTGAGACTTTCCGGGTGGTAGGAGGCTTCTGCTTTGTTCTCTGTGTTCGCTAACGCCTTGGGGCAGCAGTGCCAAGTGAGCTGGGAAGGTGAGTGGTGTCTTTGTTTTGTAGAACGGAAGAAATAGTGTGGATGCCACGGTTTTGCTTTTGTTAGAGGGCTGTATGAAAGCTCAGAATTACCTTAAATTCCAAATTAATTAGGTCATCCTGTAAAATTACCCTTGCTGAGGCACCCCTTAGAAGGTTTCAAGGTGGCCCTAGGGTTAGACATATCCCACATGAAGACCTCTGGTCCAGTGTTGAAAATTTCTGTTATTTTTGTATGTTAATAAAATGTTTTCATCAGTAATATAGTGTGTGTGTGGGGGGGGGGTGTGTGTTAGTTCACATTTGATAAGGTTCTTGTTTAGGACTTCCTTAGCGCTGACAAAACGAACTTAGACTTTTGTAAGGAGAGTGGAGCACAAACCTGCCCCTGCCTCATTGTCAAGAAGCCTCTCCATCAGCCCGCCAGCACCAAGCCTTTTGAGTTCCTTTAGATAAAGTCAGTAACACCTGGGTTAGCATTATTCCCACCTCGGTCTAGTGCTTACTCAGTCCTGGGCCATGCTGAAATTGCATGCATACAAGGTATAGCGTAATGAGACCGTTTTCAGTGCAGACAGCTGAGCCCCCAGGCACTTGCTCCGCTGAGTGTTTCAGCGATTACGCTGCACTTCTGCTCGCCTGCCTAAAACGCATGAAGAGTACAGTGGGGGAACAATGAGCATGACTTTTGTTCATTCTGTGTGTCTGGTGAGAAAAATGTGGGAATTCCAAGCAACAACGTATTAGGGATGATTCTGGAAATTCAGGAGAAACAAGTAAAATACAAAGAAACCTTAAGTCGTAAAATTTATGTTAAATCCTACATTCCTTACTACAGGCAACTTCCTTGTATTCTCCCAAGAGAGAATACAAGGAAGGTAGGAGAGTAGGAGGGGGAGCTTTTAAAAATCAGGTGTGTTGAGGCATACACGCTCTTCTCATCGGCACATGGAACATTCTCCAGGGTTGACCATAGGTTAGGACACAAAACAAGTCTCAAGAGCTTTTAAAAAATCGAAATTGTATCAAACATCTTATCTGACTACAACGGAATTAAACTAGGCATCAGTAACAAGGAACATTCAAAACTAAACAAACACGTGCAAATTAAACAACATGCTCCTGAATGATCAATGGGTGAAAGAAGAAATTAAGAATGAGATTTAAAACTTCCTTGAAACAAATGAAATAGAAACACAGTGTACCAAAACCTATGAGACCTAGCAAAAACAGTATTGAGAGGCAAGTTTATAGCAATACGTGGCTGCATTTAAAAACTAGAGAGATTTCTTTCTTTTTAGACAGAGTTTCGCTGTTGTCGCCTAGGCTGAAGTGCAGTGGCGTGATCTCGGCTGACTTCAACCTCTGCCTCCCGGGTTCAGGCGATTCTCTTGCCTCAGCCTCTCGAGTAGCTGGGAATACAGGCATGCACCACCACGCCCAGCTGATTTTGTATTTTTAGTAGAGACGTGGTTTCACCATGTTGGCCAGGCTAATCTTGAACTCCTGACCTTGGGTGATCCTCCCACCTTGGCCTCCCAAAGTGCTGGGATTATAGGCATGAGCCACCGCACCCAGCCAAGAGATTTTTAAATGAACAACCTAACAGAGTACCTCAAGGAACTGGAAAAGCAAGAACAAACCAAACCCACCTGGGGGAAAGAAATTAGATGTAGTAGAATAAGATAAGCATTAGGAATTCCTCAAGGCCAAGAGAAATGTCTGCACAGAAAAGAGAAGGAACTTGGAGGCTGCATTGCCAGAATGCCTCACCCAGCGTATGTTTTGTACGCTGTGTCCTTGGTCCTCCCTTTGCGATAATTTCTCTCTGTGGCACACAAGATTTCAACTATCCCTTCTCTGCAAAAGGTTCCTAAAATCTATTGCCCTGATCTCTCTTTTGAGATCCAATTTCTTGAGTATTTCATAGGTGTCACCAGCGTTTTAAATTTTATACATTAAGAAACAAACAGATGCTTATTTCCTCAACTGCTACGCCCTCTCCCGCCTCCAACACACACACAGCCTACTCTTGTGTCACTCAAGTCAGGGAACACCCTCCCATTATACTCAAATCTGCCAGTTCCCTGTTCTTTGAGGAGGTAGCGTCATTTGTCACACCGCAGGCCTTCTGGGGCTTTGTGGCCCTGGAGGAAGCCTAGATGCGATGGGTCCTTGTGTCCAGAATGAAAGTTAGCTAACAAAACTGGAGGGAAGTGTTATGCTTTGAGGAGGTAACACAGGTTGAGCATCCCTAGTGCGAGAATCAGAAACGATCCAAAATCTGAAGCTTTTTGAGTGTTGTCATGATTTCGGATTAGTGATGCTCAACGAATAAATATCAATATAATACGGATATTCCAAGATCTGAGAAGATTCAAAATCTGAAACATTTCTGGTCCCTAGCATTTCAGAGAAGGGATGCTCAACCTACACGTGCACCTGCTTCAGTCAGTTACCCTGCATGCTCCCACGCGCAGTGCCGTATGTCCCCCGGCACATGCTCTGCAGTCTGCAAGGATCTGGAGAAGAAAGGTGTGGCTGCACTTCCTGGCAGTAGACACTTCATTTCTGCTGTTGGAATAGATTGTGTTTGATTCTACTCTTACGTCTAAGGGCATCTCTTTAGGTTTCTGGCCTTGGAACCATGCTTGACTGTGGAAGGGGTACATAATTCGGATTTATTTTTAAGGTGTTATTCTACTTCTTCGTGTATAATTGATGCAAACCATTTCTGACATCCTTCAAAACACTTGTGTCTTCTTGAAACTCCCACCTTTAAGACAAGCAATGAGTGTGTTTTTGTGTGGCTCAGATATGTAGGTGAAACCTGTGTATGCAGCACCCTCCCCCAACCACCCAGTTTCAAGCCCAGCTTTTGTGACGCTTTTGTGACTCAATTATGAATAATCAGAGCTGTGCCTGGACCCCATCATTCTGTCTTACTTTTTACATTCTTCACCCAAGCATGTAGAGGCCAGGCCTAAATCAAAGAGCTCAGAGGAAGTGGTGGTTCTTTGGAGTTCAGGAACATCTCTTATGGAAGATGGAGACAATTGTGGAGAAATCTTTTCATCATCCATGATAGGCAGATGAGATGCAAATAGGCCTAGACTCACTTTGGTAGAAACTTTTAAATAGATAGTTCTAGAAAATTATTATGTATTTGGTATTCCATGAGAGGTTGGGCAATTTTGGAAGCTTTTTTAAAGTTCAGTCCAGTGACACACTATCCATAATTGTGTTGTTTATTGGAGATATTATTTTTGTTTTATTTTCGTTGGAGACAGGGTCTCACTATCTTGCTCAGGCAGAACTTGAACTCCTGTGCTCAAGCCATCCTCCTACCTCAGCCTCCTGAGTAGCTGGGACTACAGGCCATAATTGTATTGTTTATATTCAACAAAGAAATATTTACTGAATATTTAATTCTAATTGAGAAAATAAGGCATAAGCAGGGAAAGATAGTTAACAATGTAAAGTAAGTTTCAAAAGAGGCCTACGGTGTAGCATGGTGTTTAAGGCTATAAGAGATTGGAATTAGACCTGGGTTTAGATCTTGGTTCTGAGACTTACTGGTGGTGGGACCTCAGCAAGTTACTTAACCTTTATGAGCTCCCAATTTTCCTTACAAAACTCTTCATAGGGTTGTTGTCGGAGTTAAATAGGATATCATCTGAATTATGGGTAGTGAATTACAGCTGATTTAGCGAGGGTATCAGAGTAAGATAAAACATCTTCAAATAAAACATCTTCAAAATCCATCATGGTGCGAAAGGATGTCCTTGTTAGCATGGCATGCTGGATGCAGGGCAACAAGTCTAGAGCTCCTTACATTTTCTCTGATTAGCGGATAAGTGATCCCGGATCCTGGAATGGTGCTGAGATTGTTGAAAGAAGCGAGGTGACTTTGGTGTGGGAATCAGGAGGATGTGAGGAACAGAAGGGAAGCCAGCGACCAGGTCAGCAGACACATCACTGCGTCAGTTCAGTAGGAGAGTTCACACTGGCCCCCATACAGGTAGGTCTAGTTAGCAAATTGCCAACTACCCATCATCAACTGGAGATGATGGAGAAATAATTACAATCCATGATGTGGCCAAAGTACACAGAGGACAGTGTAGGAGCAGAAGCAAAGCTTAATGGACTAGGGGGTCAAAGAGGGCTCTTTCAGGTGGAAACACAAGCTAAGCCTTGAAGAACAAATCATGACATTAGAAAGAGAAGCAATCGTTTACCAAGCAGCAGACACAGCATGTTGAAGAAACAGAAACACAGAAACATGAAACACCACTGGAGTCTCCAAGACGGTATTTTCCCAGTGGAGTTCTCCTTTTCCTCAATGTGCAGATAGAGATTCCAAACCTGCCCTTGACTCTCACCCTGACCTGCCACACCTGCATCATCATCTTGCTAACACTGAGCCAGATTTCACATGGTGAGAACTGTTCTGAAATCTCGCCTTAGAGTCCTGACCACGAAGCCCTTAAGAGTAGTAATATTGCCAGGCGTGGTGGCTCAAGCCTGTAATCCCAGCACTTTGGGAGGCCGAGTCAGGCGGATCACGAGGTCAGGAGATCGAGACCATCCTGGCTAACACGGTGAAACCCTGTCTCTACAAAAATACAAAAAATTAGCTGGGCGTAGTGGCGGGCACCTGTAGTCCCAGCTACTCTGGAGGCTGAGGCAGGAGAATGGCGTGAACCAGGGAGGTGGAGCTTGCAGTGAGCAGAGATCGCGCCACTGCACTCCAGCCTGGACGACAGAGTGAGACTCTGTCTCAAAAAAAAAAAAAAAAAAAAAAGTAGTAATATTACGTTCAGCCCTAAGCTGGCTTCTCAGATTTCCACTAGACTGGTTCTACAGCCAGTGCTCTGTAGGGTAGGGACTTCCCCATCCCACTTACGTATACTTGCACTGAAACGAATTGCTCACTCCAGCTGTATAGGTCTAGCCTCCACGAATAGATAGCTTAATAGGCAGGCTCTCATTAGACTTTAGTAGAAACATTCATGGATACCAAAAACTGTGTTTCAGTGGCTCTCAAATCTGATGTATTGACCCTGGGCATGGTGGCTCATGCCTGTAATCTCAGCTACTGGGGAGGCCAAGGCAGGAGGATCACTTGAGCCCAGGAATTTGAGATCAGCCTGGGTAACATAGCAAGACCCCTATTTGTATTAAAATATAAATAAATCTAATTTATCATCAGAATCTATAGAATTTTTTTTTTTTTTTTTTGAGATGGAGTCTCACTCTGTCACCCAGGCTAGAGGGCAGTGGCACAATCTCGGCTCACTGCGACCTCCACCTCCCGGGTTCAAGTGATTCTCCTGCCTCAGCCTCCTGAGTAGCTGGGATTACAGGCATGCATCACCACGCCTGGCTAATATTTTTGTATTTTTAGTAGAGATGGGGTTGCACCGTGTTGGCCAGGCTGGTCTTGAATTCCTGACCTCAAGTGATCCACCTGCCTCAGCCTCCCAAAGTGTTAAGATTACAGGTGTGAGCCACTGCACGTGGCCATATCTATAGATGAATTTTTAATACAGAGTCCCAGACCCCACTCAGAGATTCTAGGGGGCGGAGTTGGGCCTGTGTTAAAGAAAATTCATTTAAAAATTAAATTAAGAAAACAAATTCCCACAGGTAACTGTGATCCTTAGATCTGGAGACCTTGGCTGAGAGGACCGCTGCTGGGCCATCAGCCATCGCCATTGGTCTTGCTGATGGAATGTGACCAGTGAGGTTCTCTGTCCTGAGAAGCGGTTCTGAAAGATGCTAGTTCTTCTGAGCATATCTCTTGAGTGGCAGTGATGAGTCTGCCCTCCGAGTGACAGTGACATTTCTCCTTGCAGCCTGGCAGTAAAAGCCAGTCAGCAGAGAGAGACATGAGCAGCACATATGCGAGACTGCCTAGAGGAGATGAGGCAGAGCAGCCCTGAGACCTCTGCAGTTCCTGAGGCCACACTGCACACGGCCACACTCCTCTCCTTGCTTCCATGAGATGCTCCTTTATTTCTTTGAGAAATTCCCCTCTCCGGCTAAGGACAGCACAAGTTGGTTTCTGTTACTTGCAATTAAAGAGCCCAGTGACTACGACTCTTACTCAAATAGCATCCCTAAAGAACAATGAAGGGACACACTTTAAACATGCTAGGTATGAAATATCAACTTTCTCCCCAAACAACTCTGGAAATGAGCTCTTGCTCAGGAAGGAAAAAGCAAAAACACCTTTACTATTGAGTCTTTTATGCAGCTATTAGCTTGGTACAAAGAACATCCCCTTAGGAAAAGAGAAATTCAAGATGCTGTCTGGATTGGAAGAAATGGAAGAAAGCAGTGGAAGTTCCACTCTCACAAGCAGGGCCCACATCGGCCTCCCCTTGGGAAGAGGAAATACAATCAGTTTTGTGGCACAGATGAGCTCCAGGCAGAGCCAATTTCACACACGCTGATTGCAGCCTGTACCTTCTGCCTCACCCTCCGAATCAGCCTGAGGCTGGCAGAGGTCTGTGAACTGGGCTGAGATTTTTTTGACCTGTTAGGTTTTAGCATATGGCAGAAACAATCAATACTGCCCAAGAACCGAATAAAGCACGGCTGTTCCCAACAGGGAAAACAGGCAAGCTGCTCTTTCCCAGAAGGAGCACTCCTTGCCAAGCCTGCATGCCCTGACCATCTTCCTGCACAGGGCACTTAGATATTCACCTACTTAGGAAACACATTCCAGCCTCTAGCCACCATCCCACACCTAAAAATCAAACAGAGACATTCATCTGGCTGGGGACTGGGAGTTTATAGCAGTGCCTTTCGGGTGAGTTGGTGAGCTCAGCTAGTGGTGGCTTACTCCACTAATTAGCCTGTGGCCAGAAAGCCACTTAGGCTAAGGAGCCCTTCTCTGCTCACTTCTGTGGCCACAGAGTGGTCCCTGGGCCTAGCCAGTCAGCTGGCTGGCAGATGCTTGCCACTAGGAGATGGGAAATGGGCTGCAGAAGTTCTGAAGCTGAAAATGTCACCTGACCAGCCTGGGCAACATAGCAAGACCCCATCTCTAAAAAAAAAAAAGTTTTTAAAATTAGCCAGGCTAATTTTTACACACCTGTACACAGGTGCATATCTGCAGTCCCAGCTACTCAGGAGGCTGAGGTGGGAGGATGGCTTGAGCCCAGGAGTTTGAGGCTGCAGTGAGCTATGATAGCACAATTGCACTCCAGCCTGGGCAACAGAGAGAGACCCTGTCTCTTAAAAAGAAAGAAAAGGAGAGTGAAGCCTGCATCTCTCCCTCCCCTCTCCCCTTCCAACAGAGCAGTTCCACCTATACCTATTTATTAATTGAGCTTCCTATCATTTTGTTTGAAGAAGGGATTCATCACTGCTAATACTAATCGTTCACGCTGTGTGTTGGGGTGCACGAGTGCACACACGCCCACCAGGCACCATGCCAGGTGTTCCAGATGCCTTGGCTTGATCTCTTCAAACAAGTCCAAGAGGGAGATTCTGTTATTATGTCCATAGCACAGCTGAGGAAATGAAAGTCAACTCTCTTGTCCAAGGCCACAAAGCCAGTAAGTGGGAAAGCCAGGACTTGAACCTAGGTCCCCCAGACTCTGCAGCCTTTCTTGCATTGTCCTCTGGGAAGGGCCACAACCACCTGAGTGAAGAAAAACAAAGCCCAGTCTTTCTCTAAAGCAACTGTGCTCAACCTTGTCTGCGTACTGGAGTCATCAAGGAAGCTGCGACCAGCGCAGACGCTGGGCTGTCATCTCTGGAGGCACTGATTTGCTTCATCGATCTGAGAGCAGCTTGGGCATAGGGATTTGTTTTTTTTAAGACTGAAAATCACTGCATTAGGGAAGCAGTGATGAGAATTCAATAATTCGAATTACATGTCAGCACTGATGTGAGGGTTCAAGATAGGAATTTCCCTCCTGGCACATTACTCAATTGATAGTTTAAAAAACGTCCTTAAGAAGAAGAAAGACAGCCAAACTCCTTCTGCAGCTCTGGTGGAAAATGGAGAAGACTTTTCCTTTCCTCCATCTCCCCCAGGGCCTGGTGGAGTGAGGCGTTGCCCAGCTATAAACTGTGGTCACTCTTCTGGTGGGGCCAGCAGATAACAGCTGATGTGTGAAGGAGGCAGGGAAGGACATGGGGAAAAGGTCCAGTGGAAATCAAAGCCCATTGTCATAATTCTGTCCTTTGTTTTGAGACAGGATCTTGCTCCGTTGTCTAGGCTGGAGTGCAGTGGTGCAATCATAGTTGACTGCAGCCTCAATCTCCCTAGCTCAGGTGATCCTCCCACCTCAGCTTCCTGAGTAGCTGGGACCACAGGTACGTGCCCCTGGCTAATTATTATTATTTTTATTTTTAGTGGAGATGGGGTCTTGCTATGTTGCCCAGGCTGGTCTTGAACTCCTGGGCTCAAAAAATCCTCTCCCCTCAGCCTCCCAAAGTGCTGGGATTACAGGCGTGAGCCACCGCGCTCGGCCAGCATTCTGTTCTTTATGCACCCAGTCCAGGATCAAGATAGGTGGAGGTGAGCGAGATGTAAATGCAGCCGTCCACATAAATAATGTTTGAATGCCATCTTTACAAAGGGCAGCTGGGCGCAGTGGCTTACACCTGTAATTCCAGCACTTTGGGAGGTCGAGGTGGGCGGATCACCTGAGGTCAGGAGTTCTCAAGCTTGGCCAACATGGTGAAACCCCGTCTCTACTAAAAATACAAAAATTTGCCCGGCGTGGTGGCGGGAGCCTGTAATCCCAGCTACTCAGGAGACTGAGGCAGGAGAATCGCTTGAACTGAGGAGGCAGAGCTTGCAGTGAGCCGAGAGCACGCCACTGTACTCCAGCCTGGGCGACAGAGTGAGACTCCGTCTCCAAAAAAAAAAAAAAAAAAAAAAAAAAAAAGAGCAACATTAATGCAAAAAAATTAATGGTGAAAAAAAAATGTCAAGTATTGAAATATGGATAGCATCTGACAGGGTTGCTGAGGTTGGGGTGAAGGGAGTGCGGGGAGTCCTGCAACTAGACCTTTGGATCTTGTCTTTATTTGAATTTTGTGGATTTTTTGGCATTAATTTTGACTTTAAAAAAAAAAGCATGAAAATATTATTTTTCTTAAATTGTGTGCCTAACAGTGAGTCCCAATAAATACTTCCTTTAGGAAATACTTAAAGGAGTTAAACAACTTTTGACTTGCTGATCCTTCTGCATTGAGGGAGGAGACATCTCAGAAGCATGCCCTTTGAAAAGTATCAGAATACTAGGCATCCTCCTGTGCCTCCCACAACCCCCGCAAAAAAGAATACTAGCCCTCCCAAAGGCCGGATGGGATTTCTGCATCAAAGAGAAGACATCAACGGAGAGATAACCTAGTCATTCAGAGGCCGCAGGTGAGGAGAGAGGGACAGTGGACAGCAATGCCCAGAGAAGGCAATTTGAGTGCATGACCATCAGCCCATGCCAAGGGCAGCCTGCAGAGTTCCTCCCTCTGTTGATTCATTTGGCTAGGATGAGTTCTAGACCTGAACACGTCCTCCCCATCATACAGGATTACCCACTGTTACCTTGGTAAATTAACCTGTTTAACCTTCGGCTCCCTGGTCTGTAAGATAGAACTAATACTATACCCCTCACAGTGATGTTTTAAGGATAAGTGAGGTAGAATATATATAAAGCACTTTACAGAGTGCCTGGTACATTCTAAGTGGTCAAAAAAAAAAAAAAAGATAGCTATTTTCGCCTTACTATTAGATTTTCTAGGTCAAGGCTGGGCGCAGTGCCTCACACCTATAATTCTAGCACTTTGGGAGGCAGGGGCTGGTGGATCACTTGAGGTCAGGAGTTCGAGACCACCCTGGCCAACATGGTGAAACCCCATCTCTACTAAAAATACAAAATTAGCTGAGCGTGGTGGCACATGCCTGTAATTCCAGCTACTTGGGAGGTTGAGGCAGGAGAATCACTTGAACCTAGGAAGTCGATGTTGCAGTGAGCTGAGACGGTGCCATTACACTCCAGCCTGGGCAACAAGAGTGAAACTCCATCTCAAAAAAAAAAAAAAAAATTCTAGGTCTGTTCTTGAAGCTAGAACAGAAAAAGAGATTTTCTAGGTCTATTCCTGTCTGAGTCCTCATTGGGAACGTTTCACTGCTGACTGATAAGTCACCAGAGTGTAGGCCAAGCCAGTGAGCTTTGATGCGTATTAATATAAAATCTGGGAAATTGTCCCTAAAATGAGTCAGAGTTACGGAAGGAATGGAGAAGCCTGGATTCCGGTCTCAGCTTCAGGACTTGTTAGCTGTGGGAACTTAGGTCTATCCCACCACAACTCCGGGCCTCTTCCTTCTTTATGCAATAAAAATAACAGCATCATTCCTATTGCTCTTCTGCTGTGGGGACCAAAGAGATAATAAGGTGCAAAAGTGACTCAGGGCAGCACCTTTGGATGGAAATGAGCTTTGTTAAGGCGTTGTTCTTTCAGTGGGCTCATTTCTTTGTCTGGGCTGGTTCATCTGGTTCTGATCCTGAACTTAATGATCTTTGGAGGTAGATTCTTTATTCTGGACTTTAAAATGATAGCAGAAAGAATTAGCTGAAAGTAACAAATTATTATTTAAAGTAGGTACGATAGATATTAGTTCTGGTATTAATTATATTACTTTCCCATAGGGAATTGGAGGTATATATGAATATATATATGTATGTATATATGAATATATATATATATGAAAAGGAGTTTATTTCTTACAGTATGGTGGCTGAGAAGTCCACGGTTGAGGGACTGCATCTGGTGAGGGCCTTGTTGCTGGTGGGGACTCTGTGGAGTCCTGAGGTGGCTCACAGCATCACATGGTGAGGGGGCTGAAACTGCTAACATGCTCAAATTGGAGGTGTTTTTAAGAAGCATGACTAAGGGCTGGGCGTGGTGGCTCATGCCTGTAATCTCAGCATTTTGGAAGGCTGAGGCAAGCAGATCCCTTGAGGTCAGGAGTTCGAGAACAGCCTGGCCAACATGGTGAAAGCACATCTCTACTAAAAATACAAAAATAAGCAGGGCATGGTAGCATGCACCTGTAGTTCCAGCTACTTGGGAGGCTAAGGTGGAAGGATCACTTGAACCCAGGAGGCAGATGTTGCAGTGAGCCGAGACTGTACCACTGCACTCCAGGCTGGGTGACAGCGCTGAGACCCTGTCTCAAAAAAAAAAAAAGAAGCACGACTAAGGGAAACGCCTTCCTCTTGGTCCTGCCTAGAACCACTTCTTTAGTTTTTCTGAGTTTGTATGTTTAGATCTTTGTAAGTGTCCTATGTAGTTATACATTTTCCTTGATTATGAGTTTGAATGATCACTTCCTTTTCTCAGGCGAATGCACTCACTTATGAGAATTTTCAGTCATTTGGACTATAATTGCTTAAACTTCAGACTGTAGCTGCAGAGTCGTTTTGTAGCCATCCTTAGAGAGTGAGTATGGTGTAAGGATTGAGAGCCCAGGCTCAGATGCCATGCCACAAAATAAGTGACCTTGCTCTGTTAAACGGGGGCATGCCAGCCCAGATCTCATAGGGTCGTAGTGAGAAATGAAAGAATTAATGTTTATAAAGTGCTTAAAATAGTGTTTAGTGAATAATAACCCTTCAGTAAATGTTAGCCGTTATTGTACTGACCCTATTTGTGTTAGCTCTTATTACACGGGTCTGCCCAAGGCTGAAACTTGGGGCTTATCCTCTATGGGACGTTTTCTGTGAGTTTCAGCTACTGCTCCTAGTACACTTCCTGGCAGTGTTTTTGTCTCTCTCTGTGTTCTATTTCTCTGCTTTCTTCCATTCTTCCGTGTCCATGGAAAGGACTAGATATACTTTTTTTTTTTCCAATAAATCCCCTTTAAGCAAAATTGAGTCAGGCGTCTCTTGCTACCAAAAGAACTGGACAAACTCCACTAGTTTGAGAACAGTCACCTCCTATTCTGGTGCTGATTGGTTGAACTCGCCTAGAGCACTGAGTCTCTGGGATTCTGGCAAGGTACCGTCACTGACACCAGCAGCATTCTGGGTAAGCAGCATATACCACTATTACCCGTGAACGAATCAAGGAACATGCTAGGTGCACACGTATGAAGGGACATCTTTTGCACACAGAACTGGGGCACAGTTGGCAAGGAGGTTAAATATGTTAACTTCAGGATACATTTAGGGAAACTGCAATCAAGAGATTTACCCAGAAAACACATTTCAGAACTATGGTATAATAAAAAATATGTTTGGTCTTTATCCCTGACTCCTGGCACTGAGCATCAAAGACCCTTGGAAATTTCCGAGTGGTTCGAATGTCTGTTGTTATACATGAATCCTTTCTGATCATAACTAAGTTTATGCTATTGAGGTGAATCAAGGTGGGCCCTTAAATAGTTTCAGGAGAGAGGCTGGCCACACTACAAAGACCAAGCTTATGATTAGAGGGTTGGAACTTTTGGCTCCACCCCTCAACCTCTGGAGAGAAGAGGGGAACTGGAGATTGAGTTCAATCACTAGTGGCTAATGATTTATTTATTTTTGTTTTTGTTTTTGTTTTTGTTTGAGACGGAGTCTTGCTCTGTCACCCAGGCTGGAGTGCAATGGCGCAATCTCAGCAGACTGCAACCTCTGCCTCCCGGGTTCAAGAGATTCTCCTGCCTCAGCCTCCAGAATAGCTGGGACCACAGGCATGCACTACCACACCTGGCTAATTTTCATATTTTTAGTAGAGATGGGGTTTTGCCATGTTGGCCCCACTGGTCTCGAACTCCTGACCTCAAGTGGTCCGCCTGCCTTGGCCTCTCAAATTGCTGGGATTATAGGCAAGAGCCACCGCGCCCAGCCAGTGGCTAATGATTTAGCTGATCATGCCTAAGTCATGACACCTCAATAAAAACTCTTGAGCAACAAGCTTCCAGGAGCTTCTGGGTTGATAAGCTCATGATGTGCTGGGAGGATGGCATGCCCAGAGAGGGAATGGAAGCTCCACAGCCCAGCCACTAGCCCCATACCTCGTCCTACACGTCTCTTCCATTTGGCTGTTCTTGAGTCGTATCCTTTATGGGAAACTGTATGTGAATCATCAATACAGTGCTTTGTTGAGTTCTATGAGTCACCGTAGTCTGTTAATGAACCTGAAGCAGTCATGGAAACTCCTCAATTTATAGTCAGCCAGGTAGAAGTGCAGGTAGCCTGGGGACCCCACTGGCCCTGGACGTTTTGTGGAACTGAGGCCTTGGTTTGTGTGATATGACAGTAACTCCTGATAGTACCAGAATTGAACTGTAGGACACCCAGTGAATGTTAGAGAATTGATGTTGAAACCCTAAGAACTTTGGAGGAACTGATTGTAAGAATTCTCTTCTGAAAAGCAGCCAAGTCCTCTATTGCCTCCAGAGAACCACGTTCAAATCATTGATAACAGAGTATAGTATTCTCTTTCTCTGCTTTCTTCCTCTCTTTGGTGGTTTTCAACAGGTTGTTTGGAAGTGAAAGGAAATATGTCTGTGATAGGGGGGTAAACAACACCCTGTGGCATTCAAAGTTCTAAGGCCTGATAGGCTAGAACTCCCATTTCCACATTCACATATGAAGTTGACCAGATTTGTGATTTATTCTGCTGAAATTCCCCAGAGATGGTCCAACTCTTTTACCATGGAAAAGCAACATCAGGGGATTGCATACATTAAAGGTGATATAAATTGTAGTGGGAATGGTGTTTTAGAGCACATTTTAAATAACCTATTTTGGACTCATGGCAGGCTCCCATTAGAAAACAGTTGTGAGGGCAAAATTATCCCCATCAAAATACATCAGTTATGTACCCACTTCGTCCTATTCGGCTGCACTTTTTTGTAGGATTCAGCTTTCCTTTTCTACAAATACATTTCTTCTCTTTTTTATACTTCTTACATTTTTGTTTCTATTCTTTATGTAATTGGAGTGAGGATTGTAGCGACAGAAAGGGGATGATCCCTTTCCTCCCCATCGTAAGGCTCACGGCTGACACCCCTACAACAAAAGACAGGAAAAAAGCACAACAAATTTATTTGATTCTAGTTTTATGTGGCACAGGAGGCTTCAGGATAAAGACCCAAAGACCCAGAGTAAACTATCCGTGTTTACATTTAGGTTCAAGGAAGCAGGGACAGCCACGTAGAAACGTGATTGGGCCAGGCACCATGGCCCACGCCTGTGATCCCAGCACTTTGGGAGGCCAAGGGGGGCAGATCACTTGAGGCCAAGAGTTTGAGATCAGGCTGGCCAACATGACAAAACCCCATTTCTACTAAAAATACAAAAATTAGCCAGGCGCAGTGGCGGCAGGCACCTGTAATCCCAGCTAGTCAGGAGGCTGAGACAGGAGACTCGGTTGAACCCAGGGTGTCAAGGCTGCAGTGGGCAGAGATCGTGCCATTGCACTCCAGCCTGGGTGACAAAGCAAGACTCTGTCTCAAAAATAAACAATAAATAAATAAAATCAACACATAATAAATAGAAATGTGATTGGACAAAAAGGGTATGAACTGTTAAAAGAAAAACTTCAGCTGAATTACATTTAACAGAGTTTAATTGAGTAAACAACAATTCGCGAATCAGCAGCTGCCTGAGCCAGAGTAGGCTCAGAGATGCCAGCACAGCCCCGTGGTGGAAGATTTGTGGACAGAAAAAAGAGAGTGACATACAGAAAACGGAAGTGAGGCACAGAAACAGGCAGATTGGGTATAGGTTAGTGTTTGCGTTATTTGAATGCAATTTAAACAGTTGGCCACATTTGATTGGCCAAAACTCAGTGATTGGCACAAGAGAAGACTACAGTCTATTTACAACTCCATTGAGGTTATAGTTCATGATGTGCTTTAGGTCAAACTTAAAATATGTAAGGAGAGAGCTTTAAGCCAAACTTGACTTAACAGAACTGATGGTAATAAACGGAATGGGGAAACCTAGCCAGGCTTGCCTGTTCAGATTCTTCTTGGCCTCTCGTTTGCAGCATTTCTTCTTCCTTGGTGTAGGGCAGGACCCCTCTGGAATGAGGGTCTTTATTTATGGCCGGCTGATACATTGACAGGTGGGGGAAGGTGAGAGTAATATTTTGTTGTTGTCGCCTAGACTGGAGTGCAGTGGTGCGATCTCGGCTCACTGCAACCTCTGCCTCCCTGGTTCAAGCCATTCTGGTGCCTCAACCTCCTGAGTAGCTGGGATTACAGGCACCCGCCACCATGCCTGGCTAATTTTTTGTATTTTTAGTACAGATGGGGTTTTGCCATGTTGGCCAGGCTGGTCTTGAATTGGCCTCAAGTGATCCTCTCCCTTCTCAGCTTCCCAAAACCCTGGGATTACAGGCATGAGCCACTGTGCCCGGGAGGAATATTTTTAAGCTTTATAGCTAGCTTTGAGGGAAAGGGGTTCTGGTTTCTATGACCTACCTTGGGGAAGAGGAATACTAGTTTCTGTGGCTTGCCTCAGGGAAAAATGAGGGGCAAGAGACAGAAAGGCAGGGGAAGGTCAGAGAGAAACTTCACTCCTAAGCCTTCACTTTGGGGCATCACTTTCTGAGCTCCAACATTGTTACTTGGATCCTAATTCATACACATCCCTCAGAAGCTCTGGGATCTCACAGGGTGCCTATGTGCTATGGGTTCCTGGAGCTTCGAGGAGACATCGTGAAGAAGAGTTTGGAAATGGAAAGGTTTCTGGGCCTTGGAGCTGTGATCCCCAGCTCCGCTGGAAGTGGAAGACACTGTCTCTGCGGATTTGGGATCAGCTGGATGGGGCACTCCCTGAAGTCAGAGAATGCAGGAGCACAGCTCTGTCCTGCTCCTACCTCTGTTGTGATTTGACCTGCCTTTTCCCCTTATCTGTTGGGGTAAGGGGTTATACAGCATCATATTAGGACTTGCCCACGTTGTTAAACTATTAGTGAGTCCCTAAAACAGAATCGAGTTGATGAGCCGTGTATAGTTTGCTTAACCATGTTCTTATGGCCAGTCATGCAGGTTGTTTTCAAGTTTGGCTTTTATAAATGCATCTGTAAGTAAAATATTTGTCCAAAAAAGATGTTTCCACATTTAAGGTAAATTCCCACAAATGAATTCCTCAACATCTTAAGGCTTTTGGCCCATTTTCGAAATAACTTCGCGAAGGGCTCGGTTTTCTAAAGGGCAAAGTCTAAAGTGCATTTTTTTCGTTCCTTTGCCAGCACTATTATAGTTTTTAAAAACCTTTACCAATGTAGTAGCTGGAAAATTGTTGTATTGATTTGATAAATACTTCCCTGATTACTTTTGATGTAATCAAACACTTTTGATTACCCGTCAATTTTGACTATCCCATCAATTACGTGGGAACACTTTCCCCATGTAATTGTCTGTTTTTTGAGACAAAGTCTTGCTCTGTCACCCAGGCTGGAGTGCAGTGGCAAGATCTCGTCTCACTGTAATCTTTGTCATCTGGGTTCAAGTGATTCTTCTACCTCAGCCTCCCGAGTAGCTGGAACTACAGGCAGCACCACCATACCTGGTTAATTTTTGTGTTTTTTATAGAGGTGGGGTTTCAACACGTTGGCCAGGCTGATCTGAAACTCCTGACCTCAAGTGATCTGCCTGCCTCGGCCTCCAAAAGTGCTAGGATTACAGGCCTGAGCCACCACACCGGCCTGTTTTTTTGTTTTTTTGTTTTGTTTTGTTTGAGACAGGGACTCGCTCTGTCGCCCAGGCTGGAGTATGGTGGTGCAATCACTGCTCACTGCAGCCTTGACCTCCTGGGTTCAAGTGATCCTCCTGCCTCAGCCTCCCAAAGTTCTGGGATGACTGACGTGAGCCACTGTCCCTGGCTCCTGTGTACGTGTTAGCCACTAATTTTTTTCAGGTGCTTTGCCCAACTCTGGGCTGTGCTGCCTCACACAACTTGTAATTGCAGAATGAAACGCACTAGGGACTGGCAACAACTCCAATCGCCACCTAGATGACCCAGCACGTAGCTCACAGACCCAATCACTTTTGCGGTCCAAGTTTAGAAATCACAGTTGTTAACTAGTGTGTGGTTTGCAAAACAAGTGTTAGGCATCTAGTCATTTGCTGATTCATCACATATTTTTTATGGGCCCTTTATGAGCCAGACACTATTTTAGGCCTGGTGAAAAAGACAAAAATCCCTCTTTGTACGGACTGTACATTCTAGTGAGGAGAGGAAGAAAGTAAACATCCTTAAGTCTGTTGTCAAATAAATTAAAAGATGTTCATTGCTTTAGGAAAATGAGCATCAAGGGTAGGGGGTGGTTTGGAGAAAACTGGAGGGTGAAACCTGCTGCAGATGTAAAGTGTGGTCAGGACAGAGCCCAGCAAGGAGGTGAGAGAGCCTTGGGAGCTGCCTGGGGACACTGCGTCTGGCAGAGGCACCAACCATGGGGAAGAACAGTAGGAAACCAGGAAGGCCGAAACGGGGCAAGCAATCGGAGTAATAGGACTTGATGTCAGAGAAGTCCAGGGGGTGGATCTCATAGGGTCTTGGGGGCCGTTGCAAGCATTTGGGCTTTCCTAAGGGTGAGATGGGAGGACCAGAAAGTTTTCAGCCACAAGAGTGATGAGATCTGTCTGCCGTTTGAAAAGAGTAGCTGTGGCTGGCTGCTGCATTCAAAACAGACTGCAGGGGGTCAAAGGCAGGAGCTGGAGGAGAGGGCGGAGCAGACAGACTGCTGCAAATTACCCAGAGCCCTCACGTGGCCCTGGAGCTGGTGAGTGAAAAGATCCAGGAATCCGGCAGAGCTGATGGGATTTCCTGATGGAGTGAATGTGCGCTGAGAGAAAGGGTGGAGCCACGGGCAGTTTCTATTTAAGACCTCGTAGGTTGCTATGTGCCCCATGGTCCCTTAACTAATGTCTGAGCATTTCCAGAGTTAAACCAGGAACACATTTACTCATGGGCCTAGCTCCTGGTATGAAGGGCATGATAACTAATCCCTGCCGTGAGAATTCAGAAGGGGCAATGGTTTTCTCCATGTTAATGAGGTGATGAATAAAAATGATAATGACATTGTGGCATTTGGTCCATTCTTTGATGATCTTCATGTATTCCTGTTTAACATTTTTTTCTCTACACGTTTAGAGGAACTTCTCTAGTAGCAAACTACAGAAATGATCCCTGAAAGTATCGTCTTCTGTTTAACTTGACTTAATTGAATTGGCATAGGTATTTCCTATCTTGGCAACCATGTGTGGATCTTATACAAGATTTATGCATGATGTCTTTGCTGTTGTTGTTAGAACAACTCAGCAAAATAAAATTCCATTTCATCGTTGGACAACATTGTTTCACACATCTGTGAAATAGGCCAAAAAAAATAAATAAATAAACAGCAACTTCATTGATAAATAAATAAATAAATAAATAAATAAATCTTTTATCTTTGGCCTTTTTAACCGTCTCATACAAACCAACTTTCATGCGCGTCCGTGTGAAGAGACCACCAAACAGGCTTTGTGTGAGCAATAAGGCTGTTTATTTCACCTGGGTACAGGTGGGCTGAGTCCAAAAAGAGTCAGCGAAGGGAGATAGGGGTGGGGCCGTTTTATAGGATTTGGGTAGGTAAAGGAAAAAGCGGGGTTGTTCTCTGGCGGGCAGGAGTGGGGGTCATAAGGTGCTCAGTAGGGGAGCTTCTGAGCCAGGATGAGCCAGGAGAAGGAATTTCACAAGACAATGTCATCAGTTTAGGCAGGAACAGGCCATTTTCACTTGTTTTGTGGTGGAATGTCATCAGTTAAGGCAGGAAGCGGCCATCTGGATGTGTACATGCAGGTCACAGGGGATATGATGGCTTAGCTTGGGCTCAGAGGCCTGACATTCCTGTCTTCTTATATTAATAAGAAAAATAAAATGAAATAGTGGTAAAGTGTTGGGGTGGCGAAAATTTTTGGGGGTGGTTTGGAGAGATAACGGGCGATGTTTCTCAGGGCTGCTTCGAGCAGGATTAGGGGCAGCGTGGGAATCTAGAATGGGAGAGAGAAGCTGAAGGAAGATTTTGTGGAAAGGGGTGATATTGTGGGGTTGTTAGAAGAAACATTTGTCTTATAGAATTATTGATGATGGCCTAGATACAATTTTGTATGAAGTGAAAAAAGAAGGGAATAAGACAAGGAGAAAAACAGGTATTAAAGGACTAAGAATTGGGAGGACCTAGGACATCTACCTAGAGAGTGCCTAAGGAGGTTCAGCATAGCCTTGCCAGCAAAGATTATTTATTTACTTTAAGAGTTAAGAGTGGCGGTTTGGGGATAGCACCAGGCGATATCAGCTGCGATGGCTTGGAGAAACAGTGTGAACCGGCAGTGTAAACAAGAGCAGGGCATGTATGAGTAGTTGAGAATGGTGAATAGGAGTATGACTAGACAGAAGATAGTAGGGATGACAAGTTTTCTGGGGCACAGTCCAAGTTGGTCTGGTGTCTGGAATGAGACTGGGGCTTAATAAAAAGGAGCGTCCATACAGGAGCTCAAATGGGCTGTACCCTGTAGCATTCCGAGGACAGGCCTGAATTCTGAGAAGGGAAAGTGGTAAAAGTATTGTCCAGTCCTTTTTAAGTTGGAGGCTGAGCTTGGTAAGATGTGTCTTTAAAAGACCATTAGTCCGTTCTACCTTTCCTGAATATTGAGGATGGTAAGGGGTACGAAGTTTCCACTGAATACCAAGAGCCTGAGAAACTGCTTGGGTGATTTGACTAATAAAGGCTGGTCTGTTATTGGACTGTATAGAGGTGGGAAGGCCAAACCGAGGAATTATGTCTGACAGAAGGGAAGAAATGACCGCGGTGGCCTTCTCAGACCCTGTGAGAAAGACCTCTACCCATCCAGTGAAAGTGTCTACCCAGACTAAGAGATATTTTAGTTTTCTGACTTGGGGCATGTTGAGTAAAGCCAATTTGCCAATCCTGGTGGGGGGCGGGGGCAAATCTCCAAGCTTGATGTGTAGCGAAGGGAGGGGGCCGGAACAATCCCTGAGGGGCAGTAGAATAGCAGATGGAACACTGAGAAGTGATCTCCTTGAGGATAGATTTCCATGATGGAAAGGAAATGAGAGGTTCTAAGAGACGGGCTAGCGGCTTGTAACCTACATGGAAGAGGTTATGAAATGACCACAGAATAGAATGGGCCTGTGAGGCTGGAAGGAGATATTTTCCTTGGTCTAAGAACCATTTGCCTTGTGTGGGAAGAGATTGATAGGTGGAAGTTTCAGCGGGGGAGTAGGTGGGAGTGAACGATGTGAAGGAGAGAAACTGGCCGTGAAGGACAGAAGTTGGAAAGCTAGCTGCTTGTCTAGCCACCTTATCAGCATAAGCATTGTCTAGAGCAACGGGATCTGATGCGTTTTGATGCCCCTTGCAGTGAATGACCCCAGCTTCTTTTGGAAGTAAAGCGGCCTTAAGCAGAGTTTTTATTAAAGAGGCATTAATGATGGAGGACGCTTGCGTAGTGAGGAAACCTCTTTCAGCCTGTATAACAGCATGGTGGTGCAGAATATGAAAGGCATATTTAGAGTCAGTATAAATATTGACGCGTAGTCCTTTTGCAAGAGCGAGGGCTTGAGTTAAGGCAACTAATTCGGTTTGTTCAGAGGTAATGGAGGGGAGCGGAGCGGTAGCCTCAGTGATAGATGTGGAAGATACTATAGCATAGCCTGCCTTTGCTGATGAGTGGCGATTAGGCCTGCTGGAACTGCCATCAATAAACTAAATGTGATCGGGGTGAGGAGCAGGAAGGAAGGAAATATGGGGAAATGGGGTGAATGTCAGGTGGATCAGCCAGATACAGTTATGAGGGTCAGATGTGGTATCCAGAATAATGTGGGAGGCCAGATTGAAGTCCGGGCCAGGAACAATGGTAATTGTGGGAGACTCAACAAAGAGTGAGTACAGCTGAAGGACCCGGGGAGCAGAAAGTATATGCATCAGGTGTGAGGCAGAAAATAGACTTGGGAAGTTATGAGAGGTGTAGAAAGTGAGTTGACCATAGTTTGTGATTTTAAAGGTCTCTGAAAGTATTAGGGCAGTGGCGGCCGCTGCACGCAGACATGAGGGCTAGGCTAAAACAGTAAGGTCAAGTTGTTTGGACAGAAAGGCTACACAGTGCTGTCCCAGCTCTTTTGTAAGAATTCTGACCGCACTAACCATGCCTGGGAAGGAAAGGAGTTGTTGTTTTGTAAGGGATTGAGGTTTGGGAGATTAGCCAGACATGATCAGCAGGGAGAGCATGTGTGTTTTTATGAGAATTATGCCGAGATAGGTAACAGATGAGGAAGACATTTGGGCTTGACTGAAGTAATGGGTGCTGTCCGTGAAGTTTTGCAGCAGTATAGCCCAGGTAATTTGCTGAGCCTGATGGGTGTCAGGGTCAGTCCAAGGGAAAGCGAAGAGAGGCTGGGATGAAGGGTGCAAAGGAATAGTAAAGAAAGCATGTTTGAGATCCAGAACAGAATAATGGATTGTGGAGGGAGGCATTGAGGATAGGAGAGTATATGGTTTTGGCACCACGGGGTGGATAGGCAAAACAATTTGGTTGATAAGGCACAGTCTTGAACTAACCTGTAAACTTTGTCTGGTTTTAGGACAGGTGAAATGGGGGAATTGTAAGGGGAGTTTATAGGCTTTAAAAGGCCATGTTGTAGCAGGTGAGGGAAAACAGGCTTTAATCTTTTTAAAGCGTGCTGTGGGACAGGATATTGGCATTGAGTGGGTAAGGGTGATTAAGTTTTAATGAGATTGTAAGGGGTGCATGATCAGTCGCCAAGGAGGGAGTAGAGGTATCTTATACTTGTGGGTTAAGGTGCGGGGATACGAGAGGAGAATGCGAAGGAGGCTTTGAACTGGGGAAAAGGGCAGCAATGAGGTGTGGCTGTAGTCCAGGAACAGTCAGGGAAGCAGATAATTTAGTTAAAATGTCTTGGCCTAATAAGGGAACCGGGCAGGTGGGGATAACTAAAAAAGAGTGCAAAAAAGAATGTTTTCTAAGTTGGCACCAGAGTTGGGGAGTTTTAAGAGGTTTAGAAGCCTGGCTGTCAATACTTACAACAGTTATGGAGGCAAGGGAAACAGGCCCTTGAAAAGAAGGTAATGTGGAGTGGGTAGCCTTCGTATTGATTAAGAAGGGGACGGACTTAACCTCCACTGTGAGAGTTAATCAGAGTATCTGTGATGGTCCTGTAGGCTTCCGAGGCAATCCGGCAGTGTCAGTCTACAGCCGCTAAGCTGAGAAGATCTGGGAAGGAGTCAGTCAGAGAGCCTTGGGCCAGAGTTCCAGGGGCTCTGGGAGTGGCTGCCAGGTGAGTTGAACAGTCTGATTTTCAGTGGGGTCTCGCTCAGATGGGACGTGGCTTAGGAGGAATCCCGGGCTGTGGGCATTCCTTGGCCCAGTGGCCAGATTTCTGGCACTTGTAGCAAGCTCCTGGGGGAGGAGGTTCTGGAGGAACCCCTGGCAGCTGCGGTTCAGGTGTTTGGAGTTCTTGTGTGCTGGAGATGTGGCTGGGGTTTGTCTCACAGTGGAGGCAAGGAATTGCAACTCAGAAATATGTTGCTACTTGGCTGCCTCTACTTTATTATTGTACACCTTGAAGGCCAGGTTAATTAAGTCCTGTTGTGGGGTTTGAGGGACGGAATTTAATTTTTGGAGCTTTATTTAATGTCGGCAGCAGATTGGGTAATAAAATAAATGTATATTGAGAATAAGACGGCCTTTTGACCTTTTAGGGTCTAGGGCTGTAAAGCGTCTCAGAGTTGCTGCTAAAGGGGCCATGAACTGGGCTGGGTTTTTTATATTTGATGAAAAAGAGCCTAAACACTAACTGATTTGGGAGAGGTCAGATAAAGAAAAAGCATTAACCTTGACTATGCCTTTAGCTCCAGCCACCTTTTTAAGAGGAAATTGCTGGGCAGGTGGGGGAGGGCTAGTCATGGAATGAAACTGTAAGCCAGACCGGGTGTGAGGAGGGGAGGTGATAAAAGGATTATAGGGTGGAGGAGCGGAGGCTGAGGAAGAATCGGGACCTAGCTCGGCCTGGCAAGGAGGGGAGAGGTCAGATGGGTCTGTAGAAAAGGAAGATTAGAAAGACTCAGCGATGCTTGGGGTTGGGACTGAGGGGACAGGCGGGAGGGAAAGAAGGAAGATTTGGGATGAGTTGCATGGGGAACAGAGACTAGGGAGGGTCCAATGTGTAAAAGAATGCCTGGACATCGGGCATCTCAGACCATTTGCCCATTTTACAACAAGAATTATTTAGATCTTGTAGGATGGAAAAATTGAAAGTGCCGTTTTCTGGCTATTTGGAACCACTGTAGAGTTTATACTGGGGTCAAGTGGCATTGCAGAAGAAAATAAGGCATTTAGGTTTTAGGTCAGGTGTAAGTTGAAGAGGTTTTAAGTTCTTGAGAACACAGGCTAAGGGAGAAGAAGGGGGAATGGAGGGTGGAAGGTTGCCCATAGTGAAGGAGGCAAGCCCAGAGAAAAGAGAGAGTAGAGACACGGAGGGAAGGGGTTCAGGGGTTCTTACCCTCCAGAAAAGCAGGAAAGGGGTTGGGGTGTGTAAATAAGGGGTTGGGGCACAGAGATAAGAGGTTGGAGTGTGGAAATAAGGGGTCAGGGTGCAGAGATAAGAGGTCGGGGCATGGAAATAAGGGATTGGGGCACAGAGATAAGAGATCGGGGCATGGAAATAAGGGATCGGGGGGTTCTTGCCCCCTAGAGAAGCGATACTTGCCGCTAAGGGTGAAGGAGAAGGGGGGTTGGGGGGGTTTCTTGCCCCCCAGAAAAGCAGAGAAGGGGTGGAGACATGGAGAGAAGGAGTTGGGGGGTTCTTGCACCCCAGAAAAGCGGTACTTGCCGCTAAGGGTGAGGGACAAAGGCAGGCGTCCTTGAGTGGTCAGACACCTCTGAAACATGGGTGAATTATCAGAGAGGCGTCCCTACAATGATTAAACACCAAGGGAAGGCTGCCTTCCCTAGTCCGTGACTGGCACCGGAGTTTTGGGTCCACGGATAAAACGTGTCTCCTTTGTCTCTACCAGAAAATGAAAGGAATTGAAATTAAGAGAAGTGAGAGATTGAAGGGTGGTGCAAAGATTGAAAGGAGAAAGTGGTTGAGGGATAGTGAGAGAGGTTGGAGAAGAGAGTAAGAAGAGGCTGCTTACCCAATTTAAAATTGGTGAGTTGTTCCTTGGGCTGGTGGGTCTGAGGACCTGAGGTCCTAGGTGGATCTTTTTCACGGACCAAAGAGCAGGAGGACAGGGGATTGATCTCCCAAGGGAGGTCCCTTGATCCGAGTCATGGCACCAAATTTCATGCGCATCCATGTGAAGAGACCACCAAACAGGCTTTGTGTGAGCAACAGGGCTGTTTATTTCACCTGGGTGCAAGCGGGCTGAGTCCGAGAAGAGAGTCAGCGAAGGGAGACAGGGGTGGGGCTGTTTTATAGGATTTGGGTAAGTAAAGGAAAAAGCGGGGTTGTTCTCTGGCAGGAAGGAGTGGGGGTCACAAGGTGCTCAGTAGGGGAGCTTTTGAGCCAGGATGAGCCAGGAGAAGGAATTTCACAAGATAATGTCATCAGTTAAGGCAGGAACAGGCCATTTTCACTTCTTTTGTGGTGGAATGTCATTAGTTAAGGCAGGAACCGGCCATCTGGATGTGTACGTGCAGGCCACAGGGGATATGATGGCTTAGCTTGGGCTCAGAGGCCTGACACCAACTATCTATAGTACAGCTAAGTGCATGTACAAAAAAAGTTACTGGAATGCTCAGAATAAGATTGTTTAGTTGTTTTTGCTTCTTTCTACGAGGTTTCTTTTGTTCTTTGAGGTGATGATGAACTTGGTCACACCACAAGTAAAGTCAGAAGTAAGGCAGAGGATGCTCAGTAGGCTGGTTTGATCACCTGAGATCATTAAAAATGGCTGACTGCCAGCTGGGCGCAGTGGCTCACACCTGTAATCCCAGCACTTTGGGAGGCTGAGGCAGGCAGATCACGAGGTCAGGAGATCGAGACCATCTTGGCTAACGTGGTGAAACGCCGTCTCTACTAAAAATACAAAAAATTAGCCAGGCGTAGTGGGGGGCGCCTGTAGTCCCAGCTACTCGGGAGGCTGAGGCAGGAAAATGGCATGAACCCGGGAGGCGGAGCTTGCAGTGAGCTGAGATCGCAGCACTGCACTCCAGCCTGGGCAACAGAGCGAGACTCCATCTCAAAAAAAAAAAAAAAAAAAAGGCTGACTCCTGACAATACGTGCAAAAATATAAAAGGAAACTAAAAAATACTAACAAATCTCCTTTTAAAATTACTTAAAAAAATAAAAATAAAAAGCAGGGCCTTGGAAGTTTTGATTCCTTTTTCCTCTCCTGTTGCAAACTCATGTTGTGGTTTTGGGTGGGTGGTGGAGAGTGTGTCACCAGCAGGTGGCGCTGTCGGCAGTGGCTGGGCCTCTCTCTCCAAGGTGACCATGTCTAGTTTATGAGAAGGGAAGTGGAGGGTGAATAGGTCACGGCCGCCTTTTTTTTCTTTGACTTTTCTGCTGCCTGGCTATCCTCCTCATCTTCTGCTTTGCGATATCAACACCACTATCTTCTCTATCTGCAGTGCCCTGTTTGCCACCAGGGGCTCTAGCTTCTTCATTCATCTCCACCCTCTTCCTTGCCTCCACCTTCTTCCTCCTCCTCTTCCTCCCCACCTTCTTCCTCTTCTTTGTCCTCCTTATCGTCAGCCTCATCTCCCCATTTTCTTCATTGGGGTTCCCACTAGCAGGGGCATCTCTTCCCCTTTCTCCACCTGCACAACTTGTTTCTTCTCCTTTAAGTGGTTGGTGGTCATCTCAGAGTTGGTGTCCACAGATGGATGTCTGTGACACAGCGGGCTCCCCGGTGATCCCATGTGTTGGATAAGAAGAAAGCAAGAGTTTGAGGACTCTGCCAATAAAATGGGGACAATGCAAAGATGGCTTTTCAGAGCGGCCAGTGGGCACCTGATGACTTTTGAACTCACCAACACTGGCAGTGATTTGATTTTGTGTTCACCTGGCCTTTGGGTTGTTGGGCACGGTGAAGGAGGGTGACAAATGACAGGCAGAAAGGAATCAGATGCATGATTTTGTGAAGATGTAGGACATTTTGTTATTCAAGGAATGTTCAGTTATGAGTGCCGGTCATTGTTTTTAAAGGAAGGGACATACTTAACATTTTAAGTATTCTATTTTCTTACCTGAAATTTAAAAGAAAGGAAGAAATAAGAGGTCTGGCAGCCCCCACTGCAGAGACTAAAATGTGACAGGCGGGTGAGTTGAGAGGGAAACAGCTGGCTGGTTTGTCTCTGTGGTGGCTTCTATTTTGGGAAAGTTGGTGATCGCCTTGCCTCACTGTTCTGATGTTCTCAGTGGCCTCAGCTGAGCTGCAGTGGAGTGAGGGGTGGAGGAAGCACGAACGGTGACAGTCGTTCCAGCTACCTTGCAATGTGGCAGATGGGAATAAACGCCCATGAACTGGGAGAAGATTTGACGGCTGCCTATTGCTGTGTAAACCTGGCCAAGGCATTTTACACTTCTAAGCCTCAGGAAAAAAGAAATCATTCTCATTGCCCTACCTATTTCTAAAAATCGCATGAGTCTCCAAAATTGCAAGTGATATGACATAAAATCGTTTTGGGAACACTAAAGACCTATACAAATATAAGCCCCCATTATTGATTTAGCTGCAGGGTACGTCATTCATACACATGAAGTATGTTATACTCAAAGACTGTATACACGTTCCTGTATCAGCCTGAAATCTGTATTAAGTTTTCTAGATATAAAGAGTCCATTATTTTATGACTGGAATTTTCCTGCTCTATGCACTTGTTTATTATAAAGGTCATGATGGGATTTCATTTTTAACCTGTGTGCATGTGTGTGTGTGTGTGTGTGTGTGTGTGTGTGTGTGTGCAATATCAATAGTAGAAGGGAAAAAAGAAAGGTGACCTAGCCTGGGCAACATAGAGAAACCCCATCTCTACAAAAGATGCAAAAATTAGCTGGGCATGGTGGCATACACCTATTGTCCTAGCTACTTAGGAGACTTAGGTGAGAGGATCGCTTGCACCCAGGACCTCCAGGCTGCAGTGAGCCAAGATCGCACCACTGCACTCCAGGCTGAGCAACAGAGTGAGAACCTTTCTAAAAAAAAAAAAAAAAAGGTGACAAGACCTTCCATAACATGGATAAGGCCTTACAGATGATCCAGTCCAATTTCCTCAAGTTTTAAAGAAGCTGGGTTCCACGGTATTAACTGAATGATTTCAAGATTACACAGCTAGTCTGAGCAGAACTGGGACAGGTCCCCAAGTCAACAAACTCCTGCCCCAGCAGGTTTTTTTACCTCCTTTTCCTTCTTTCACATTTTCTACAATTTTGCCATACATATGAGCACAGAGAGTTATGCTACAAATACACACACACACACACACACATATATGTATATACACACACAAATATTATATAACATTCTTTCCTCAACAGTCTCCTTCCCCCAAGCAAGAAGTTTCCACTAAACCTTGAACAATTTTGCTCAAAGCTTTATGGCTAAAAAAGTGGAGGAAGCAGAGAACATATATTTTCAGAGCAACATCTAATCCAGAATTGCTTTTCTCCTTAGCCCTTAATTAACTTCTTTTTAAATTCAAAAATTTTTTCAGATATATCTAAAATAGTATTATATACAATTGACCTGAGACTGTCTCAGATTTAAAGAAGCGTTTCTGGAAATCTCGCCCAACACCTTCCCTCGCACCTCATGTGGCTCTCCTGCCCTTGGGGAAAGTAGTTTGGGTTTCATAGTTTGCTTTTAGTAGAGGTTCTCTTTCTCTCTCTCTCCTTTTTGGAGACAGAGTCTCATTCTGTTGCCCAAGCTGCAGTGCAGTGGCAGCATCATAGCTCGCTGCAGGCCAGAACCTCTGGGCTCAAGTGATCCTCCTGCCTTGGCCTCCCTAGTAGCTAGAAGTACAGGTGTGTGCCATGACGCCTGGCTAGAGACTGTCTTATGAATGCTGAGTGGAGGCTGGATTGGTGGGAGCACTGGCCAATTGCCATAGGGGTCTTTATTGAGCACCAAGCAAAGCAACCTCCTCCCTCGCCTTTAGGGTCCTCATATCCATGCTTGCTTCTCTTCCTAGGATGCATTGTGTCTGAGTTTATCTTCTTTCTTTATCTGTGTACATATGTATTGTCTTACTCTCTCTTCATTAGAATGTAAGCTTCCTGAGAGCAGAGAGCTGGCTTGTGTTGTTCACCTGCGTACCTTGAGTGACCAGAGAGTGATTGGCACTGTTTTTAAATTTTTTAAATTTTATTATTGGTTTTTGAGACAGGGTCTCTTTCTGCCACCCAGGCTGGAGTACAGTGGTGCAGTCATGGCTGACTGCAGCGTTGACTCCCTAGGCTCAAGCAATCCTCTTGCCTCAGCCCTCCCTAGTAGCTGGGACTACAGGTGTGCACCACCATGCTTGGCTAATCTTTTTATTTTTTATAGAGATGAGGGCCGCGCTGTGTGGCCCAGGCTGGTCTCGAACTCCTGGGCTCAAGCCGTCCTCCCACCTCAGCCTCGCAAAGTGCTGGGATTACAGGCATGAGCCACCACATCGGCCATTTTAAATATTTATTAAAAGGACAAAAGGGTTGTGGGGTTAACGGTTTGAACATCTTGATCCATATTCTCAGATCACCTTCCCAAAAATGTCAGAATTCACAATCCCATTAGGAATGTCTAGGAGGATCTTTTCACTTGAATCCTCTCTGAAGCTGGGTATGATAGTTTTTAAAATCCTTGTTAATATGATAGGAAAAATTTTTAAAAGCACTTATGTTTTAATTTGCATTTCTTTGTTGCAATGTATTTTAGAAAGATTTTTATTCCAACAGATTTTTAAAAGGTGTGGTAACATTCCATTATGTCAGTACCTCCTTGGTAATCTTCCCTGACAATGCTGGATGGATCAAAGGGGACTGTATCACCCTCTCTTAGTTATGGGCATCAAACATGTTTGAAGGTATTTTGAGAAGTATAAACAAGTTATGCAATCAGAATGATTTCTTTTGCTCAAGATGAGAGTATAGAAGACAATGCTTTCACTCAAATAGCACTTGAAAATTACTCTAATGCTTGCCACCTAAGTGACAAGATCATTCGTATCTCAGCATCGTGCAATATACACATGTAACAAACCGGCACATGTACCCCCTGAATCTGGAATAAAAGTTGAAATTATTAAATAAATAGGTAAATAAAAAAAGTAAAGTATTACTTTACAAATGTGGCAACAGGAGGAATTATAGAGAAGGAAATGATTATACTATTGAACATATTATTTCCTCCCTGAGTATTTTAACTATTGTAAGTCAACAGAGGAATTTGCAGGTTTTAGAAAGTCGCTCCAGTCATTCTGATTATTGATTAGTTTTGCTTAATTTTAAATAGTCTATTATGGCTGGGTGGAGGTGGCTCATACCTGTAATCCCAGCACTTTGGGAGGCTGAGGTGGGCGGATCACCTGAGGTCAGGAGTTTGAGACTAGCCTGGTTAACATGGTGAAACCCTGCCTCTACTAAAAATACAAAAACTAGCTGGGCTTGGTGGCAGGCACCTGTAATCCCAGCTACTCTGGAGGCTGAGGCAGGAGAATCACTTGAACCTGGGAGGCAGAGGTTGCAGTGAGCTGAGATTGCACCACTGCACTCCAACCTGGGTGAGAGTGAGACGCTGTCTCAAAAAAAAAAACAAAACACCAAACCAAAACTAAAAAGACTATTAAAAAATAACAAAAATAAAAAAGAAATAACATATATGTCTAAAAATGGAGTAGTCTAAAGAAGCAGGGTGTGGTGGCTCCCACATATAATCCTAGCCCTTTGGGAGGCTGAGGCCAAAGGATGGCTTGAGCCCAGGAATTCAAGGCTGCAATGAGCTATGATCCCACCACTGAACTCCAGCCTGGGCAACAGAATAAGACCTTGTCTCAAGAAAAACAAAAAGGACTCTAAAGATACCTAGTTATATTTGGGATACATTGGCAGGTTCAGAACTACTAGTATGGAACAGAAAGGAAGAAATTGATTGACTCATTTCCCAACTACTTATTCACCCACGGAACATTCCTAATGAACACACACAGGAGTCATTGCTCATAAGGTTCAATTAGTCCACTTACGCAGTGGAGTCCATCCTTGCAAATGCACACAGAAAGAGAACATTTGGCGTCTGAAAGAATCTGGTTCAAGTCGCATGTCTGTGGATCAAAGTAAAAATTTAAAAATAATTTTTACTAAAGCTCCATGAACCACGTTTGTAACTTGGGGATGAATTAGTTTGAAATCTCCTTTTTCCTCAGCATTTTTGCAGCCCATGTGTGCAGGGCCGGGCAGGGAATCATGGTGGTGGCCCCAGGTGGCAGGGTTGGGAGCTGGGACAGAGACTTACAAGGGCACCCATGGCTGCCATCACTCTGTACCCCTGCGGAGACTGCAGAGTGAACGGGCTCTATCTTCTCTCCACCCATTTCTTCTGGCTGTTTTGGTCTGTTGATTTCCAGTTTCCCAAAGCAACATATCTTTCTTGGCCTGTTTGGAAAGAGAACTGTTGCTAAGATTATTGAACTCGCAAGGGAAAGTTCTTGTGTTTACAGCTGTCTAACGCGGGGCATTATTCTAAGCAGATGATTGCATTGTTATAGACAGACATCTACGAGGTCAGTTTTTCCTAACCACTGTAATAAATCTAATGATAACCAGTTAACTTGACAAAGCCATTTCTCAAAGCAGCTTCAGTGTTTGATAAATACTTTTCCTTTTCTGGAATTTCTATTCTAGTTATTACATTTGGGAGTAGAATGCACACCCATCACAAAATGCCTAGCCTTTAAGCTCCCACGGTGGAATTCAATATAATTAAAAGCAACAAGTATTTAAGTTTCTAGTAATGCCAGCTCTATGTGAAAAATTTGGGGAACATCCAAGAAATATAAGTCTTGTAAATGATGTCCTAATTACGAAAAGAAATAAAAACACCTTCTCCAGTTTTCCGTTTCCAGTTTATTCATCTGAGGAATGCTTTCTCCAGATAGGACGGGATAATTGACTCCTTTAACTTGGTAACCCATTCTACAGGGAAACGGGAGAAGTCCTCCCCTGTGGCTCACTCTATATGGCCGATGCCTTCCTTTAAAGAGTTCAAACTGTAGCACCTTCATCACACCTTTGGTTTTTGAGCTCCAACAGAGCAAGGTGATTCAACTTTGGAAATAGAATGACAGAGAGAGACTGGGTGCAGTGGCTCATGCCTGTAATCCCAGCATTTTGGGAGACCAAGGTGGGAGGACTGCTTGAATCCAGGAGTTCAAGACCAGCTTGAGCAACATAGTGAGACCTCGTCTCTACAAAAGACAAACAAAATTAGCAAGCGTGGTGGTGCGTGCCTGTAGTCCCGCCTATTTGGGAGGCTGAGGTGGGAGAATCATTTGAACCTGGGAGGTCGAGGCTGCAGTGAGTGGAGATTGCACCACTGCATTCCAGCCTGGGTGACAGAGCAAGACCCTGTCACACACGTACACACACGCAAAAATGACAGAGAGGCAGAATTCTCCTAAGTGGAAATGAAATACAGAATACCATGATTTAGTTTTCCTGTAGTTCTTTCCCTAACGTTTGACAATAGCTTTCCTTTTGGGTGATCAGTGTCCTTTGGTTTTACCTCATAGCCCTGTGAGGTTGCCGTGTTGAGTCTTGTTTTCATACCACATTGACGGTCCTTTCTAGTGGCCTGAAGGTTTTTGTTATTATTTTGAAAAGCTTTATTGATATATAATTCACATACCATACAGTTCACTCATTTGAAGTGGACATTTCAATATTTGGAAGCCTATTCACAGCATATGCGCAACCATTACCACAGCCAATTTTAGGATAATTTTTTCTTTCTGTTTTTTACTGTGGGGTTTTGCAGTGAAAACCAGAAAACCTGCTAGACAAATTCCAAAAGAGCTGTAACACGCGATTTCAGAACGTTTAATCACCTCAAGAAGAAACCTGAAGGATCCTTCCGTCGCCGCCTCTATCTCTGTCCCCTCCAGCCCTCAGAAACAACTAATCTATGTTCTTTCTTTAAAAAAAAAAAATCTTTGAAGCCTTCATAAATCAGCCCTTTGATTTAAATCTCCATCTCACTCCGCCACTATTTTTGATCAATTCTTCACCAGAGCTTCATCTTGACATGTGCTCTGCCACAGTGCTAAGGAACAGAGTGACCCCCCACCCCACTCCCGACAGAAGCAGCCCCAGAGAGAGAAGCAGAGGGTCAGGGTCAGGGTCAGCACCGAGTGTGCTCGGGTGAACTGCAAGTCTTGACTTAGTCTTGAGGACCTCCTCAGTCTTGCACCCCTTCCTTCAGCAACACCTGCCGGGATGCGTCTTTCGGCCTCCTCTGAAATACAAAAACATTTTGTGGTCTAGCTGCTCACTGTATTTTCACTCTGTGGTTTTCTTTAATTTACACCCCTCTTCTACTCTGCTGGCCTTCAGGATTTTTTTATTTTTATTCACCACACTCATCAGGGAACAAATGCATAATCCTTCATCTGGCTTCTGCTGTCAGTCAGTTTGAATCTTGGTTGCCTTCTCAGCCATAAACTTTATCACCTGGCCTCATGCCTTCGGCTTTGTCCTTGATTTTGGAAGCGCAGTGAATCAACATTATTTATCTTTGCAGAAGGCAGTATCTTAACCACCACATAGTAGCATTAATCTGTCACATCGTCCCGAACATGCAAGACACTATTTGTTATTGAAGAGGAGACTTCTTTATGGAAGGATATTGTCTACTCTTAGTAAAGTATCTCAACTTATGATCCCCAATACTTCCAAGAAGGGTAAGCGTGAGAGAAGATACAGTTGGGGGTGTCTGGGGGGAGGTTACCGATGGACAGGTTAGCAAATAGAGCATTGTAAAGGAGATCAGTGAAGTAAGATTTTCATAAAATAACAGGTAGAATTTTGGTGAGTTTTCCAGTTCAATTTTTAACCATTCCATATTCAAATATTGTTTTGAAGAGGCATTAACTCAGGCTTTAAAAAATGTTGCTGAATCAGTGTGCAGGAGGGAGAAAAATAATTTTAAAATGTCGCTGAAAAATTATATTCTTCTGGTATGAAATAATTATATGCTTCTGGTATGAAATAATTATATTCTTCTGATATTAGAAAGCCTCTTATTTCTTAAACAGGCTTAAACTATTTCAATTAATCTTTCTCTATGCAATCAGGACTCTAAGGACTGACATGAAACTACATAGAATCCAGTACACCTTCTGTTTAGGGTCTTTTACTTATTCACAACTAGCTTCTTAAAAAAGTCAAACCCTATAAAATACCTTATAAAAGACTAAGTAAACATTGTACTTTACAAAAATTTTATTATTTTTAAAATTTATTTTTTAATTTTTATCCTTACAGAGGAGGTCTTGCTATGTTGCCCAAACTGGTCTTGAACTCGCAGGCTCAAGCAATCTTCCTGCCTTGGCCTCCCAAAATGCTGGGATTACAGGTGTATAAGCCACCGCACCCAGCCATACTTTTTTGTGTGTGTTATTTTTTCGTTTTTGTTTTTTTGAGACATGGTCTTGCTCTGTTGCCCATACTGGAGTATGGTGGTGCAATCTCGGCTCACTGCAACCTCCGCCTCCCAGGTTCAAGTGATTCTCCTGCCTCAGCTTCCCGAGTAGCCTGGATTACAGGCACCCGCCACCATGCCTGGCTAATTTTTTTTTTTTCAGTAGAGACAGAGTTTCACCATGTTGGCCAGGCTGGACTTGAACTCCTGACCTTGAACTCCTGACCTCAAGTGATCTGCCCTCCTCAGCCTCCCAAAATGCTGGGATTACAGGCATGAACCACTGCACCTGATCCATATTTTTAAATTTAAATTTAAGTTTTTATTTTTGAGACAAGGTCTTGCTCTGTCACCCAGGCTGGAGTGCAGTGGCAAGAACATGGCTCACTGCAGCCTTGACCTCCTGGGCTCAAGCAATTCTCTGGCCTCAGTCTCCTGAGTAGCTGAGACTACAGGTATATACTATTATGCCCAGCTAATTTTTTGTAGAGCTGAGGTCTCACTTTGTTGCCCAGGCTGGTCTCAAACTCCTGGACTCAAGTGATCCTCCCGTCTTGGGCTTCCAAAGTTGCTGGGGTTACAGGCGTGAGCCACTGCGCCCAGCCAGTACTTTATATTTATTGTGCCTGCATTTATATGGGAACTTCCTGTCATATTTCCTTTTTAAAAATTTCTAAATTCCTAAAACCTTAATTAATAGAGCACATCGTCCTCTTAGGTTGTGAGTCCTTCTAAGGGAAAAGCAGTATCTCCTGGTGTGGTCTGGTGTGGTCTTAATCTTCAGTGTCACAAGAGCAAGCCTGCCCCCACCAGCGCCACAGTGAGGTGACACAGAAGAGCGCCGGGCACCACGTGTTTACTTGCATTCCTCTGGTCCCGTGGAAGCCCATTATTCCTTTCCTGAATCGTATCTGAGCCAAAGGCCCTATATGGCCAAGATTCCCTGTTCGGTGATGAAATGCCAGCACATGACATTCTTTCTAATGAGTCACAGTCAATAAAAAATGTTTTCTAAATGAATCTGACTATGTCTCCACACCAAGCAACACAGAAGAAAAGTCTTATCAAACCAAAACATCTTATCAGCTGAGCCCAGACAGACCTTTCAGTTTTGCAAGCAAGGTGAAATGCGTTCCCACACAAAGCGAAAACCCAGTCTCTCCTTAGTTTTCCTTGGATACATGTGTTATATACTATGAGGAAATGAGGGAGACATGTATTGGGAAATATTTTCAGGGTTTGGAGACTGATGAGAGATTACCGAGGAGTTTGTGTACAATAATAAGAACACAGCTAAAGACATTCACTTTTGAGAGCCTCCATGTAAACATTAGGTTAATATCACATGCTGAACATGCCTTTTTTTTTTTTGCAATGCTTTATTTTCATTATGAACACGGTCTTTACATGGAATAGCACTGACCCTATTATTAGAAGTGGAAATCTATTAGCCATGCATTTTGTTGTTGTTGTTGCTTCTAAAGAGACTTACAGGGGGCTTAGGAAAGCCACAAAGAATCCCCACGGTGTGCACACATCAACCACAGACAGGTTAACCCTTCAGGCTCAGGGAAAATGAACATGAACTGAAGAAATAAAATGTAATGATCACCCAGAGGTTAACTATTAGGTTTACTATTACAGTGAAAGGGAAAAATAATCTTAAAAAATTTTTTATTTATTATTTTTTATAGAGACAAGGTCTTGCCATATGCCCAGGCTGGTTTTGAACTCTTGGGCTCAAGCCATCCTCCTGCCTCAGCCTCTCAAAGTGTTGCGATTACAGGGGTAAGTCACTGCACTTGGCTTTTTTTTGGAGACAGGGTCTCATTGTGTCACCCAGGCTGGAGTGCAGTGGCACAATCATGCAATCATGGCTCACTGCAGCCTCAATCTCCTGGGTCCAAGTGATCCTCCTGCCTCAGCCTCCCAAGTAGCTTGGGACTATGAGTGTATTCCTCCATGCCCAGCTAATTTTTGCTGCTGTTGTTGTTTTGTAGAGACGAGGGCTCACTTATTGCCCAAGCTGGTCTCAAACCCCTGGGCTCAAGTGGTCCTCCTACCTCGGCCTCCCAAAGTGTTGGGATTACAGGTGTGAGCCACTGTGCCCAGCCAGAAAAAAGAAAATCTGAAGGAAAAAATACAAGCAAGCCATGTATACACAGTTTTGTCCCCTAAAACTACGGTACAGAAGAGAGGGTATAAATTACAGGACTGGCATCCATAAAATTCCCTAAAGGAAAGATATACAACATCTAGGGTTCATCTGTAAGTCAAAGCAAACCCAAGTCAGAATGAGATGAAGGATTTAAATATGACCAAGGTGCCAACATGTAAATGATACCATAGACAAGTGAGAACTCATCTGGGCCTTGAACTTGACTTTCTCTCAAGTACTCCCAATAAAGTTACCCAGTAAGGAAAAGAGGTGGGTGGGGGATTAAGTTCTTATTGGCCCATCAAGAGTTTGTTTCTTTAAATTATCCATTGCCTTTGGTAATACCATGTGCTTCTCTTTCTGTGGGAGAAACTACATAATATCCAGAGAAGGGTAACTAGAATGGTGGAAAAGCCACTTCAGTGAGAAATGGCTGAAAAACTGGGCATATTTAACAAGAAGAGAAATCTGAATGAGGACAGGAGGGCTGCCAAGAATCTTTAGGGGGAAGCGGGGATGTGTGTTCTCCTGCAGTGCTGCAGAAGGCAGGGCTAGGACCACAGGAGAGCTGCCCCACCTTTGAAGGAGCTCTCTGGGGCAGAGTTGATGATTTAGAAGATAGAGATTTATTATAAGGCCACACCAGTGGAAGGTGAGGACATGGGAATAAAACCAAAGGTGAGGTAGAGATAGCTGTTAAAGAATGTGGACTTCACAGCTTTCGCTGCCTCCATGCTCTTCCCCTTCCAATGTACCTCATACGCATGCCAGTGTTACTTATCTGCTGGTCAGAATGTTTATTAGCTACCCATTACCTACTGAAGTATGCTGAAACTCCTTTTCCTGGTATTCAAAGCTTTCTGTGGTTTTACACTTCTTTTCCAGCCATATCATCAGATTAATAATTTTCTCATGTTCTCCAGTTCTTAAATGTGACATGCATTTCCCTGCCACATTCCTTCCCTGCTTAATTCCCTGCCTGTTGAAAACCTTCAGGGCCCACCAAAAATTCCACCTGTTTCATGAAACCTATGTAGAGGCAAAGGGAACTTTCCTTTTACCTTCTGAAGGTTCAATAATTTGAGTCCCTGGAAGAAACTGACAATAGACAGGTTAACAGGAGAAAAGGCATACAAATTTATCATGTGCCTATGTGCACAGGAGCCGCACAAACTGTGACTCAGAGGAGGACCAGCTGACTGACGCTTTTATACCCCACAGAAAAAAAATAGGGGCTGGGGGCTCCTGGAGGGTGGTGGTGATGAGATGTGGGAGACAGAGGGGCAGAAATGCACTGTGAACAAAGGCTGCTTTATCTGCTTATAATGCAGAGAAAGTGTCTCAGGCAGCAGACCTCAGAGGAATACATTGGTAGCCTATGGTAAAAGTCTCTCTGAGCAAGAGGTCAGACCTTTAGTCTATTTTCCTGAGTTAAGCTTCCCTGGCTGATGATTGCATTCCTCTGGAGGAACTCCCCTTTAGTCAGATAAGAGAGGACTAGAGAAAGCTCTTCTCTGCGTTTGCCCCTCCGCAGGTACTCTCTGTTTGAGGTCCAAAGCAGCATATTTGGGGAATTTTTTTCTGATCCCCAACACCAACCCCATCCAACCTTTCTTTCTGCCAGGGGAATGCGCTGCTTTCTTCCTGTGTTCCCAGAATACTCTCATGGTCTTGGTGACACTGATCCAGCCTATCTTTTTTTCTTTTTTCTTTTTCTTTTGAGACAGAGTCTCGCTTTGTCAGCCAGGCTGGAATGCAGTGGAGTGATCTCGGCTCACTGCAACCTCCACCTCCTGGGTTCAAGTGATTCTCCCGCCTCAGCCTCCCGAGTAGCTGGGACGACATGCGTGCGCCACCACGCCTGGCTAATTTTTGTATTTTTAGTAGAGACAAGGTTTCACCATGTTGGTCAGGCTGGTCCTGAACTGCTGACCTCAAGCAATCCACCCACTTTGGCCTTCCAAAATGCTGGGAATACAAGTGTGAGCCACCACACCTGCCCTACCGCCCTGTGTTTTTTCTAATTAGGTATCTGTATAGCACTTTTTTTTTTTTAGCTCATACAGTATTTTTACAAACACAAGTATTACCTCCCTGGGAGAGTAGTATTCCCATTTCACAGATAACTCAGGTTTTGAGAGTTTAAGCGACTTAACCATAACCATAGAGCTAATACTTGGTAAGGTTGGAATTCAAACTCAAGTTTTTTAACCCAAAGTGCAGACTCTGCTTCCCCTCACACTGTTGTGAGGGTGTTTTTTAAGTCTAATCAATATGACAGAGATTTTCAAATTCTGAAGTGCTACCCAGATCAAAAGAGGGTTTTATCCATTAGACTGCAGCCTTGTGGAAGCCAGAGACCAAGTCATTTTCATCTGTGCATATAAATGCATATTCTCAGGTCCACCCAGACCTGCTGAATCAGTGACTCCAGGGTGGGGTCCAGCAGACTTTGTTACAACAAAGCCTTCCAGGTATCTGCTGCATGCTCAAAGTCAGAGAACCAAAACTGTAAGAGAAGATTATCTTTTTTCTCTTCTTTTGTTTTTGTGGGGCCCTTGTCCTACAGAGACTACAGGGGCATTATGGGATCATTAACAAGTACACAAACCTCAATTCTCAGAGGAGAGAATCGCTACTAGTGCTGAGTGAGCAAAGATTTTATCAGGATAAAAAAAATGTAAAGACTAACCTGGCAAGATTATGAGCTCTAAGGGGTGTTGTCTTACCTGGAAGGCAGGTGTCAAGTGAAGCTTTGAGTGGAGAAGGCAAGAAGACAGGATGTTGAAAGGAAAATTCTTTATGGGTGTCAGAAAAACTCATAGGGAGGGGAAAAAAGATTTATTAGGGAATTTTAATATGAGAAAGAAATGACACTTTTGTAAAAAAGGCTATTTACTGAAAATTGCTGACAGCAGGCCTTTGGTAAAAGGGTGGAACAATGGGGAGGAATAGCAGATGTTGAGAGCAGAAGATGAAGCACTGAAGGCAAGGGTAAGCCCTGATCTCCGGAGAAGAGCTTTGAGTTCCTGTGAGCATTTGATTCCGGAAAACACTAACATGAGTTCAGCTATAGACCGTTTTCATTTTCCCTAAACAAATGCATTGTTCTAAAGAAGAAAACAAATACATGTGAAGGGTTCCTGGTTTCTTGAAGCTATTTTAAATAATGCAAAAATGTTGGTTGTGACTCTCATTTAAAATGTGTCCAGAATGGGCTAGCAAAAAAGAGGAGCTTGCTAAAGTTCAAATGACTGTGTCGATCTAAAAGAAAGAAGCTGAGGCCTAAAATATAACTGGAATAGTTTAGCCGAAGTGAGGACAGCTGCTGGGAAGACTCAGCCCCAGGTAGCCTTGGATATGAATTCCATTCGATCTTTGTTACGAGCAGGTTTGTTTGTTTTTTGAGACAGGGTCTCACTGTCATCCAGGCTGGAGTGCAGTGGATCACGGCTCACTGCAGCCTTGACCTCCCCAGGCTCAGATGATCCTCCCACCTCAGCCTCTAGAGGAGCTAAGACTATAGGTGCACACCACCAGGCCTGGGTAATTTTTGTATTTTTTGTAGACACGAGGTTTTGCCATGTTGCCCAGGCTGGTCTTGAACACCTAGGCTCCAGCAGTCCTCCAGCCTTGGCCTCCCAAAGTGCTGTGATTACAGGTGTAAGCCACTATGCTTGGCCCACAAGCAGGTTTTTAAAGACAAAAAAAAAAAAAAAAAAGTTTGAGTGACAGGGAGTAGGCTGATACAAAGTTGTTTGTCAGGAGCTGGCTTACAGGAATAACACTGATTAGTGATTGGCTGTACATTGTTAGGCTATAGGGTGTGGTTATAGTGTTTGATGTGGCATTATTAGGTTATTTTACAGCGACTTGTGGTAATAGAAAGCAGTTTTAAGAGGGGAGTAGGACGTGATTGCTGTCTCATTTTAATGTCTCCCTGGGCCTGATAATTTAAGAGGACTTGCATTCCTCAGATCAAAGTCCATTTATTTTCTCAACTGTATAACCCAAGTAGCCTGACTAGATGTGCCCTGCTAGTGTCTAGGAGCCTCTGTTGTCCATGTTCATGTGATGTCCTGACAGGATGGCTTGTGATGAGTCTGCCCTCTGAGTGACAGTGACATTTCTCCTTGCAGCCTGGCAGTAAGAACCAGTTAGCAGACAGAGACGTGAACAGCACACATGCTAGGCTGCCTAGAGGAGATGAGGCAGAGAGGCCCTGACACTTCTCCAGTTCCTGAGGCCACACTGCACACCTTTGTGAAGTGCAGCACCCCTGCCCTGATTTTCCTGCAGGTTTTCACAAGGTTCACGTTCACCCGTTCCACCTTGCTATTGCCTTATTCCCCATTGTCTCTTGTTTTCTAGACGTGTCTTTGGGTTCTAGCAGCACAGAGCTCTGAGTGTGGAATCGTCACCAGTGTGGACCTTGGCCACTTCTTCATTTGCCCCTCCCCCAAGGCACCACTCTCTCGGCTCCTGCAGGAACAAGCATTTAGTGCAGATATCAGCTAAATGGGGGGTGGAGGGCAGCGGTGCAAAGAATGGGGCAGACAGCACAGCCCAGAATTGGCTACTACTTAAGATTTAATGCTATACTGAAATGTTCACTGACAAAATATGCTATCTGGATTTATTAGTCCAGTCTCACACTGCTATAAGGATACTACTTGAGACTGGGTAATTTATAAACAAAAAAGGTTTAATTGACTCACAGTTCCTCATGGCTGGGGAGGCCTCAGGAAACTTAACAATCATGGTGGAAGGTGAAGGGGAAGCAAGGCACGTCTTACATGGCAGCAGGTGAGAGAGAAAGCAGGGACAACTGTCATTTATAAAGACCATCAGATCTCTTGAGAACCCACTTACTATCATGAGAACAGCCTGAAGGAAACCACCCATGTGATCCAATCACCTCCCACCAGGACCCTCTGTTGACACATGGGGATTACAATTTGTGATGAGATTTGGGTGGGGACACAGAGCCAAACAATATCACTGGAGATTCTTTCAAGATAATTAATGGGAGAAAGGTGAGTGAGTGGGGCATTTTAGATGAAACAAGATTGGCTGTGCATTAATAATTGTTGAAGCTGCCAAGGGTGCATTGAGGTTCTTTATACTAGTCTGGTTACTTTTGTACATACTTGAAATTTCCCACAATAAATTATTATTTTTTTAAAGTGGATGCTGGAATCCCTCAGGCATTGCCAGCTCAGCCATTTTCTCTCCGGCCATCCTTCCCCTGATATGTTCCCTGGGATCCCTCTTCCCCTCTGCTACCCATTTCTTCACTCTCTTTCTTTCTATGGCTCTCAGAATTCTTGTCTTCCCTACCTAAAGGGAACACTTAAAACAACTCCCATTTCTTCCTTTCCTCTTCTTCTTCTTTTGTTTTTGTTTTTTTTTGGTTTTTGTTTGTTTGTTTGTTTGTTTGTTTTAAGGAGCAGGGAGTTTAATAGGCAAGAAAGAAGGGGGAAGAAAGAAAGAAGCTCCCCTGTACAGAGACAAAGGGAGGGGTGCTCCAAAGCCAAGAGAGGGAACCCCCACAACTCCCATTTCTTATGAAAAATAAGCAATTTAATTATTCTATGTCTAGACTTCTCATTAGCCTGCACTGGAAGACCAAATAAACCCATTAATATTGTTTTTCTGAGCAAAAGTTGTTCTCTCTGTATGAAGAATTCTGCCTTCATCTTAGTCCATCTGGACCCTGCAGCCAACTTTTAAAGTCACTGTGTCCCCCCACCCCATTAGAACTCTTAATATTTGTTTAACCTCAGAGTAGAATGGAAAGCATGAATGGCAGATATTTCTTACGACTCCAGGAAGTGAAGTTTAGTCTCTTTCTAGAACCTTCCATCAGGTGAGGTCCACTATGAGCCTGGTTTAGAGGGGAAGGAGAATGGAGACCCTCACAATGTCCTAAGACTCTTGTTTTCTTTGTTTTTCTTGTTTTCCTCTTACTCCTTTTACCAGAACTTCTGGCAAGTAACATGTTGACTCATGGTGTTTTATCACTTCCTTCCTCTGGCTCACGTCCAGTAGACATGCTAATGAGTTGCCAAGTCACCAGTAGGCAGGAAAAGACAGAAGGGCTTCTCTGCCATGGAAACCTGATCATCTGGTGTTAATATTCTGAAAATGACATTCACAAAATGAGAGTTAAGCTGGATGAGAAGGTATCTCCTGCTTTCTGGCATGAAATCATTCTTCCTTTGTTTCCTTTGAAGTCCATATCTGTGTAAAAGATGCAACAGCAGGAATGATCTGTACTTCTTGGGGGTCTTAATCTCTGCTGTGTTGAAAGGATATTGAAAGAAATGGATGAGGACCTACATCTGGGCTCCTCATCTTAGAAAGTAGGCACCTGCTTGGGAACACTTAGGCAAATGGATTCTCTCCTTCCCCATTTCCCTTCAGGGGCCAGAAGGTCGGACAGAAAGTCCACCCTTGAACCTATCTAACGTCTAGGAGAAAGTCTTTCTAGAAACATAGAGAAAGTGAATGATGAGATGCCCGAAGAGTCATAATAGCAAGAGTCCGGTCTAGTCAGTTCAGGGTGAACTAAGACATGGAATGCATTGGAGAAAAGTGGGGATGATGGAATATCCTAAATTTTGTAAGTCATAAAAGTAGGGTTACCAGATAAAATATGGAATATCTACCTTAGTGTGAACTTCAGGTAAACAACAAATAAATTTTTAACATAGGCATTTCCTCAATATTGCATGGGACATAAGTATACTAAAAAAATGTATTTGCTATTTATCTGAAATTTAATTTTAACTGGGGCCCTGCATTTTTTATTTGCTGATAACCCTAGAAAAGCCCAGCCAAACAGAGCTTTTATCGCTCCATTGAATGTAACAAGTGGTCACTGTGCATTTGTCAGGGGGAAGCAAAGTCAATGACTGTGGCAATAATCCCTTATCTTGATCTACTTTCAGTGAAAAATATTACTTCTTTTATTCCTTTTGGAATGTTGCTAAAACAATGGCTGTGCTCTGACGGTAACTTCCATCCAAAGATCTCTTATTACATGGTATCTGCCCCCTAAAGAAAGCATACCGTAACAAGAGAAAGCATACCATCTAGGGGTCAAAAATTGATGTTTATCTCCATTCTTTTTCTTTCTGCTTTCGATGCCTTATAAACTTTTATCTCTTTATTAAGGAAAAATTTAAACATATACCAAAGAAGAGAGAACAGTGCGATGAACCACCTTGTACTCAGTATCCAGCCTTAGCAATCATCAACTCATAATCAATACTGCCTCATGATGCTCACTTTGGCAGCACATATACTAAAATTGAAATGATACAGAGTTTTGCATGGTCCATGTTAAAAAAAAAAAGCGGGGGGGAAGAATACTGCTTCATGCTTGGCACAGTGGTTCATGCCTGTAATCCCAGCACTTTGGGAGGCTGAGGTGGGAGAATTGCTTGAATCCAGGAGTTCAAGACCAGCCAGGACAACAAAGCAAGACCCTGTCTCTATGATTTTTTTTTCTTTTTTTTTGAGACAGAGTCTCGCTCTGTAGCCCAGGCTGGAGTGCAGTGGTGTGATCTTGGCTCACTGCAAACTCCGCCTCCTGGGTTCACGCCATTCTCCAGCCTCAGCCTCCTGAGTAGCTGGGACTATAGGCACCTGCCACCATGCCCGGCTAATTTTTTGTATTTTTAGTAGAGACGGGGTTTCACCGTGTTAGCCAGGATGGTCTCGATCTCCTGACCTCATGATCAACCCGCCTCGGCCTCCCAAAATGCTGGGATTACAGGCGTGAGCCGCCGTGCCCAGCCTAAAATTTTTTTTTTTAGATTTAGCCTGGTGTGGTGGTGTGCACCTGTAGTCCCAGCTACTTGGGAGGCTGAGGCAGGAGGATCACCTGAGCCTAGGAGTCGGAGGTTGCAGCAGTGAGCTTTCGTGGCATTACTGCTTTCCAGCCTGGGAAACAGTGAGATTGAGACCCTGTCTCAAAGAATACCGCCTCATCTATTCCACCACATTTTTGTCCATTCCAACTACATTATTTTGAAATGAATTCCAGAGAGCTGGACTTTATTGCTTTGTAACTTTCTACTTCTCACTGTACCTTTTCTTTGCCCGTAGTGGAATTGTATGGACAGTGGCTGCCCTAAACCTGAACATTGGTTGCCCCACGTTTATCATTGTGTAGTTGCCTGCCTTCCCGATATCAAATCCCCAAATTTGCATTTTCCAGCCTCCCTTAACTCCACAGCTCAGACACTCAACTTCAGTTTGGAAAGTCAGACCTTCTTGCTGCAAGATTTTGACTAGGACTCGGGCTTGGAGGAAGCGGGAGGGGTTGGGTGCATGCCATCAGGTCAGCTCTGCAATGGCATTCTGGGGGCTGCTCCTGGAAGATGACCCAGGAAAATATTCCTCCCTCTTTTTCCAAGGAGTTTGTGAGTACCCTAACTACATTAATAAAGCCCTTCCTTTACACACTAGCTAGAGAGATTCCACTGACTTTTACCAGATAGCTGGACTGATACAAAAGCTGATCATTCTAACCTTCTGAAGAAGCTGAAGTGGAGAGGTGTACACAAGCACTTCAGTCGCTCAGGAGAAAAATGTTGTGATTTGTATGAATATGATGATTTATTAAGTATGGGTTTATGGGACCACCTTATAGCAGTCGTTTCCAAAATGTAATCCCCCCTGCATCCCCCTCCAGCCCACCAACCAACAGCATCAACATCACCTAGAAACTTCTATAAATTCAGATTCTTGGACCTATTCCCAAGACCTCATGAATCAGAAATTTGGGGGTGGGGCCTACCAATCTGCTTTGTAACAAACCCTAGGTGATTTACATCAGCAAATTCCAGCCTGAGGGCTACATTCTGTGCCCACCGCTTTTTTTGTTTTTCTTTCTGTTTTTGTTTGTTTGTTGCTGTTGTTGTTGTTTTGAGACTGAGTCTTGCTCTGTCACCCAGGCTGGAGTGCAATGACATGGTCTCGACTTACTGCAAACTCTGCCTCCTGGGTTCAAGTGATTCTCCTGCTTCAGCCTCCCAAGGAGATGAGATTACAGGCTTATACTTCCATGCCTGGCTAATTTTTGTATTTTTAGTAGGGACAGAGTTTCACCATGTTGGCCAGGCTGGTCTTGAACCCCTGACCTCAAGTAATCACCTGCCTCAGCCTCCCAAAGTGCTGGGATTACAGGCCTGAGCCACCGCGCCCGGCCCTACCATCTTTTTTTATAAATAAATTTTTACTGGAACACAGCCACACTCATTCATTTATGTATTGCCTCTCTCTGCTTGTGTACTAAACTTGTAGAGTGTCGTGGTTGTGATAAAGACTGTAATGGCCCACAAAGCCTACAGTATTTACTATCTGGCCCTTAACAGAGAAAGTTCAGGGCCCCTAATTTAGATTCACTCTAAGTGATGAGACAGTAAAAGTTAGAGGAGGAGTCAATAAGAATTAAACAGGAATATGTGACGCTAATTTATAACAAAGTATAGCTGTTGGGATTGGTGTCCATAAAATGGTGGTCTTTCCTTAGCTGAGGTCTGTGAGACGCAGAACAGCAGGTTTTTTCTAACTTGTTAATGGCAGTCTCCATGCTGAGGACAAATTTAGCAAACTCTTATATGATCAAGATGCTTTTTTTAAAGTGTGTGCATAAGCATGCATGTGTTGGTTTGTGTGTATCTAGAAGATAATCTCTTGAGCAACCAGGAGGAATCACAGAAAAGAGAATTTTATCCTACTATTAGGAAATAACTCCCGTCCTCTTTCAAGTCCTAATTTGTTTGTCTAGACTGCGGCATTTACCATGAATGCTAAAAAAACAGGGATAGCGGGCCAGGTGTGGTGGCTCACACCTATAATCCCAGAACTTTGGGAGGCCAAGGTGGACAAATTGCTTGAGCCCAGGAGTTCAGGACCAGCCTGGACAAGATGGTGAGACCACCAATGCTACAAAAATACCAAAAATTAGCTGGGCATGGTGGCCTGCACCTGTGGTCCCAGCTACTCAGGAGACTGAGGTGGGAGGATAACTTAAGCCCAGGAGTTTGAGACCAGCCTGGGTAATATGGCAAAACCCCGTCTCTACAAAAAATACAAAAACTAGATGGGTGTGGTGATGTGCACATGTAGTCCCAGCTACTCTGGAGGCTGAGGTGGGAGGATCTCTTGAGCCAGGGAGGTCGAGGCTGCAGCAAGCTGAGATCACGCCACGTCACTCCAGCCTGGGTCACAGTGATACCGTCTCAAAACTAGGCAACCGACCAACCAATTCATTCTGTTTGACCCATAGTTTGACTCTTAAGAATGCATTGTAACAAAATAAGTAAGGATGTGTTCAATATTATAGCAAGAAGCCTGTTGGTTTCAGCACTGTTTATAACAGTAAAAAATGAAAAGCAGCCTAAATGTCCTACCTAATCAAAGTGGTTAACTGTGATAAACACACATTATAGAATATTATGTGGCCATTAACATGATGTTGTAAAAACATACATATTGGCTTGGATAAATACTCATACTGTTGACTGAGCAAGAGTGTCAAACCATTATTCTGTATGTTTTCCTGCAATGGACTTACTATTATGTATACCCATTTATATGCCTACATTATAATCTATAAGTGTACACAGGAAAATTCTCAAAATTTTAACTAGTTTTAAACTAGTTAGTGCTGGGCGGTAGGATTCTGAGTAACTTTGACCTCCTTCTCACCTTCTCATCTTATTTTTTTTTTAAGTTTTTTGAATTTTACTTTAAGTTCCAGGATACATGTGCAGAATGTGCAGGTTTGTTACATAGGTTCATGTGTGCCATGGTGGTTTGCTGCACCCACCAACCCATCATCTAGGTTTTAAGCCCCACATGCATCAGGTATTTGTCCTAATGCTCTCCCTCCCCTTGCCCCCCACCTTCATCTTATTTTTATTTATTTTTAAATTATATTTATTATTTATTTATTTTTGAGATGGAGTTTCACTCCTGTTGCCCAGTCTGGAGTGTAGTGGAGCGATCTTGGCTCACTGCAATCTCCGCCTCCCGGGTTGAAGCCATTTTCCTGCCTCAGCCTCCCTAGTAACTGTGGATTACAGGTGCATGTCACCATATGTGGCTATTTTTTTTTTTTTTTTTTTTTTTGATTTTTAGTAGAGACAGGGTTTCAACATGTTGGCCAGGCTGGTCTCGAACTCCTGACCTTAGGCCCACCTCGGCCTCCTAAAGTGCTGGGATTACAGGCTTGAGCCACTGCACCCTGCCCTTATTTTTATTTTGATTTTTATTTTTTATTTTTATACAGTGATCATGTATTCCTTGTGTAATTATATGTGTTTTAATGCACACGCAGATACAGACATCTTAGTTTGGAGATGTAGCAACACATTTCAATAGATAAATTTAGATCCCCTACTTTCTGCTCAAGTTGACATAAATGTCCTCCCCATGCAGCTGGGTGGGAGCATCAGGCCCCACAAGGGTTTGAGGTTCCCTACTTTCACAGAGAGGGAAAGGGGCAGATTCAGGTAGGGACAACACATTAAGGACCCCTTGCTTCTTCCTCATTTCCTGGGTGGGATGGTCAATCACACCAGTATGCCTGGAAGTGAGGGATTTCCCAGGATACAAGACTTTCAGTACAAATAAGGAAAATCCCAGGCAAACTGGGTCCAGTTGATCATCACATTCCTGGCAGATTTAAAAAGAATGGCATATACGCCTACAGGTGCACAGAGCTACATGTGTGACTCACGCTGCGGTATGTGGTTTCATGAGAAGTTACTTATGAAATCATTGCTGATTTCTGATCCTCATGGCCAGGAAAGGAGACAAAATCAGCAGGGTTGAGGTCAGTTCAAAAAGGAGGCCTTCTAACCCCGAAGAAAGCAGAATCCATTTCAGGAGATAACACCTTCTCTTCTCTGCATTTAACACCAGTGCATGCATTTGTTCTGTGTCTGAGCCTCTGTAAATTAAAAAAAAAAAAAAATTAAAGTGTTTTCTGAATAATTCAGGTCAAATTAGCCATTCACTGACTCAATTTCCCACTTTCTTTGCTGTTAAACATTGAACTATTTAATGTCGCTGAAATTGCATTTACGGTATTCCGTTAGCTCAAGTTGTGCCCATTCTGCTAAAGCTCTCGACATTCTTATTATCATTAAAGAGAAAGAGGAAAGGACCAGGAGTGGCGACCGGCAAACCACAGCTTGTGTGGGAAGGAAATTTGACATGTGATGCAAGCGGACGTTTGTGTAAACTGCTGGGAGATTAACAGTGAGTATCTCTCTGTGTGTTGCCCATCCACCCATTTATAAGTGGTGGGAGAGATGGCGCAGAGGGGGAGCAATGCCCATTCAGCCAGTGCAAGTTGTGGGCTCAGCTGGCTGCTAGTCAGTCATCCTTTGTTTGAAAGCAGCACACTTCCTTTTCACCAGCTGAGTCAGGAGCTGTTCTCCTGGGTAATTTCAGAGAATCCACCTCATTGCTCACATGCACGTCATTGCCTTTGGATTGTAGCATGCTGGAGGGTTTAACCAGGGAGTTGACAATGAGTGTCTCTGCAGAACAGGCCAAACACATTCCCTGACCAGGTCATGCGGGTGAGTTAATAGGTTCACTACGTGCTCCTCCTACCCTGGAGAGCAGCGTGACGTTAGTTCCTAAGCTGCAGGGTTAGCACGTACAGTGTTATGTGGTGGCCTTGGCTTTAGAGTTAGCCAGACTTAGGGTAGAACTGTGGCTCAACCACTTCCTCACTGTGTGATATTTGGCAAGTTATTCGCCATCACTAAGGCTCGGTTTCCTCAAATAGATTAGGGAAATAACATGGTTCCCGCTTCACTCTCCTCTTTCCTTTTCTTCACTGAGTTTCTCTCACCTGTGCTTCTTTGTTGCCTGTAAAACATATAGGCCAAAGGGAAAGATGATTCTGGCATATTCCAGACCATTCTCACCTTCTTTAATTTATTTAATTTTAAAAATATTTATAAATAGAGATGGGGTCTTGCTGTGTTGCCCAGGCTGGTCTTGAACTACTGGCTTCAAGTGGGCTTCCTGCCTTGGCATCCCAAAGTGCTGGAATTATGGGTGTGAGCTACCACACGCAGCCTGGATCTCTTTCCAGTGGGGAACTTAAGATTCTTCTTCCTTTTCTGAGAATGACTTGGACACAAGGGTTTGCAAAGTATGTTCCATAGACCACTGGTGGTTCACTGTGGTCCCCTAGATGATGCAAACTTCAGAGGGAAGAAAATGCCCTATGAGGAGGAAGCAGAGAGGAGCCCCACTGGCTCTGAGTGGAGACTCCTGGCTCTACCTTCAGAACTCCACTCCTGGTCACCATCAAAGTCCTGCCCGGAGCCCACAGATTCCAATCCTATGCTGTTCTCCCCACCTCTTCTTCACTAGCTGTACAAAATGACGAGGTTTGTGTAGCCGGAGCGATGCCTTGGGTTTTTGTTGTTTCCCACCATTAGGAAAAACAGAGGGATTAGGTGGCAGAGTCCGCTTAGCTTTTCAGTGAAGAAATGAAAGGTGTGGCAGGATGGGTTCAGGTGCATTTTGCTGGTGGGAATGGAAATAAGATTGGGAGGAGGAGGATGTGAATGTGAACAATGAGACAGATTCCCTGAAATTATCCAAGAGAACGGCTCCTGACTCGACCGTTGGCAAAGAGGGTGTGCTACTTGCAAAGCAAGGATGACGGCTGAGATGATATCACATTTGCATTTTTTTGGATTGTCATCAGTCTCATTGTGCCATGTTTCCAATCTGCACGTGTGCGGATGTGCAACCGGGAGACACAGACAGGCACCAAGAGCCAGTAATGAAAATCCCACCTTCTCCTTGTAAGCAAACCTTATCCAAGGACCCAGGACACTTGCTTGACCCAATTATGCAGAAACTCCACTGCTTCTTCCTCCTCCTGATATGCTGTGAGAGAGGAAAGGAAGAGGGGCCGACAGAGAAGGGGTGTGGTGAGCTCAGGTGCATTTTGCTGGTGGGAGGACACCTTGGTGCCAACTTGTTCTGTTTCTCCAGTGATGTAAAAGCCTTTCAAAGTTCTCATTGGTTGACCCAATCATTCTAGTTCTAGGAATCCAGCCAAAGGAAATAATCAGCAATGCAGATGAAGATCTATGTTAAGGGTACTTACTCTAGCTTATTGATTATGGTAAAATATTGGAAAAAAATCTACATGACCAGGAGTGGAAAATGAAGTAGAATACGTTGGAATTACACAGTCTGTGAAGATGATGTTTTAGGAGTATTCGTTTTTAAATGGAAAAAGTTACACATGCACACGGTTAAAAGTTTAAATAGGACAAAAGAGAAGAAATGAGAAAGGAAACTCTCTCTGGGGTCCTCCTCTATAGATAAAACTATGTCCTCAGTTATAGATTGTGCTTTAGAAAAGAAATAGGTGAAACAAGAAAATGGTTTCAAAGTAATAATAAGTGGAGGAAAGACACAAGATCAAAAAACAACAACAACACAATAAAACAATGAACTTTCCAGTATAATTGCAATTTGAGAGGCTTGAGAGGAGAGTAAGACAGAGAAGAAATATTCCAAGCTGTTTCTGAGTGATGAAATTTGGGGTAATATTTATTTTCTGTATTTTATAAACTTTTTATAGTGTGTAATATTACTTTCTAATACTTAGCATTTAAGGAGCTAGAAAATTGCATTTAAGTTCAGAATTCAGCAAGGGACACCAATGATCTTCTGAAAATATTTTTTTCCAAAAATCAACAGTCTTTATATTAACACATATATGTTCCCCTATTTTATTTATGTGTAAGTTTAAAATAATGCTGCAAGTTAATTTTTCAAGAACACCCAGAAATTGCATTTTATCTCCCTGTCGGCCCTTCTTCAGCATCTGACTTAATCACCACATGCAAGAAAGTTAGAAAACAACACCACAAGAAAGAATTCTTGGCCGGGAGCAGTGGCTCACGCCTGTAATCCAAGTACTTTGGGAGGCTGAGGCAGGTGGATCGCTTGAGGTCAGGAGTTCAAGACCAGCCTGGACAACATGGTGAAACCCTGTCTCTACTAAAAATACAAAAATTAGCTGGGTGTGGTGGCATGCACCTGTAATCTCAGTTACTTGGGAGGCTGAGGCAGGAGAATGGCTTGCACCCAGGAGGAGGAGGAGGTTGCATCATAGCACTCTAGCCTGGGCAACAGAGCGAGACTCTGTCTCAAAAAAAAAAAAAGAGTTCTTGCCATTATTTGGTGATATTGTGCTCAAATAAAAATGTTTTGCTTATTTTGCATTTCAATGTCAAACACAGAAGTCTGAACTTTGCCTTTCTATAAATGAATCCATCAGGGAAGATAAATTTGACTGTGGTTCTTAGGTCAAGGTCTAATGTTATGAGAGTTTTCAAAAGAATCCCAAGGGAAAGCATCTGTCTGGTTAGCATATGACAGCACTTAAGAACAAATTATTCCCAGTTTCCAAAAATGTGAAATGTACATTTGGGAGTCAAGTCAAGTTTCTGGATTTACAATAGTATTTCAGAATCCATCCACATATTTTAAAGAGACAGACATTCCTAAATGCCCTCTAAAAAGACCCAGTAACAAAATTGTTAATTTGTGGATGTTGGAAAGAGCTTTCTGAACTTACGCTGAAGTGTGTGCATGTGTTTTTGTTGTTGTTGTTTTGAGACAGGGTCTCACTCTGTCACCCAGGCTGGAGTGCAGTGGTGCAATCTCGGCTCACTGCAACCTCCGCCTCCTGGGCTCAAGTGATCCTCCTACCTCAGCCTCCCAAGTAGCTAGGACTACAGGCACGTGCCACCACACCTGGCTAATTTTTGTAGTTTTTGTAGAGAAAGGGTTTCGCCATGTTGCCCAGGCTGGTCTCAAACTCCTGGGCTCAAACAGTCTGCCTGGCTTGGCTTCTCAAAGCGCTGAGATTACAGGCCTGAACCACTGTGCCCCGCCTGTGTATGTGTTTCAGCGATGGCATCCCCACAGTGTGAAGGATCTTAAGTGTGAAGACCCTTATTTGGAGAGGATTTGGAGGGGTGTTGGCTTCTCGTTCTGTTCAGAATCTTCCCGTCTACACCATTGCACACATGGCCTGTGGTCAGGCTCACCTCTGAGTCTGGGCTGGAATGAGCAAATATCTTGTTTATAGCCACAAACTGGTTCATTGGTTAAGTAGGTGAAGATGTCAGGAAATAAGATTTGCTCTTGTCATGGGTAAACAGATAGGGAACATCACTGAAGATTACGGGGAATCAAATGAGCAATTGTTTTCCTTCGGTCTTTCTCACACATATCAACCTCTTCGGATGCATGACGGCTGTGAGCTGAGAGCGCTGAGAGCAGGAAGGAACCAGGGCTGTGAGCAGTGGTTTGCCACTTGGACAAGATTCAGATTTATGCTTCTTCATACCCTGAGTTCTTGAGACCAGGGATTTATATTTTTAGAGATGTGTTTTGTCTTAGTTTCCTAGGACTGCCATAACAAAGTAACAGACCGGGTGGCTTCTTAGGTCCCAGAATTGTATTGGCTTACAGTTCTGGAGACTGGAAGTCTGAGACCAAGGTTTCGGCAGGGTTGGTTCCTTCTGAGGGCTGGGAGGGAGAATCTGTTCAGGCCTGTCTCCTGGCTTCTGGTGGTTTGCTGGGAGTCTTTGGCGTTCCTTGGCTCGTGGGCCCATCACTCTAATGGTTGCCTTCACGTTCACGTGCTGCTTTCCCCGTGTGAGTATGTCTGTCTCCAAATTTCCGCTTTTTATAAGGACATCAGTCATATTAGATCAAGTCCCACCCTATTACCTCATTTTAACTTAATCACCTTTTTAAAGACCAGGTCTCCAAACACAGCAGGGGTGACCAATCTTTTGACTTCCCTGGGCCACATTGGAAGAAGAAGAATTAATTGTCTTGGGCCGCACGTAAAATACACTAACACTAATGAAAGCTGATTAGCTTTAAAAAAATCTTAACGTTTTAAGAAAGTTTATGAATCTGTGTTGGGCCATATTCAAAGCCGTCCTGGGCTGCATGTGGCCCAAGGGCTGCAGGTTGGACAAGCTTGAAACACAGTCGCCTTCTGAAGTACTGGGGGTTGAAACTTTAATATGTGAATTTTGGGGGCATGCAATTCAACCCATTACAAATATAGACACAGGTATATGCATACACCTGGATAATATTTTTGGAAGGGAAGACCTTGTCTCTAAAAAAAAAAAAAAAAAAGAAGAAGAAGAAGAAGAAAGTAAGAAAGTTTGTAAAACAGCTTAAGACTGTTTATTTATTTTTGAGACGGAATCTCACTCTGTCACCCAGGCTGGCGTGCAGTGGTGCAATCTCCGCTCACTGCAACCTCTGCCTCCTGGGTTCTAGCAATTCTCCTTCCTCAGCCTCCTGAGTAGCTGGGATTACAGGCACATGCCACCATGCCCAGCTAATTTTTTTTTGTTTTGTATTTTTAGTAGAGATGGAGTTTCACCACATTGTCCAGGCTGGTCTCGAACTCCTGACCTCAGACGATCCACTCGCCTCGGCCTCCCAAAGTGCTGGGATTACAAGCGTGAGCCATCATGCCTGGCCAAGACTTTAAAATAATTATTTTGTCAATGGAAGAGCTAGGTGTGACTTTTACAGGAAGAAGCCTGTGTGTTTAAAGTGTTACTTATCATTCAAAAGCAAATAAAGGAAACTTCTTTTTTATTTTATCTTTTTATTGTGGTACCCTATACACCAATCAGCTAGCTTCAACTATTACTAATAATTGTTATAAACTAATTTTTTAATAATAACAAGTATAGTAGTAATTATCAGCAATTTAAAAGCTTTGCTGGAGAATATTATCAAATACAAATAGCAGACAAGGCATTGAGGACAATTGAAACATTAGCTACGGTGTTTCTTGACAAGCTCCAATTTCTAAAATAATAGCATATTACAATATGAGCATGAGAATCGTCGTGGACTCTCAGGACAAATCCAAGCAACCAGGAGAGTCTCCTCAAGGGGCAGAGGATCATGCCCTCATTCTCAGTGCAGACTTGGGCAGCATTCCAAAAGCCTCTCCAAGAGTTAAGCATTGATATTTGCCTCGCAATCCCTCTCTCTGCAATTGCTGCAAGGGCTGAGTCTCAAACTTTTCAATCCACGTACCTCTTTGATGAGGCAAAAACCCTCCCCACCATCTGCCCCACCTGTTTGCTCTGCGCACAGGGTAGAGAGATTGGCTCTGTTCCCTCTCCTTCTCTGTGTCCTGTGTGTTGATGGATGATGAGTTTCCAGCAACCCAACTGCTCAGAACAAAGACCACATCTCCTTTTCTCTCTTCTCTGTGTGCTAGTTGGGGAACATAAATGTGTTTCTCATTATTTGGTCTGTTTTACAATGTGAGTTCCTGCTGGAGTTCACTGCTTTGGGGATTACAAGGTATTTCATCTCCTGTAGGACGGGCCCTTCCCTAACACTTAACAATGGCAGCCTGTCTGAAGACAGGAAACCCTGAAGTGTTTTGCTAAATTTAAAGACTCAGACAAATATTAAGATTGGAGAGATTTTTCCTATTTTTTAAAAAAACGTAATCCTTTTATGTAGCTAGTATGTATATGTGTTACGGGGGTTGGGAGAGTCCTGAAATGGGTGGTAGGAAGGATCCAAAGATAATTAATTCTCAGCTTAAAAACCATTATGGCACAAAGGAAAGAGAATGGGCTTTGGAGCCAGAAGGTGGGATATGAATCCTGCCGTTTTCCTACTGGCAGTTGCAACAGCTTTACTTCCATCAGCTGCAAGATGAGGATTGTATAACCTGCTTTCTTAGGACTGGTGTGAAGACTAAATGAGATGCTGCATGAGAGCATCTGGCACGCTGTAGGGCTTCATGAGTGCTACCTCTTTGAAAACACTTTTAAATTTTAGATTCAGGGAGTACATGTGCAGGTTTGTTACATGGGTGTATTGGGTGATGCTGGGGTTCTGTTGAATAGATTGGGTTTGTATTAAACCCATCACCCAAATAGTGAACATGGTACCCAGTAGATATCTTTTCAGTCCTTCCCGTTCTCTCTACCTCTCCCTACTTGGAGTCCGTAGAGGGCTATCTCTTAATAAAACCTAATTCTGTAATGGTAAGGAGTTCAGCATTGCAAATTCAAATTGGCTACAGGATGCCCAAATCCATGGGACAGGTCTTTTGTTGTTGTTGTTTGTTTGTTTGTTTGTTTGTTTGTTTTTGAGATGGGGTCTCACTCTGAAACCCAGGCTGGAGTGCAGTAGCCTGATAATGGTTTACTGCAGCCTCAACTTCCTGGGCTCAAGCCTCCCTGCTTCAGGTGATCCTCCCACCTTAGACTCCTGAGTAGCTGGGACTACAGGCACATGCCACCATGCCGAGCTAATTTTTGTGTTTTTTGTAGAAATGGGGTTTCACCATGTTGCCCACGCTGGCCTTGAACTCCTGGGCTCAAGACATCTGCTTGCCTTGGAATCCCAAACTGTTAGGATTACACTGCGCTCGGCCAGGACAGATGTTTATATAATAGAAGTTTGCTCTGTGTTTAAGGATCATCTGTAGGGGTGGGTCGGGGGGCAAGGCACTTGGCCTTACTAGCCTCATTAAAGAAATGTTTCGGGAGCCCTCGCCGCCTAGCTGCAGGGCACTGGGTCATCTGGAATATAGAAATCATAATAATCCCCCTTGCGTCATAGGCTGACCTGAGGATCAAATGAGATAATGTCTGTGAAAGTACTTGATAAGCCTGAAGCACTGTCTAAATGTATTGCTGAGGGCCTGAGGTAGAGAGGACGTTTACTTTGGGCCATTCATGAGGTTCAAGTACAAACTCTCCATTGCATGGCATTCAGTGCAGAGCAAACACATTCTATTTGGCTTTAGCCTTGAATGAAAAGTCAACAGTGCCTTTTCAGTTGCTTTGCTTCCTCTCTTCTCCTTTCAAAACAAAGCCAGGTCCTCTAAGGGTTTCCTGCTGAGTTTATAAAGAGGTGCTGGATTACAAATCCAGCCCCGGCTCCCAGGATCTTGGAGGCTGGGGAAGAGTATGGCCTCAAAACAAGGGGTGTCTGAGGACACCTACCCTTGGTTCTTCATCAAGGGATTGGCCTTCTCTCAAGCCTTGAACCAGGGCCAAGTACCCCAGAAGCAATGCTTTCTTTCCCATGGAGGTAGTCACAGGAGAGGCACCATGAAAGAACTTGGACAACGTCACTGCTGGACTGTGAAAGGGCTCACTGTGAGGATGATCAGGAGGGAGGAGCGGTGGCTTGGGGCTGACCTCGGAAGTGTGGTCCAGCTGCCTGATGTTGATTGTACATTTCAGGCATGCTTTGAGAAGAGGCCTAAGTGATCCAAAGTCCCGTTCTATGAAATGAAATGTCCATCTCTTTACTTCTATTGCCATCTTTTTTTTTTTTTTTTTTTTTTTTTTCTTTTCAGACGGGATCTCACTCTGTCACCCAGGCTGGAATTGCATGATCATGGCTCACTGCAGCCTCAGACTTTTGGGCTCAAGCAATGCTCCCGCCTCAGCCTCCCAAAATGCTGGATTACAGGCGTGAGTCACTGTGCCCGGCCTCTGTTCCCACTTTCTGTCTGACTTTCTCCTGACATTCTTCTTTTCTTCAATCTCACGCACCCATCCTGCAGATCCTAAATATTGCCTTTATGATGGGAGTCAGGGCTCTTCACTCTCTAGACGAAGCCACCTTTCCTACCCAGGTCCCAAACGAACCCATTCCCTCTCTGCCTTTACTCTTCTAGCTCTCCCGCTTCCTCTGGAAGTCCCCCTTTCTTCTCTCTTCCCATTTACACCCCCTCCATCCTTCAGGACCCTTTGTGTGTGCCTCCCCATGAAGCCTTTTGTGACTATTCAATCCCCAGCGCTTTCTCCCCGCTTTCATATGCTACATATTTTTTATATTTTTTGTATTACTCTTTGGCTTTTCATGATTTTCTGTTTTTTATTCACTCATTAACAGTCGAGTGTTTTTGTGCTAGGCATTGCATTTGGTACTGGGGACCCAGTGGTAAACCAAACAAACAGGGCCTCTCTTCAGAAGTAATTTATCATTTAGGGCCAGGTGCGGTGGCTCACGCCTGTAATCCCAACACTTTGGGAGGCTGAGGCAGGTGGATCTCCTGAGTATCACAGGCTGAGTTCGAGACCAGCCTGGCCAACATGGTAAAAACCGGTCTCCACTAAAAATACAAAAATTAGCCAGACACGGTGGCGTGCGCCTGTAGTCCCAGCTACGCAGGAGGCTGAGGCTGGAGAATCACTTGAACCAGGGCGGCAGAAGTTGTAGTGAGCCAAGATTGTGCCACTGCACTCCAGCCTAGGTGACAGAATGACACTCTGTCAAAAAAAAAAAAAAAAAAGAGTAATTTATCATTTAGTAGGCAGTTAAGAGACTTTTTTAAAAGAAAGAAAAGAAGAAAGAAGAAAAGACATAAACAAGCACTATATACATCATAAAGAATGTGGATTTTATTCTGAAAGCAATAAAAGCCATTGCAGAAGTTTAAATTTTTGTTAATTAAAAAAAAATGCTTAACAACCCAAATGCCCGTCAATCAAATAGTGGATAAAGAAATTATGGTATATGTATATACACCATGGAATACTACTCAGTCATAAAAAGAAATGCAATAATGGCATTTGCAGCAACCTGAGTGGAATTGGAGACCATTATTCTAAGTGAAGTAACTCAGGAATGGAAAACCAAACATCGCATGTTCTCACTCCTAAGTGGGAGCTAAGCTATGAGGATGCAAAGACATGAGAATGATACAGTGGGCCGGGCACAGTGGCTCACACCTGTAATTCCAGCACTTTGGGAGGCTGGGGTGGGCTGATCACTTGAGGTCAGGAGTATGAGACCAGCCTGGCAAAAATGGTGAAACCCTGTCTCTACTAAAAATACAAATAATTGGCCGAGCGCAGTGGCTCACGCCTGTAATCCCAGCACTTTGGGAGGCTGAGGCGGGTGGATCACCTGAGGTCAGGAGTTTGAGACCAGCCTGGCCAACATGGTGAAACCCCATCTCTACTAAAAATACAAAAAATTAGTTGGGTGTGGTAGCTTGAGCTGTAATCTCAGCTACTTGGGAGGCCGAAGCAAGAATCGCTTGAACCCGGGACGCAGAGGTTGCAGTGAGCCGAAATGGCGCCTTTGCACTCCAGCCTGGGTGACAGAATAAGTGAGACTCCATCTCAACAACAATAACAAAAAGAAGGATACAGTGGGCTTTGGGGACTCCAGGCAATGGTTGGGAGGGAGGTGAGGGATAAAAAGACTACACCTTGGGTACAGTGTACACTGCTTGGGCAATGGGTGCACCAAAATCACAGAAGTCACCACAAAAGACCTTATTCATGTAACCAAATACCACCTGTTCCCCAAAAACCTATTGAAATAAAAAAAAAATTTTTAATAAAGAAATAGAAAAAAATGTTAAACAGCCTTATTGAGGTATAATTGACTTACAGCAAATTGCACATATTTCAAATATACAATTTGGTAAGTTTTTTGTTTGTTTGTTTGTTTCAGACAGGCTCTCACTGTCACTCAGACTGGAGTGCAGTGGTGCAAGCTCGGCTCACTGCAACCTCTGCCTCCCAAGCTCAAATGATTCTCCTGCCTCAGCTTCCCGAGTAGCTGGGATTATAGGCGCCCCCCCACCACATCCGGCTAATTTTTGTATTTTTAGTAGAGACAGGGTTTCACCATTTTGGCCAGGCTGGTCTCGAACTCCTGACCTCAAATGATCCACCTGCCTCAGCCTCTCAAAGTGCTGGGATTACAGGCATGAGCCACCACACCCGGCCACAATTTGGTAAGTTTTAACATCTGTATATACCCATAAAACCATCACCAGGATATGATGAGCATATCCATCCAACCAACAAAGAGTTCTTGTGCTCTCTTCTTCCTTCTCCCCAAGTAAGATTTGAACTCCAATGCTACTGATTAGTTCAACTTTTTTCAGAATTTTGTATAAATCATCATACAGGGCCAGGCACAGTGGCTCATGCCTGTAATCCCAGCACTTAGGGAGCCAGGAGGTTTGCTTGAGCCCAGGAGTTCAAGACCAGCCTGGACAATATAGTGAGACTTTGTTTCTACAAAAAATAAAAAATTAGCCAGGTGTGGTGGTGCATGCCTGTGATCCCAACTACTCAGGAGACTGAGTTGGAAGAATCAGTTGAGCCTGGGAGGTCAAGGCAGCAGTGAGCTGTGACGGTATCATTGCAATCCAGCCTGGGCAATAGAGCGGGACACTCTCTCTCTCAAAAAAAAAAAAAAAAAGAAAGAAACAGAAACCCCAACCAAATAAATAAATAAGCATACACTATATACTCTTTTTCACGTGGCTTTTGTTCTCTTTACCACTGTAGAGCATTCCATTGTATGATACAGCAATTTATTTATCCTTTTACCTATCAATGGACCTTTGGGGTTGTTTCTACTTTTTGGTTATTACGAATAATGCCGCAGTCTTTGCTAACGGTATTGGTATTATGGACACATGCTTTCATTTCTTTTGGGCAGACAACTGTGAGTGGAATTGCTGAGTCATGTGGCAAACTACCAGTTCTGTTGAACCTCAGGGCCATCATTCTGTTCATGTCAGCTCGTTGTAGAACCACATCGATGAAGACCAAGATGGTAAAGATGAAAAATTGTAGCTAACATTTACTGCACATTTACTACAAGCCAAGCATTGCACTATGAAGTTTAAGTGCATTATTCATTAACCCCTTCAATAAAATTTGTAATTTTCATTTCAGAAGCAAATATTCGTGTTGTACAAATTTCTGATTGCCCTAAATGTAGAGAGACTGATGGGGAAAGTATGATGGGTTTGATTTTTATATCAAATCATCAGGCATGGAGAAATATCTTTTAGAAGTGTTAAAATAAATGTTCCTACTGTATATTTAAAATACAAAAAATGATAATAATAATAATAACAATTCCTCTGAAATAGTTACCGTGAATACCCTCATTTAAAATGAGGAAGCTAAGCCTTTTCAAAGTTAAGTAACTTGCCTAAGGTCTCTTAACAACTAGCGAAAAGGATAGAACTCAAACCTAGGTCTTTCTGACCCTGCAGTTTGTGTTTCTATCCACGGTGTAAGTGAATGAGTCAATGTATGCTAAAGTCAAGACTCTTATCTTCTGTTTTGCTTTCTTTCAGCATGGACAGAAGCACATTAACCTAGTCACAGGTGCCAGTGAGGGGCATTCTGATTAGCTGAGATGTTGGTTTCATTTTGCTTTACTGTTAGTCTAAGAATCTAAGGAAAATATAATGTGCAAGATACATTTGGCAATCATTTTATAGATTTTGTTAAAACTCCATAGGAATCCTTTATAAAGTTGTCTAATCTAAAATATATGACTATATTTAAGATGCATTTGTTTGCTTGGTTTAGATGGTAGTTTTTTTAAAGGGCCTCATCCATCAAAACACAATAAATGGGAATTGACTGTAGAATCCTGAGAATTTGTAATATTTGGAGGCATAATGACATAGCAGAAGAATATGAGTTTGCAGGTAAAAGAGACTTGGATTGAATATTCGGTCTGATGTTTCACAGTGGAAAAGCTATTGAAACCTCATTTTCTCGTTGGTAGAATGAAGATAGTAATGCCTATTTAAAGGGTGGTTGTAAGGATTAAAGAAGATGACAGACCCGTTACCCGGTGACACATTAGATTCTTGGTGAGGGTCAGGTCCTAGTTCATTTCTAGTCCCCCCCGCAACCTTTTTTTTTTTTTTTTTTTAAAGGGATCACACCTTTTTATCCTGGCTTAAAATCTAAATCCCTTCCTGCTAGGAGTTGGTGATCCTTCCCAAACTGTATGCAAAATTTAGTATGTTTGTACATGTTCATTTTGCGAGAAAATATCCCTGTGTATTAGTTCCTTTTCAAACTGTTATAAAGAACTACCTGAGACTGGGTAGTTTATGAAGAAAAGAGGTTTAATTGACTCACGGTTCCGCATGGCTGGGGTAGCCTCAGGAAACTTACATTTTTGGCAAAAGGAGAAGGGGAAGTGAGGCAGACGGCAAGATGCAGGGGAAGTGCCACACTTTTAAACCATCAGATCTCGTGAGAACTCACTTACTATCAGGAGAACAGCCTAGGGGAAACCACCCCCTTGATCCAATCACCTCCCACCAGGCCCCTCCCCATGGGGATTACAATTCGAGATGAGATTTGGGTGGGGACACAGAGCAAAATCATATCACCCTGGCTTCCATCAGATTTCAAAGAAATCCATGATTCAAAGGCAATTTAGAACCACTGGGAGATTGTTTTTCATTCATTCAACAGTATTTACTGAATATCCACTATGGGTCAAGCGTTTTGCTCAGATAAACCATGTCCCTGACTTTCAGGAAGGTACAGCCTAGACTGGTGAATAAAAGTATGACCTGTTTTGTGAATCTGTGTGTTATCACGCTATTATTAGGTTGGTGCAAAAGTAATTGCGGCTTTTGCCATTGAAAGTAATTACTTTTGCACCAACTTCATGCTTACTTGTATGGAGATGACACGTCAGAGAGAAAGGAGAGTACATGAAACAAAAAGCAGAAGAATCCAGACAGTTGAGTGGACATGAAAAAGAGGCCCTGTAAGCAAGGAACAGGCATCAAGAAAATAAACCTTCCTGACTTTGACTGACAGCCAGCTGCTATATTAAGGTGTAGGATTGTGTAGGTTCTGCCCCACGGAAGTGCCGGCCAAGGGTTGAGTGGAGAGGGTTGGGGTGGGGAGGTGACGAGATGCAGCTTGAGCTCCCTTCACCAAGCTGGGGGCCCTGAAGACTCTGCCTACCTGGATAGAGTAACTTTTTCTAATATGCTTCAAGGTGCTATAAGAGGCTGCCAGCCCAGTGTATTGCTGCTACACAGAGAGTCAGATTTTCCTTTAGGAGCTGAGCTGTTAAACTTGAAAGTAGATCAACTCTAGTTCTGAAAAAGAAAAAAAAAAAAGTGGGTTCTTTGGCTCTTTGCTCAGTTGATCCCTTAGAGGACATGATCAAGATAACTAACAGTTGGGTCACTATGTCAACAGTGTTTGGAGAACAAAGGAGGTGTCATTCAGCCTCACACCTTTCCAGGCAGCTAGTAAGGTGAGTTGGAAAAATCCTAATGCAGGAGAGGAATTTGTTTTTTTTGCATCTCGGTCCTCTCATTTTATAGATGAAGAAACTGGGACCCAGGATGATTATTTCCCAGCCTTTTCTTAAGCATGCAGCTGGAGAGTGGATGGTAAAGGCAGGAGGCCTTGGAGGATTTGTTGTACTCACTATGAGCACTTGACAATGGGAAGGGGCCCCTCTGCAGTGGCACTGGCTCTCCTGGCCCTGTTCACAGTGTCTAGCTCCACCCACCTGGCATATCTTGGGGCCAGAGCCTGTGCATATTTACTCTTTCGAGTCTTGCACTTTGCTCTTTTATTTTTACTGGCCCTGCACTTGTGTTTGCTCTTGGTGCTCTCTTCATACATATTGCAGGAGGCCCCCTGTTTAACTTGAGCTTGGGACTAAATATAACCACTGCTATCACCAGAGGCATCCATACATGTCAGCCCTTTTTCAGTGTTTGTCTGCTCCACCCCAGGTCGCAGGCACGGGGCAGGCCCCCGCGCTCCTTTCATAGGAATTCGGTTTTAAATGGAAACTATCACCAAAAGCAGGGGTGACTGGGGCCGGGAAGAAATCAATTCTTATCACAAGCTGCACTCATGCTTTGTCCCTGGTGTGCAAAAGCCCAGTCCCCAAATCTCCAAACCTCTCTTCTCCGTTTAACAGCATGGTAGATGCCCCTCTCGCTGACTCCATTTCCATCCTGTGAGCCCTTTGAAAGGAACTGCAAAGTGTCTGTAGCTTTGACATGTGCTTTTGTCTTCTGGGGCCTTCCAAAGCCTTTAGGTCATGCCACAGACCTGCAAACCATGGTTCTTGGACATTGTTCCCACACTGCACATTGCACCAGGAGAAGCTTCCACCTCACCTCCTCCAGGAAGCTCTCTCCCACACTCCTATCAACACTGCCCTTGCCTGTCTATAGTAATCGTGGTGATTAAAAGTTGCCTGCGTGGTTCATAAATTATTGTGTGGTTTTTCATCTTGTCAAAATGAGAGCAAAAGCCCTTCATTACTTGAATTAGTGTCTTCCACTCACCAATCCCTGATCCCTTTTCTCAGTGCTGAGAAAACAGGTGCTTGCCAATATCTCACTCTCTTGAGAACACTGAAGAAGATTCAAGCTCGCGTTTCCTACTTCTCTGAATACGGTAGGATCTGCTCTGACCTTCACTGCAGGCTGGGGAATGCCAGGCCAGAAGAGGGGCTTGGAGGGGCAGCTGGAGCTCCTAGAGAGAAAAGAGGGCACCCGCCCAGCCAGCTGAATCAACCCGGGATAATGAAACAGCAGAACTCGAAACCACATTGTTCTTGCAGCTTCCACTGGGTCTGAAATCAGATCCTTTACAATTTCTTCAAGGTCTACAAGTTCAGAAACTCACTCCTTTGAAAGAATACTGCCTGCAGTGACATCATTTTCTGAATCAATCCCTTTTTCTCTCCATCCCTTCTAGCAATTGTGAGCACCTGCTGCGTACAAAGCTCGGGGTTAACAAGAAGTCTAAGATGTACTCCTTGTACTTCTAGAGCGTGCTATCTAGGACAAAAGACTTATTTAAAGTTATGTTCAAAGGAAGAAGAAAGGACCCTTGGATAAGTCGACTGGGCTGCTCTTGGGGGCTGTCAGCAGCAGGGGTTATTTCGGGCACAAATTCAGGGAGAGTGGGTGATGATAGAGTAAGGAGATGTACAGGGGAAAGAGGAAGGGTTTATTTATGTGTTCATTTGTGAACTTGTTTCAACCCCGGGGAAAGAAGCAAGTGGTGAAGGTGGAGATTGCAAATACCAGAAAAGGCAGAAAGGAAGAGTACCCGAGACTCCATTGGAGAAAGAGTCAATGCAGTGTGGCAGGAACATGGGGCCACACCTCGGACGCTTCTCCATGAGGACAGGTCGTGATTGTTCCATCAGCCTGTAGATGCACAGCTAGCAGTTTTCTATATGGCTGCCCAGCTGCTCAGGCTGTTCTCCAAAAGGTCTTCTTAGGTCACGTGTTGGCTGTAGGTGAGGACTGGGAATACGTCTTGTTCTTTGCCCTGGATCCTGTGTGTACAAGGTCACCCTCATGCCATCGGGACTTTGAGTGAGGACACAGTGTCCGACGCCATTCATGGAAAGAACTATTCCGGTCAGGGTACATCTGAAACTGGCTACAGTTTGCTGGTAGGGGTGGCGTGGGGTAGAGGCATCAGAATTTGAGAGTCTCTCTGGCTTCAACATCTCTACTGCAGACAATTAACCTCAAGAGGCCCCAGGAGGGGATCTTCCTGGTGCCATTAAGAACACAGAGCATGAGGGGCCTCCCGTCTTCAAGGAGGTGGAGCTGGCTGTGAGCTCAAGGTGGGGCCTTCTGATTTTCAGTGATTTGTTGTTAGAACCGGAATTTCAGGGTTTTTGCAGCCTGGGGTCTATCCAGGCAGGTGTTAGAAAACTGGAATGACTAGATCATTAAGTGGTGTTGAGTGTGGCCATGCCAGAGTATGAAAGCTTTAGCAGGAACACAGAGCAGGAGCTTATCTCCGCTGCCTCAGTCGGACACATGATATTGCATTAGACATAAGCTCAAAGCTCACATCTCCCTTGGAAATACACAGTAACATCTAAAAACAATGAATTGAGATTAATAAAATATTCTTGGCTTGTGTTTTAAATCAAATTGGAAGTCCAGTTCATTTTGATCACTAATAGATGCTTTTTGCTGTTCCACAATCCATGCAAAATAAGATAATATGTTGTGTGTATAGCCCAGGACCTGGTGGACACTCAGAAATGCTGGTTATTTTCCTTAGTCTCGTCCCACCTGTTCCCCATAGAAGAAAGTCTGCACCCCATACATTTGAAACCCTGCACAATTTTTTCCCTTTCTTGTGTTCAATCATATGTAAGCACTAATTATGCGCCAGGCCAGGGAACACAATAGACAAAGTCCTTGCCCTCATAGAAGTTATTTATTTACTTATTTCTTAGAGACAGGGTATTGCTCTGTTGCCCAGGCTGGAGTGCAGCAGTACAATCATTGTTTACTCCAGCCTCCAACTCCTGGGCTCAGGCAATCCTCCCACCTCTGCCTCCCAAGTAACTGGGGTTACAGGCATTCACCAACATGTCCAACTCCTCATGGACATTATAATAGGAGAGAAAGTCAAGAAACAAATAAAGCACAGTACTGGCATGAACCAGTACCATGCCAGGTAATGAGAAGTTCTAAGAAAAAAGTGCAGCAGGGTCAGAGGATTAAGCATCCGCCTTAACATCTTTACTTTACACTTAGTCACCAAAGGAGCCCTCTGCTAGAGCCAGGCTCACATCCAGCCTCACATAGTACAGAGTCTCTTGAAGGTCAAAGTGTATGCATTTCAACTATTTCTTTCCATAAAAGCCCTCCAAGTCCCCTAACTCAGGGATCCCCCAGCCCCAGGCCATGGATTGGTACTGGTTCATGGCCTATTAGGAACTGGGCCACAGGGCAGGAGGTGAGCAGCAGTCAGAAGCTTCATCTGTATTGACACCCGCTTCTCATCACTCGCATTACTGCCCGAGCTCTGCCTCCTGTCAGATCAGCAGCAGCATTCCATTCTCATAGGAGCTTGAGCCTTATTGTGAACTGTACATGTGAGGGATGTAGGCTACACGCTTCTTATAAGAATCTAATCTCTGATGATCTGAGGTGGAGCAGTTTCATCCCCAAACCATCCCCTGCCCCTAAGTGTGTGGAAAAGTGAAACAAATCCCTGAGACCACTGCCCCAACCCTTGTTTTGCACATTTATTGTCATGTTGTTTTTGATTAAGATTCCAATGCTTCTTGTATCTGATTCTTTCCACTTGGGTTCAGTTTTCTTCTTTAGAAAATATACTCTTTTTCATTGAGGGCCTGTGAATAATATATTATCTTAGTCTTAATTTGTATATATATATAAAGAGAGAGATGGAGTCTTGCTCTGTTGCCCAGGCTGGAGTGCAGTGGCACAATCTCAGCTCACTGCAACCTCCGCCTCCTGGGTTCAAGTGATTCTCCTGCCTCAGCCTCCTGAGTAGCTGGGATTACAGGCACCCACCACCATGCCCAGCTAATTTTTGTATTTTTAGTAGAGATGGGGTTTCACCATCTTGGCCAGGCTGGTCTCGAACTCCTGGCCTCAAGTGATCAACCCGCCTTGCCTCCCAAAATGCTGGGATTACAGGTGTGAGCCACCACACCCGGCCTTAATCTGAATATTTTTTTGTTTCATCTCTATATTTATTCAATAGTTTAGCCCTCTATAGTTTCTAGATTAAAATTACTTTCCACGAGCAGCTGGAAATATTATTCCACCATCTTCTGGTGTCCATCGCTGTCGCTGAGAAGCCTTTTGTCAGGCGAATTGTTATGCTCTGTGTAATCTGTCTTTTTCTCTCATTGCTTCCTCCTCTCCTCCCTTCTGTTTTTTTTTTTTTCTCCTCTCTCTCTCTCCCTTTTCCCTTGTATATTTTTAAGGTTTTGTAAATCGTGTGTGTGTGTGTGTGTGTGTGTGTGTGTGTGTGTTCAGTAGCTTCAGTACAAGGCTTCTTGCTATAGATTTGGTTTCCTCTGTCCTGCCTGGGACTAACATCTTCAAGTATGAATTCTTATTCATTCTCTCAAAACTCAAATCCGGTGAAATGTCGACTCTTCATCTCCATTACTCTTAACATGCTGTAATATTTTCTATCTCTTTATCTCTCTGGTTGCAGAGGGTAATCTGTGCATATATTTTACAATCGCAGATGACAATGATCTATTTTACAATTCCCATATTCGCTATTCAGTTTTGCTGATCTGCAGTTACGCTGTGCCCTGCATTTTAATCTCAATGATGAGACTTATTCATTAAAATTCTTTTTTTAAATCTTTTTTTCTACTTTCATAGTGCCTTGTTCTCTTCTAGGGGTTTTGTCTTCTGTAGATATGTATTTAATCATTTCAAACATTTTTCTTTCATATTGTCTTTCTGATTGCCATTCTGTTCTATCAAGTCTAATTCTCCTGTTTATTTTGTCTGCTCATTCTTGGTGAATGAATGGTGAATTGTTGTCTTATGTATTTTGTAATTTTCAATTTGTGCTCTTATATACATTGTGTGTGTGTAAACATTTCTCATGGCATGGGTTGTGAGAATATCCTTCTAATGTTATTATCTCTATTTCTGCCAGGGACTCTATGGGTATCACTTAACTAAGACTTGCTTTTTTTTTTTTTTTTTTTTGTTTTTTTGAGACAGGGTTTTGCTCTGTCACCCAGAATGGAGTGCAGTGGCGCAATCTCGGCTCACTGCAACCTCCGCCTACCGGGTTCAAGCAATTCTCCTGCCTCAGCTTCCCAAGTAGCTGGGATTACAGGAGCCCGCCGCCATGCCTGGCCAATTTTTATATTTTTAGTAGAATCAGGGTTTCACGATGTTGGCCAGGCTGGTCTCGAACTCCTGATCTCAAGTGATCAGCCCGCCTTGGCCTCTCAAAAAGTGCTGGGATTACAGGTGTGAGCCACCATGCCCAGTCCTAAGACCTGTTTTTTTTTTTTTCTTATGTTTGTTCCTGAACTTACGGGTTCCTAGGCCGAATAAATAAATTTGAATCCTTCATCCATGCAAGGTATAGGCTTAGAGTTCCAATTTTTCAAGAGAGACTTTATCTCTCCACCCAGAAACAGAAAAACTTTCTTGTAATACCTTGGTACTGACGGGTAGATTTTTCTAGTTGATCTTATAACCAAGGAGGCAGCTCTAGCAGGGTTCCAGCTTAATGCAGGAATTTCAGTTACCAGCTCCATGGTTTTATCAGGCTCAAAGCCTTGCTGAGGTTAACATGTAGTCTCAATGTTGGCTTTAAGACGCAATGCTACATAGATCCCTAGTGGGGGCCCTGAACCAGCAGCCACAGAAGCAGCATGTTGTGGGCTGTCAGAAATAGACCCTTAGTCCCCACTGCAGAATCAGAATTTTTATCTTAGCAAGACTTATAGATGACTCCTGTGTACATTACAGTTTGAGAAGCACCACCCGGGTCACATGTTTTTTAATGCTCATTCTTCCAACCTCTCCCCTAGAGAAGTTATAATGTCTCTCATGTTTTTTCTGGGCTCTTTGTTTTAAACTTCTGTCTGCATTTTTGGAAACAAGAGATGTAATTTTCTTTCTTGAGAGCTCATCTGTGCATTGAAAAACATTTTTGTTGAAACCTTCTTAGTTGGCCATATTGCCAGGCCTAGAAATCCAATCCTACTCATTCTTCAAAGTTAAACTTTAAGCTTTTAGCAGTTTCCTATGCTAGCCCCTACCTTTGTGCTTTGTAATATAGACACTCAACAAACTATTTGTAGCTTTTGCATTCAAATGATGGATTAGAAAAATGTTCTTTATAGTGAGGTGGTATCATTTTTGCTTAGTTCTGCCCCTTCTATGGTATTCTCTTTTTTAACATAATACCCTCTGTGTCCCACTATATACTTTTTACAAAGCTGGCTCTGGCTCAAGCCAAGGCCTCCTCTCTGGCACCATGGAATTTCTGTAGTGAGATAGGAAAAATCTATTGTGCTCTCAGAGTCACAGACACTGAACAGCACAGCAGGGGCCAGGTTATCAGTGGCCTCTTCTTCCAGAGTTCCTGTAGGACAGTTGGTTATCTCAGCCTGTGCCCAGTCAGCCTACACGTGGGGGTCTGGGTAGTAAAAGCTGCAGAGAAAGCAGCTCTGTCCAGATTCATTTGATTAACTAGACAGGCACATCAACTATACACCCGTTCATTGCATTGCAGTATCCTGAAACTCAGGGGCACTTGAAGGGGAAGAGGAAGTAGCTCCTGCCTCTGGGGTGCTTGTAATCATATGGTAGTGAGACACCCATATCCAAAAGAATGAGAAGAAAAATCCCAAGATGTTAGAGATGCAAGTGCCTCATAGGGAGGTAGAAACTGTGTACACAATGCTGAGAGAACATCAAGTAAAGAGAAGCAACTCCATTGGTTGGGACAGAGCAACATCATCCCTTGTTTCCTTAAATTGCCAGTAAATATTTATCCTCTGCTTGCTTCTGCTTGGGGCCAAATCATTCTCCTTTGTTTTAGAGAGAAGGAAGGAGCCCCTCTGTTCTCCCCTTCCTGGGAAATTCATCGCACCAACAGCGGAGATCTTGGCTTTTTACACTATTTTGGGGGCTCTGCTTGGCATAAAATAATACATTCCCTGCCTGGGGCTAGGACAGATTGCTGCTTTTCTCCCACCTCCTGTAGGGTACATCTGGCCAACCATCCCGATCATTGTTTGCAAAGCTTCTATTCAAACATGTATATTGTTTTATGAATGGCAAAAGAGGAAGCCAACAATAACCTTAGGTCTTCATCTGCTTCTTTCATCTGAAGGGCGGGATGATTCTGTGAAGTTCCCCTCCAGCCAGTGTCCCATGCTCTCTGTTTCCTGGGAAGCCAAGATCATCAAGATCATAGTCTTCTTTTGCTCACAGCACACCCACTCCTGGAGTCCCAAACCCCATTCCTTTCTAAATCCTACTATTCTTAAATACTCTCTTTCCCTGGTGACTTTGTATCTGAATGGATTATTTGAAACTTCAATGGTGCCTTATAGTGTTAGGAATTGTTTTTATGTCTTTCTGACTTACCTCCCCAAATATATTTTAAGCTATTTGAAGGCAGAGGATTCATAGCATGTGGCACAACGGCAGGCAAGGGCAAGTTCTCAAAGATCTCAAGAAAGTCTGTTGAGCCCAAATTCATAACACTGTTAGTTATCATACATAAGGTCACTCACCTTCCATATGATGCCCAGGTTGTTGTAGAAGTCATAGTAAAGAACGTCTAAGGACATAGGAATGTCTTGTTCATAAAGGTCAGAGGAATAAGCCAGACTTTCTACTGTTGGGGGAGGTGAAATGCCACACAAGTGCTTACCTGAACCCAGTACCTCCATTCTCCTGCCACCAACAGTTTACTTCCTATCACCTTCTCTCCCATGTAGAATCATCAAATGTCCCATGCAACTTTCTGATGTTACGTACAGACATACCTTGGAGATATTGTAGGTTCAGTTCCAGACCACTACAATAAAGCAAGTATAGGCTGGGCACGGTGGCTCACACCTGTAATGCCAGCACTCTGGGAGGCTGAGGTGGGTAGATCATTTGAGGTCAGGAGTTCGACACCAGCGTGGTCTGAATGGTGAAACCCTGTCTCTACTAAAAATACAAAAATCAGCCAGGCATGGTGTTGGGCGCCTGTAATCCCAGCTACTTGGGAGGCTAAGGCAGGAGAATCGCTTGAACCTGGGAAGCAGAGGTTGCAATGAGCCAAGATGACACCACCGCATTCCAGTCTGAGTGACACTCCATCTAATAATAAAAAATAAAAATAAATAAATAAATAAAGCAAGTATTGCAATAAAGCAAATCACCTGAATATTTTGGTTTCCCAGTGCACTTAAAAGTTATCTTTATACTATACTAAAGTGTATTAAGTGTCCAATAGCACTATGTCTAAAAAAAGATGTACCTATCATCTTAATTTAAAAATACTTCAGGCCAGGTGCGATGGCTCATGCCTGTAATCCCAGAACTTTGGGAGGCCAAGGCAGAGGGGTCACTTGAGGTCAGGAGTTCGAGACCAGCCTGGCCAACATGGTGAAACCCCATCTGTACTAAAAATATAAAAATTAGTCGGGTGTGGTGGTGTGTGCCTGTAATCCCAGCTACTCAGGAGCCTGAGGTGAGAGAATCACTTGAACCTGGGAGGCAGAGGTTGCAGTGAGCTGAGATTACGCCACTGCACTCTAGCCTGGGTGACAGAGTGAGACTCCATCTCAAAAAATAAATAAATAAAAATAAAAATACTTTATTGCTAAAAAATTGCTAACAATTATCCAAGCCTTTAGCAAGTCATAATGTTTTTGCTGGTGAAGAGTCTTGCCTCAATATTGATGGCTGCTAACTTAGCAGGATGGTGGTTGCTGAAGGTTAGGGTGGCTGTGGCAATTTATGAAAATAAGACAATAGTGAAATTTGCTGCGTTCATTGACACTTGCTTTCACAAAAGATTTCTCTGTAGCTTGTGATGCTGTTTAATAGCATTTTACCCATGGTAGAACCTCTTTCAAAATTAGAGTCAGTCCTCTCAAATCCTGCCGCTGCTGTGTCAACTAGGCTTAGGTAATATTCTAAATCCTTTGTTGTTGTTTCAGGAATGTTCACAGCATCTTCAACAGGAGTAGATTCCATCTCAAGAAACCACTTTCGTTGCTCATCCGTAAGAAGCAACGCCTCATTTGTTGAAGTTTTATGATGAGATTGCAGCAATTCAGTCATATCTTCAGGTTCCACTTCTAATTCGAATTCTCTTGCTATTCCCACCACCTCTGCATTGACTTCCTCCACTAAAGTCCTGACCCTCTCAAAGTCATCCATGATGGCTGGAATCAACTTCTTCCAAATCCCGGTTAATGTGGATATTTTAGATGCATGCCTGTAGGCCCAGCTACTTGGGGAACAGAGATGGGATTATTTGAGGCCAGGATTTCGAGGCTACAGCGAGCTATGATTGTGCCACTTCACTGCAGCCTGGTGACAGAGTGATACCCTGTCTCCAAAAATATTTATAAAAAAGAAAAAACTTTAAAATGTTGATATTTTGACCTCCTCCCGTGACATGCAAGACCACATAATGGCATCTAGTATGGCAAATCTCTTCCAGAAGGTTCTTAATTTACTTAGCCCAGCTCCATCACAGGAATCGGTATGTATGGCAGCTACAGCCTCACAAAATGTATCTCTTAAATAAGACTTGAAATTTGAAATTACTCCTTGATTCATGGGCTGCAGCATGGACACTGTGTTGGCAGGCATGAAACGGCATTAATCTCCTGTACATCTCCATCACTGTTCCTGGGTCACTAGGTGCACTGTCAATGAGAAGTCCGATTTTGAAAGAAAACTTTTTTTCTGGAGCAATAGTTCTCAATAATGGACTTGAAATATTCAGTAAACCATGCTGTAAACAGATGTGCTATCATCTGGGCTTCTTTGTTCTCTTTATAGAGCACAGGCAGAGTAGCTTTAGCATCGTTCTTAAGGACCCTAGGATTTTAAGAATTGTCAATGAGCATTGGCTTCAACTAAAATTTACCAGCTGGATTAGCCCCTAATGAGAGAATCAGCCTCTCCTATGAAGCCAGGCACTGATGTCTCTTCTCTAGCTATGGAAGTTCTAGATGGCATCTTCTTCCAATGAAAAGCTATTTCTTCTACATCAAAAACCTGTTGTTTACTGTAGCAACCTTCATCAATTATGTTAGCTAGATCTTCTGGATAACTCTCTGTAACTTCTATATCAATACTTGCTGCTTCATCTTACCCTTCTGTATAATGGAGATGGCTTATTTTCTTAAACCTCATGAACTACCCCCTGGTAGCTTCCAACTTTTCTTCTGTAGCTCCCTCACCTTTCTCAGCCTTCACAGAATTGAGGAGAGTTAGGGCCTTGCTGTGAGTTAGGTTTTGGCTTAAGAGAATGTTGTAGTTGGTCTCATCTTCTAAGTAGACCACTAAAAATTTCTCTATATCAGCAATAAGGCTCTTTCACTTTCTTATCATTCATGTGTTCACTGGCGTAGCACTTTTAATTTCTTCAGGAACTTTGCCTTCACATTCACAACTTGGCTAACTGGAGCAAGAGGCCTAGCTTTAGGCCTATGTCAGCTTTCAACATGGCTTCCTCACTAAGCTTAATCATTCCTATCTTTTGATTTAAAGTGAGAGATGTGTGACGCTTCCTTTCACATGAACACTTAGAAACCATTGTAACATTATTAATTGGCCTAATTTCAATATTGTTATTGAAATTGTTAACAATAGCAATTTTGTTAATTGGCCTAATTTCAATATTGTTATGTCTCAGGGAATAGGGAGGACTGAGGAGAGGGAGGGAGATTGGGGGATGGCTGGTCAGTGGAACAATCAGAACATACACAACATTTATCAATTAAGTAATCATCAGATTACTAATAACCAAAGGCAAAAAGAAAATCTTGAAAGTAGCTAAAGAAAACATAGTTTACAATGGAGAGCAACAATGTCAATTATCACTGATTTCTCTGCAGAAACAATGGAGGACAGAAGACAGTGGAGTAACGTCTTTAAAGTATAAAAGAAAAATACTCTCAATCCAGAATATCTATATCCAGTAAAAATATTCTTCAAGAATGAAAGTGAAATGAAGACATTTTTCAGATACACAGAATCTAAGATAATTAATTACTGGCAGATCTGAACTCTAAGAAATACTACAATATAAGTTCTTTAGAATAATGGAAAAGTTATCACATCTTAACCCATTGAGGCTGGTACAGCAAAATACCGTACACTGGGTAGCTTGTAAACAGAAATTTATTTCTTACAATTCTGGGGCCTGGGAAGCTAAAAGTGTCAGCAGATTTGGTGTCTGGTGAGGGCCCACTTTCTGCTTGACAGATGATGTCTTCTTGTTATATCCTCCACCATATATATATGGTGAAAGAGGCAACTGAGCTTCCTTGGGCTCTTTTATAAAGGCACTAAACCCATTTATGAGGGTCCCATCCTCATGGCCTAATCACCTCCCAAAGGTCCCGCTTCTTAATACTATCACCTTAGGGTTTTTTCAACATATGAATCTTAGGGAGACACAAACATTCAGACCACAGTACATAGCAACTTGGAATTTCAAGGCGGAATGAAGAGCATAAGAAATGTTAAGCATTTGGGTGAACATGAAAGACTTTTCCCCTTTAATTTCTTTAAAATACATATAACTATTTAAAGCAAAAATTAAGACATTGTTTACAATGTGTACAGATGTATATGGATATTGGTAAAATGTATCTAGATACATGAAAACTATATCAAAAAGAATGGGAGAGTAAAAGGACCTGTACAAGTGCAAGATTTGTATATTTCATGTAAAGTGGTGCAAAAGTAGCCGTAAGTAATTAAGAAAGTTAAGAGTGTATATATTAATCCCTAGAATAATCACTAAAAACTAATGCAAATAGTCATAAATAAGAAGCCAATAGATATATTAAAATAAAATTCTAAAATGTACAATTAACTCAAAAAAAATATAGGAAAGGAGGAACAGAGGAACAAAACACAGATGGGACCAACAGAAAACAAATAGAAAATAGTAGACCTAAATCCAACCACAACAATAATTATAGGCCGGGCACGGTGGCTCACGCCTGTAATCCCAGCACTTTGGGAGGCCAAGGTGGGCAGATCATGAGGTCAGGAGATCGAGACCATCCTGGCTAACATGGTGAAACCCTGTCTCTACTAAAAAATACAAAAAATTAGCCGGATATGGTGGCGGCCACCTGTAGTCCCATCTACTCGGGAGGCTGAGGCAGGAGAATGGCATGAACCCGGAAGGCGGAGCTTGCAGTGAGCTGAGATTGTGCCACTGCACTCCAGCCTGGGTGACACAGCGAGACTCCTTCTCAAAAAATAATAATTATTATTATTATATTAAATATTAATAGACTACGCATTCCAATTAAAAGGCAGAGATGGTCATAATGGATACAAAAGTTAGACCTAATGAACACTGCCTATGAAAGTTACACTGTAAATATAAAAACACTAGATTGAAAGTAAAGATAAAAGAATAGAATAGAAAGAGAAAGATATACCACATAGACAATAAACATAAGAAGACTGGGTGGCAATAATATCAGATGAAGTTGACTTTGAAACTAAAATTATTACCAGAGATAAGGAGGGACATTTCATAATGATAAAAGTATCAACTTATCAGGAAGACATAACAATTGTGTATGTGTATGGACCAAATAACAGAGCTTCCCAGTATAAGCATACCTTGTTTTATTGTGCTTTGCGGATACTGAATTTTTTACAAAATGAAAGTTTGTGGCAACCCTGCATCAAACAAGACTATCATCACCATTTCTCCAAATGCATGTGCTCACTTTGTGTCTCTGTGTCACATTTTGGTAATGCTTGCAATGTTTCAAACTTTTTCATTCTTTTTAGTGTAATACCATAAACCTTGAATAATATCATGAGATCCATATAGAGTGCCCCTAGTGACACTGAAATTGCTCCCAAGAAACAGAGAAAAGTCATGACATTACAAGAAAAAGTTGACTTGCTTGATCTGTACCATAGATTGAGCTCTGCAGCTGTGGTTGCCACCATTTCAGACAGATTATTCATCTTGTGAACAGGCAATGGAAACTTACGGTATCAATACATACAGTACAGTGCTGTAAATGTATTTTCTTCTCCTTATGATTTTCTTAATAACATTTTCTTTAGCTTACTTTATTATAAGAATATAGAATATAATACATATGCAAAATATATGCTAATTGACTGTTTATAGTATTGGCAAGGTTTCCAGTCAAAAGTCAACTATTAGTAGTTAAGTTTTTGAGAAGTCAAAAGTTATATGCAGATTTTTGACTGCATGGCGGGGGTCAGCCTCCGTAACTTTCACATTATTCAAGGGTCAACTGTAATAATAATTGCTTATGTATTCTTTGCAAGGCCCTGTGCTAAATGTTCCATAAACATTATCTCATTTGGCCTTCCCCCAAACCTTTACATTAGGGGCAAGTATTGTTCTCATTTTGCAAATCAGTGAGTTGAAACCTAAAGGGATCAAGTAAGTTGTCTCTCTGTCACACAGCTGAGTGTGTTTGGAAGCAAGACTAAAATCTAGATCTGCCTGACTTGAAGGCCCCTTTTCTTATCAGAATGTGGTAGATACAGGTTTTATCCATCCTTCCTCACAGACAAAAAGTAGCATGGTTCATGGTCATGTAAATACACACCCTGAATATTTACCCTTCTGATCACCTTGTGTAGAGGGAACATCCGCATCCAAGAGACGCCTGCAGTCCAGGGGGCTCCAGAGGGAGGGAGTCCTGTGGATGTGGAAGATACGCTTTTGTCTGAGAGTCATGAGATTGGACTGTGGGTCCCTGTTGTTGTTAACCCCTGTGTGATCTTGGGCAATTCACTGTTCCTGTCTTTACCTCTACTTGCTCCTCAGTAAGTCAGAGTGAACTGAGATCTCTTCCTGAAATTACTTAGCCTAATTCTATGGTTGGTTTCTGGTGGCCAGGAACCAGAAATAAATCTCTCAGCAAAATTTTGCTTATGGACCATGAATCTTAGAGTATCCATGGTATCACTGATATCTTTAATTCCCAGATATTTTCCAGTAATGAAATTCATATAATAAAGCCAGGATCTCTGGTTCTTAATGTGGTGTTCTCGAGATCTCTGACTCTGTCTAACCCCGCTTCCCCCAGATCTATCAAGTTTTAGTCCGTGCTGCTGGCCCGCCATTCCTTAGGAGTGCCTTGATCCTGGCCTGGTCACTTTTTTTTTTTTTTTCAATCATAAGGCACTAATTCCTACAAAGGGAGAAAACTCAAGGGTATGATAGTCATCCATCTTGGGAGGCTGTGCTCTGGAGTTGGGCAGCTTATGTTTCCCACCTACCAAAATTGTCTCCCTGCCTAATCTGTCCAAGGTGGGCAGAAAAGGTTGTTTCCATTTATGACTTCCTTGCGGAACTCAGTTTCCATGATGCCACTTCAGTACCACGCCTAGCCCTATATTAACAGCACGGTAGATTGGACACAGGGCCTCTTCTCCCAAGAATTCATCAATCCATAAGTTTTCATTAAGTAAATTAAACTAAGGCTCTTGCTAGTGCCTTCTTGGCACAAGAAACTTGTCAGTTTCTGGAATCTCTAAGGGTTCACATCTCCCCTCCCTCATCTCCATCTAGTCTTATTATTATTATTATTGAGATGGAGTCTCGCTGTGTCACCCAGGCTAGAGTGCAGTGGTGCGATCTCGCCTCACTGCAACCTCTGCCTCCTGGGTTTGAGCGATTCTCCTGCCTCAGCCTCCCAAGTAGCTAGGATTACAGGCGCCCGCTACCACAACTGGCTAATTTTTGTATTTTTAGTAAAGACAGGGTTTCATCATCTTGGCCAGGCTGGTCTCGTACTCCTGACCTCATGATCCACCCACCTTGGCCTCCCAAAGTGCTGGGATTACAGGCGTGAGCCACTGCACCCAGCCTGTATTATTTTTGTTTAAATAATTGTGCTGGAAAAATCATCCTGCTTGGGAAAAAAAAGAAGTAATGCAGGAAGAGGCATGGGGCCGACTCAGTGTGCTACGGCAGTCTTTTTGAGAATGACAGCTTGGGACACAGCCAATGGAAGAATTCACCTTCCTGATCTTCTCAGAAATGGCTTTAGAATGAGGTTATGGGCATAAAATATGCCTTCCTTTGGGCTCACTGCATAACTTTGGGGAGTGAATTTAACCTTGCAGTGGTCCAAGTGCAAATGTCCAAGGTGTTACTTCCCATAATTTTGTGACAATGAGAATTCTTGAAATACCAGGAGAGCCTTGCAAAAATAAAGTGACCTTGCAAAAGTGACATTTCTGGCCACTGCTGAAACTATAACAGGACTTAAAATGGAGCTTTCTTGTTTGTCATAAATTTATGGCCTCAATTTACTGTGAGACCGACCTCTCCAGTTGGTTCTGGGGGTGTCTAAATCACATGTCAGCATCTTACACACTGTGGGCCAGTGATGACGAGGGCTGGATTTTCACACATGGGAAGGCCAGGTGGCACCACTTTTGCTTATGACTTCCATTTACCATCTCCCTCTTTCCACTTCTCCTGCTGCTTGCGAGAACAGATCCACATTTGCTAACCTAGACCTCATGGGAGTTAGAGTTACCAAACAAGGAGAAGAAGGCCCTTAGCTTGGCAAAACTTCAAAAGTTTCTAGTTTCTAATCTAAAGGGGCAAAACTGTAGCCATACCTTGGAATGAAGACTGAAGTTTCCCCAGGACTGCTGAAGTCTCACCAATGGCTAATCAAATGTCAAATTTTCACAGCAAGAATTTTCCAGAAGGGGAACAGGTAACTGGATGTCAATTAAATTCCCTGGGCCTTAATTCTTTCATCTGTAAAATGAGGCAGTAGGAGTCACTGGTGTTCCACAGTTCTTTCTTGTGTCAGCTAGTCAGCTATGTAAGAGTCTTTTTATTCTTTTTTGTTGTTTTTTTTTTTTTTTTTTTTTTTTTTTAAATTTTTGAGACAGGGTCTCGCTCTGTCACCCAGGCTGGAGTGCAGTGATGTGATCTCGGCTCACTGCAGCCTTGACCTCCCAGGCTCAAGCGATCGTCCCACCTCAGCCTCCCGAGTAGTTGGGAGGGACCACAGGCATGCACCAACATGCCCGGGTAATTTTTAAATTTTTTTGTGGAGACAGAGTTTCACCATGTTGACCAGGCTGGTCTCGAACTCCTGGGCTCAAACAATCTGCCTGCCTTGGCCTCCTAAAGTGCTGGGATTACAGGCATGTGCCACTGCACCCAGCTGTCTTTTTATTCTATTGCATTCAAGTATTATTGCCAAAGGCTGATGTTACCTAAAATTAGCCATTTTATTACTATTTTTTTTGGCTAAAAAAAAAATCTCCAGTTCTCTTCCCCCTTCACACTATAAAATACAATGATTAGTAAAAGCTCATGACTTCTATCTTGCTCTAGCTCAGCAAACAACAGGAGGCTTTCATCCTCCTATGGATATATTTCAGATCTCTTCACTGATTTTTCTTAGGTGTCTATAGTATCTTGGGAGGGTTTCTATTCCAAGCTAACCCTATATTCTCTAAAGACCTACCCAAATATTCTAGCTTTAACTTCTCAGCAAAGTTCTATTCTTGTACTTCCAGTTGCCCATAGGGAATTTTCACTTGGAAAGAACATCTCATCATAAGACAGTTAACAGATATTTTTGAGTGGCTATGGTATATCCATCATTATGAGTAATCTAGAAGAAACATTAGACATTGCCTCTGTTCTTTTTTTTTTTTTTTTTGAGACAGAGTTTCGCTCTTGTTGCCCAGGCTAGAGTGCAATGGCTCAATCTCAGCTCACTGCAACCTCTGTCTCCCGGGTTCAAGGGCTTCGCTTCTCCTGCCTCAGCCTCCTGAGTAGCTGGGATTACAGGCGCCCGCCACCACGTGCAGCTAATTTTTTGTATTTTTAGTAGAGACGGGGTTTCACCGTGTTAGCCAGGATGGTCTTGATCTCCTGACCTCAGGTAATCGACCAGCTTTGGCCTCTCAAAGTGCTGGGATTACAGGCGTGAGCCACCGCACCCAGCCACCTCTGTTCTTAAGAAACTTAAATTACAACGGAGGAAAAAACAAATATATTCATCCAGGAAACACTTGTTGAGGATCTATTTATGTGAGATACTTTAAAGTCTGATAGGAAATGTCACCATGTATCTCAATTTGCCAGGAACTGTCTTATTTATACCTGTTGCATTGGTGTATTATAAATAGCAATCCTTCTGACCTTCAAAAATGCCCTAGTTTGTGTGGCAGATTAGAAGATTGCTTTGATGCTGGGAAGTGATAGGGCCCTGATAACCTCATCCACTAGAGTCAGGTCAACGGAGAAGATTACCATAGCAACTAAGGACCATTATGTTAACAGAAACAGATATTATCACAACCTGGATATGTTTGTAATTTGGATGAGGCAGTCTCATTCATTACCTGAGATATTTCTAGAAGCTGTATTCATGTTGTTGGTTAATCTAATGGAAAGTGTTATCTTCTCCAGCTTACAATTCTGATCAGCATCTATGCCTCTGGGATAGGCTTAGCCTATGCTGAGACAGGTCAGATCTCATGTCTATGGGGAATGGACCAAGGAGAAGCCTTAAAGAGTGCGCAGGCCAGGTGTGGTGGCTCACGCCTGTAATCCCAGCAGTTTGGGAGGCCGAGGCGGGCAGATCATTTGAGGCCAGGAGTTCGAGACCAGCCTGACCAACATGGTGAACCCCATCTCTACTAAAAAATATAAAAAGTTAGCTGGGCGTGGTGGCACATGCCGGTAATCCCAGCTACTCGGGAGGCTGAGGCAGGAGAATTGCTTGAACTTGGGAGACAAGTGAGCCGAGATCACGCCACTGCACTCCAGCCTGGGAGACACAGCGAGACTCCACATGAAGAGAAGGGACCTGAAGTCTCATGAGCTCAGTTCCATAATCATGCCTGGGTGGCTACTCCATGCTGGGCACTCCTCTAGTCAACAGGGCAGAAGGAATTTTATGAGCAGAGCCTGGAGGTGGGAAATAGCATGGGGTGTGTGGGGCCCACCAAGCAACTTGGCATTGGTGGACGTCTACAGTGTGTGGCAGTGGCCAGCAGGGGATGTGCTATGGGAATAGGCAGAGGCCAGACGATGGAGAACCTACATCAAGAAACATCGTGCTTTTTTAAAGCTTGGAAATGAAAAGATACCTCAGATGTGGCTCTATCCAAAGGGCTCTGCCTGCCTTGGCAGCCACCACACCTGCAGCAAGACGATCCGTTTTTCAGCGCGTCTGCTGATCCCTGAACACCTCTCTGCCCCCTCCAGGGCTCTGTCCAGGTGTATGTTACTCATATTTGCAGATTCAGTGCTGATGAGACAGTTTCTGGAGACCCAGGACAAACAATGCTGGCTGGAAGAGCCAACCCTGGCCAGTCAGCCCCTTGTTTGGCAGCACTTCCAGGTGCTACAGAAGAACTGGTGCAGCAAGGACGATTGATTCGTGTGGGTCAAAGTAGGGGTGTTGATGTTCTTCCGGAATGTGCAGCAGTTGCTGATAATATTGGCTGACACTGAAGATCCTGCCAATTTCTTTAATCTTCCTTACTGCTGGTAGACTTGAATGGTCCAAAAGGCCATGTATACCAGCCTGGAGTGCTACCCCGAAACCACTGGATCTTGAACTCCCTGCCACTCTGAACGGCAATGCACAAAGCAGGTGATCTTATTTATACTGGCAACATAAGTTCTTGGTAACAGGGGCAGAGCAGTATGGTTTGGTGCCTAACACAGGAAGTTAAAAAATAAAAATAATAAAAGGAAAGAAAGGGGGGAAAAAATGCTCCTATCAGTGTGGAATGGGCAAGTAGAACCCACCAAAAAGGTAAAATGTGAAACTAGCAGGAAGAACTGTCTCCAATTGCATGAGAAGAACATGCCAACAAAAGACAATTTTTCAAAGATAATTGTTAAGAAACACATTGCCAAGAACTTTAAAAATCAAGTACAAGCCAGGCATGGTGGCATGTGCCTGTGGTCCCAGCTACTTGAGAGACTGAGGCAGGAGGATGGCTTAAGCCCAGAGTTTAACACTGTAGTGTGCGATGATCATGCCTGTGAATAGTCACTGCACTCCAGCCTGGGTGACATAGCAAGACCCCACCTGTGAAAAAAAAAAAAAAAAAAATCATGTGCAGACATTTGTTTTCCAGTTTGCTAGACACCAGCACTTGAAGAAATATCTCTTTTAGGATGAAGAGATGTTTTTCCTAAAGTTGTATGAAACAGCTTTTCCTCTGTACTAACTCACTTAAACATGAATGAGTCTTAAATTATTACTTTTTCTTCTCTATTGCAAGAGTCTCACTGGTGTTCATTTCCTGAAGAGTCAACGATGAACTAAGGGCGTGTGGGAGGCATTCTCCTCCTTTGAGGACTGTAGAGATGCCGATAGATAGAAATAATCTTGAACAAAAAGGTCCATGAGGTTATTGGACTGATTTATGGTCCATTCTAGGTCATGTGCATGCCAAGTCTATCTTTTTCATCCAAAATGCCTCCATGAGTATGTTCTGAACTGGGATCCTGGGGCTCATATGATTATGACTATTTTTTAACTGTGACTCTCACCGTAGAGAACACTCCAATTTAACATGCCCGTTTATGAAGTTCAACTCATGATTAATTGTCATTTACACCAGCGCTACTCAAAGTGTGGGTCTCTGATGCTTGAGGAGCGTGGTGCAAACTGTAAATCAACATACTGCTTTCTTCATGGAGAAAGTCAGGCACTAAAAACCTGTCCGCTAAACTACAGTGTGCTTGGTGAGGCGGTTGACACACATTATGGTGCAAACTTCACCTCTTGATGTGGCAAGGTAACCGTCTGCAGACCAACGTCTGTCTACAGACTGCACTTTGAGGCACTCTGACATATACTTGACATATATTTACATCATCTTTATAATCTATAAGATGCAATCTATAATTATTAATCTGTCTCAATTTTAAAAAGATTATTTTGAAACAATTTCGAATGTATAGAGAAGTTGCAAGACTACTACAAAAGACTCCTGCATGCCTTTCTTTCTTTTCTTTTTTTTTTTAATTTATAATTTTTTTTTCTTTTATAGAGATGGGGTCTTGCTATGTTTACCAGGCTGGCCTCGAACTCCTGGTCTCAAGCATTCCTCCCATCTCAGCCTCCCAAAGTGCTGGGATTACAGGCATGAGCCACCATACCCGGCCCCCGTATGCCTTTCATTCAGACTCCTTTCAAGTTTTACTCATGATGTGCTTGCTACCAATGGGTCCAAATTATGATCCTATGATCTAGCCTCTTTCTATCTGGATCCTTCTCTGAGTTCCATGCTCTTGACCTTTATGAAGGTTACATTTTGTAGAATGATTCTCAAGTTGGGTTGTCCTCTGCTTTTTCATGGTTAGACCAGGTCACGCCTTTTGGACAAGAATGTCACAGAAGTGATGCAGTGGTCTCACTGCCCACTATCAAATAGCCCATGATGCTATTTTGCCCCATTGGTGATGGTAACTTTGATTGCTTGATTAAGATGGTGTCTGCCCCATCTTTTTTCTTTTGTAGTTAATAAGTATTATGTAAATATTCCATTATTCATTCCATTTTTACCTCCTTGTTTTAGAACTCATTGATGTTTCTTGCTGGAATTAATTATTACTGTGATGTTTGCCAAATGGTAATTTTCTAATTGTATTATTCCCCTTACATTAATAAATCGGCATACTATTGTAAGGAAGAACTTTTGTACCTCCCGTTTTTACAAACAAATGTGTTATCATCCATTCTATTCTTCTATTATTCAATGGGTTACAAACCTTACTCTCATTAATTACTTTGATGTTCATGTAGACCCAGATTTTGACAGTTGGTTTCCTATGAAGCTGGATTCTGCACCTTTTGCCATGTGCCTCTCATTCTTTGAGAACTTCCTCACAAAAAGCCCTTCAAGGATATCTGGTGCTTTTTCTGTTCCAGGTCTGGATCAGCCAGTTCTTTGAGGAGCCTTAGTTCCTTTTCATGGAGAGTGATATTTAGAAGCCAAGATCTAGATGCAAAGTAGGCCCTTTGCTACTAGAGTTGTTGCTTCCCTGGGCCCTCTCAGTGGACAGAATTAGGAAATAGATGTATTTTTATCCGTCCATATATGCAAACACACAAAGGTGTGTATATACACATACACCTTTACATCTATACTTCTGTCTTGACGTCTTGGGGTTGCATCATCCTTAGTATGTTTGTTTACTGGCCCCTGTAGGTAGCCATTCTCTCGACTACATGAGGGGCCTCTCACCCTGCTCTGAATCTGTCCTCATAATTGTTGCCATTGCCAGGTGCCACCAGCTGCTTCTGCCACCTTGCTCCAATACCACTCTTGCCAGGCCACTGTCACCTCCCTTTCTTGTGCCTGCTCAGTGACTCTTGGGCTGAATTAGGAAAGAGAGGAAGGAAGCCAGATTTTTGTTTCTTAATTAGAAGAAGAAGTAAGCAAAGGCTACACTGAGATTACCTGCCAAGATTACTCCTTTGTTTCACCTTAGGAGACAGATAAGACAGCCTGTCTGTCGGGACGATATCAACATTGAAATGAAAGGGTCTTCCATATCTCTAAGTCTACTTCAGGATGGTAATCATGGCCAGAAGGGTGGGAGGGATGGTGCTTGTGCATCCTGCAGTGCACGTCAGCCTTGGTTTTTGCAGCGGGAATAAGGCTATCAGTGCTGGGTTTAATGTCGCTAAATCAGCAGAATGCTTGTCAACTCGTCTAGACATGCATCATGCCTGATGAAAGAAGATGAAAAAATAGAACATTGGTTTTTCTGGCAAGGGGCATTTGGAAACGTGGGGGTGTTATGCATTGTCACAATGCCTGGGGCCCACTGACATTTGGTGAGCAAGAGCCAGGGATATAAATGCTCTGTAGTGCACAAGGCAGTCCTGCATGACAACGTCTTGTCCCACTCAAATGCCACTGGAGCCCCCTCTAAGAGATACAAACAGGTGCTCACCCACAGGGGTACAGTTTGTAATGCTTTAATGCCATTACTGCTGTCATGTTTGTGAGGGAACATGGTCTCCAGCCTCCACCAGATGGGAGCAAAATAACCATAACTACCAGAAATAGAAGTGATTGTAGTAACTGCTTCCACATATTCTAGATACCCACCCACTGTGTGCAGTTATGAGTGAAACTGTGGCAGCTTTGTGAATCCCATAGGCCTGATCTTGGTCCTAATGGGCAGCATGACATTGGAATAAAACTCAAGACATTAAGTGATCCTGTGTTTTGCCCGCTGTTGAAATTAGCAACTGGAAAATAAACGTGTTTCTATGATCAAGGATGACTGGTTACCTTTTATGAGCTCACACATCCAGTCACTTGGTCAAGGAGTACTTGCTTGCACTTCCAAATTGATTGTAAGCTCCTTGAGGGCAAGAGGCAGTATGGCAGGCTTATGTAATTACCCACAGTGTCTTGCAATTAGTAGGTGACTACTAGCCGGTGACAAGGTTTGATTTTTCCCAGCTGGACCATTAACCATAACACTGGGTAAGGGCTCACATCTATTTTTCTACAGTGTTCCAACACCTCACTAATTCATATTTTAGATAGGGCTGAAATCCGTAAATTTCTGAACTGGTTAAGCAAGGCAGAAGCAGCAAAGCCCTTTTTTCTTTCACCTACTCTCTCTCCCTCCCTGCCTCTGATTTATAGGCTGACAGAAGTGGATGCAAGAATGACTTCCGTGTATGTGGGCAAATGACCCTACTGCTGAATCGTGCTACTTTAAGCTCAGAGCTGAAGAGCAGGACATCCAGGCTTGGGAGGACAGCAAGGGTCATAGGTGTAGGCTGGCTTCTGCCATGAACTCTCTGTTCAATGTTCAGCAAGTCTTCTAACCTCTCTGGGCCTCATTGTCTGGATCTATAAAATCGGGAGGTTGGACCTCACGATCTCTTCACATCTGTGGTTCTACAGTTTTTTGTCTTGGACCTCATGAAAACTATGAAGCATGGCCACATCCTGAACAATAGGCAAAGTGATAAGGAAATGTCACAAGGATGGCAAAGTGACAGGGAAAACAGAGTGAAAAGTGTGTCCTATGATAACACTGGAAAGACCATTCTCTGGCCACAGTTCAAACCTCTCTTTCTCAATGAGTTTTGTCTTTTGTCTTTTTCTTTTTCTTGTAATTACAGGAAGAATAGCGAACAGCACTTATAGCTGCTGCTTTCCTAGCTAAGAGGATAAGCCAGGCTCAGGCTCTGGTGGTGGAGAGATGGTCTATTTACCTCAGATTTACTTCCAGACCACAGGAATCCCACATTTGTCCAAGACCTCTTTCTTTTCTCCCGTGGAAGGAGGGCTGCAATGGCTGGACAATTCCACTCTCAGCAACCTCTTCTGGTCTTTGAAATTCTGATCTCCTTTTAACAAAGTACAGTGAGAAGTAATTTAGACTAAATGACTTGATACCTGTATTTCCTGATACTTTATTTTTCTTTCCATGACTATTTTAATTCCTGAAAAGTGGAAAAGTACTTTCTCCATCATTTCTCATTTTTCCCTTTTCCCTTAAAAACATAACTCTGCATTTATTGTAAACTATCTTAAATCGACTTTGGAAGTGATTTGAAAATAAATTGTAAAATAACAGTGCTGTAGGTGTCTAATATGCTTTGTGTTGTAGTCAAGAGAATAAAGCAGTAGACACATTTAGTAGCAAATATCTGAAGTAGAAGGGACATGAGAGAATATTTAAATCACTGTTTTTCAAATTGCAGGTTGTAGCCCATTAGTGGGTCCTGAAATCAATTTAATGAGTTGCAACCAGTATTTTTTAAAAATAATATAGAATAGAGTAGAAAATACCAGAGTAATCACACATAAAAAAGGTTTGTTAATGAAGCGTTTGTTTAGGCAAGTTCTGACTTGCCTAAAATATCAAAGCTGTTAGAAACTACAAAAAACAGAACAAGAACTTTGCACAGGAGACGAGAGCATTTTATTTTACTAAGAATTAGTTTATATGATTGGTTATTGTGATGTCCCTTTTAATTTAGAAAGGGTCTTTGCAAAATCCACTGAGAAAAACAGTTGATTAAATATTTATTGAGTGTTCAAATGTATGAGAAAGTGTGCAAAAATATTTAATGAAAATACTACTTATTACGTCCTGTAACTAATAAAGATATTCAACTATAATTTAAAAGCTCCCAAAAAGGAAATTTCTAGGCCCAGAAGGTTTCCATGGTGAATTCCATTGAGCATTTAAATAAAATTTTTTTCTTTTTTTTTTTGAGGCGGAGTCTTGCTCTGTCGCCCAGACTGTAGTGCAGTGACACCATCTCGGCTCACTGCAAGCTCCGCCTCCCGGGTTCACGCCATTCTCCTGCCTCAGCCTCCCGAGTAGCTGGGACTACAGGCACCCACCACTACGCCCAGCTAATTTTTTTGTATTTTTAGTAGAGACGGGGTTTAACCGTGTTAGCCAGGATGGTCTCAATCTCCTGACCTCGTGATCCGCCTGCCTCGGCCTCCCAAAGTGCTGGGATTACAGGCATGAGCCACCGCGCCCGGCGAAAATTTAACAATTTTACACAATTTCTTCCTGAAAACAAAAGGGGAGGGAATGCTTATCACTTCATCTTATGAGGCTAGTATTACACTGATACAAAAAAAAAAAAAAAAAAAAAGACTAATATGGCTTACAAACTTAGATACAAAAATCCCCAACAAAATATTAGCAAATCAAATCTAGAAGTATATTAAAAGACTTAAACACCATGACAAAATTTATTTCAAGTATGCAAATTTAGGTCAATATTTAAAAAATCAATCCATATAATCCGCTGCAAAGAAAGAAAAAATCACACAGTTATATCAATTGACACAGAAAAAGCATTCGACAAAAGCCAACACGTACTCATGATAAAAACTCTCAGCAAACTAGGAATAAAGGAAATCTTCTGTAGCTTGATAAAGAGTAGCTATTAAAAGCCTACAGGTAACATCATGCTTAATGGTGAAAGACTGCTTCCTGTCTAAGGTTAGAAACAAGGCAAGGATGTCTACTCTCACCACCCTTATTCAACATGGTGCTAGAAACTCTAGCTATTGCAAGAGTGCAAGATAAATAAATGAATACTGTAAAGATTGGAAAGGAAGAAATTAAACTGCCCCTGTTTTCAGACGACATGATTATCTACATAGACAATCTCAAGTAATCTGTGAAAACTCCTAGAATTAATAAGTGAATCCAGCAACCTTGCAGGATATAAGATTGACACATAAAAATTAATTGCATTTCTATTTATAAAAATGAACATCCAGAAACCAAAATTAGAACACAACATAAGTCACTCCAAATAAAATGAAATACTTATGTGAAGGATTTCTGTACTGAAAATAACAAAATGCTTATTAAAGAAATTAAAGAATATCTAGATAAATGGAGAGACATACTATGTTTATGGATTAAAAGACTAAATGTAGAAAAAGGTCAATTCTTCCCAAATTGATCGACAGATGTAATCCAATTTTTTTTTTTTTTTTTTGAGACGGAGTCTCGCTGTCGCCCAGGCTCGAGTGCAGTGGCGCCATCTCGGCTCACTGCAGGCTCCGCCCCCCGGGTTCACGCCATTCTCCTGCCTCAGCCTCGTGATCCGCCCGCCTCAGCCTCTCAAAGTGCTGGGATTACAGGCGTGAGCCACCGCGCCCGGCCAGATGTAATGCAATTTTGATCAAAACCCCAGCAACAGTTTTTGTAGACAGAGACAAGGTTACTCTAGAGTTTATATGAAAAGACACAAATTCTAGAATTTAAAAAAAATCTTGGGGCTCCCAGCACTTTGGGAGGCCGAGGAGGGCGGATCACGAGGTCAGGAGATCGAGACCATCCTGGCTAACACGGTGAAACCCCGTGTCTACTAAAAGTACAAAAAATTAGCCGGGCATGGTGGCGGGCGCCTGTAGTCCCAGCTACTCGGGAGGCTGAGGCAGGAGAATAGCGTGAACCCTGGAGGCGGAGCTTGCAGTGAGCTGAGATCGCGCCATTGCACTCCAGCCTGGGTGACAAGGCAAGACTCCATCTCAAAAAAAAAAAAAAAAAAAAGAATAAAGTGTGAGGAATTACTCTATCTCATATTAGGTTTTACTATATAGCCACAGTACTCAAGATATTATGGTATTGTTCAGGGATAGGTATATACATAATTGAAACAGAATAGAGAACCCATAAATTAACCTATATAAATATGAAAGAACCCATAAATAAACCTATGTAAATATCTCCAGCTGCTTTCTGACAAAGACGCAAAAGAAAGCCTTTTCAACAAATGGTACTGAAGTAAGTGGACATGTATAGGCAAAAAAATAAACCTCAACCCAAACCTCTCACCTTATCAAATTTAACTCAGAATGCATCATATTTGTAAATTTAAAATGTAAAACTATAAAACTTTTGGAGGACAGCAAAGGAAAAAATCTTTGAGATGTAGGCCTAGGCAAAGAGTTCTTATACTTGACATCAGAAGCGTGATCCCACAAAGGAAAAAATAGATAAAAAGTAAACTTTACTATGAGAAAGTCCATGTGAGGAGAATGAAAAGGCAGGCTACAGACTGAGAGAAATATTTTCAAATAACACATATGACAAAAGACTAGCACCTGGAATATACAAAGATCTCTCAAAACTCAATAGTGAAAGAAAAAAACCCCAGTCTACTTAGAAAATGGGCCAAAGACATACATACATTTCACTAAATAAGATATACATTCGGCAAAGAAGCACACAAAAAGCTTTGGCATAATTAACCACTGAGGTAATGTAAATTAAAACCACGATGAGATGTTACTACATGCCGTTCAGAATTGCTAAAATAAAAAGTAGTCACAACAGTGGTCAGGTGTGGTGCATACCTATAAGACTGTGTGAGCCCAGGAGTTCAAGTTCAGCCTGGGCAACATAGTGAGACTCTGCCTCTAAATAAATAAATAAAAACAGTGACAACACAAAAAGCTGACGAGGATGCAGAGAAACCGGATACGTTACTGGTGGCATTGTAAAATAGTATAGCCACTCCAGAAAATAGTTTGGCAGTTTCTTATAAAACTAAACATGAGACTGCCATAAACCCAGAAATTTCACTCTTGAGCATCCATCCCAGAGAAATGAAAAATGTGTATTTGCACAAAAAGCTGTACATGAATGTCCATAATAGCTTTATTCATAATAAACCCAAACTAGACACAACTCAAACGCTCATCAGTATATTATTAATCTGTACTGTGGAATAGTCCTCAGCAATGAAAAGGAACAAACTGTTGATACATGGACCAACTTGGATGAATCTCCAGGGAAATAAACTGTGGGGAAAGCCAATCCTCAAAGTTTACATGTAGGATTCCACTTATATAACATTCTTGAACTGACAAAATGAAAGAAATGGAGAACAGATTCGTGGTTGCCAGGGTCAAGGACCATGGTGGGAGTGGGGTGGGGGAGGAGAAAAGCCAGGGAGAGGAGAGGAGCTGTGGTTACAAAGGACATGAAAGATCCTTGTGGTTCTATATCCTGACTGGGGCCGGGAGCAGTGGCTCATGCCTGTAATCCTAGCACTTTGGGAGGCTGGGGCAGGAGGGTCACTTGAGTCCAGGAGTTTGAGACCAGCCTGGGTAATGTGGCAAAATCCCATTTACATTAAAATATATATATATATATACAAAACATTAGCAGGCATGGTGGCACACACTTGTGGTCCCAGCTACTTGGTAGGCTGAGGTGCGAGGATTGCCTGGGCCTGGGAGGTTGAGGCTGCAGTGAGCCATGATCGCATCACTACACTCCAGCCTGGGTGACACTGAGACCCTCTCTCTCAAAAACAAAGTAAAAAGTATATCCTGACTGGATTAACGTCAATATCCTGGTTGTGATACTGTATTCTAGTTTTGCCTGATGTTACCACTGGGGAAAACTGAGTCAATGTTACATGGAACCTGTCTGTATTATTTCTTAAAACTGCATGTGAATCTGCCATTATTTCAAAACAACAGTTTAAATTGTAAAAAGGAAACATGAGGACTCTCTGGTCTTAGATGCAAGCAAATGGAGTAAAAAATGTATAATTTGGGCAAAGACTAAAGTAACTATTGGAGGATTCTAAATAGCTTGGTGACAATGACATGCTATCTCTTTCTACATGCCCATAGAGTACTTATTCCCAGTCATACCCTTGCCCATAGAGGCACTCAATAATTTTGTCTTATGTGTTATATTAGTGTGGAATAGACGTTGCCCTGTCAAGCAGTTTAATGTATGAATGTAAATATAAATCACATATATATAATAGGCAGCTCAAGTGTGGTTCTGTGTGAACAAGCCAATTTTTTTTTTTGTGAAAGGACATGATACGTATCCTTGAGAACAGAAGGAAAACATAACCAGAGTCCACATTTATTTTGGGGTCCACAGCTGTGTTTCCTTCCCATGCAGGTTTTGCTTGTTCACTTGCTTTTGCCTTTTTCTATAGGATATCCTTCAACCACATTCATTAGCCTAGGAGGCGGGAGAGTGGAATTCCTGTGTGGGAAGGAAAGGGTTTACACCCGTATTTCTGGGGCCCTAGGGCTCTCAGGAGATGCTTCAGGGAGGGGGGAAATGGGTGCGATTTCTATCTTGGGCGGCCTATTTTCTTTTTTTTCTTTTTCTTTCTTTTTTTTGAGACGGAGTCTTGCTCTGTGGCCCCAAGGCTGGAGTGCAGCGGTGCAATCTCGGCTCACTGCAAGCTCCGCCTCCCGGGTTCACGCCATTCTCCTGCCTCAGCCTCCTCAGTAGCTGGGATTACAGGAGCCCGCCACACGCCTGGCTAATTTTTTTGCATTTTTTAGTAGAGACGGGGTTTCACCATGTTAGCCAGGATGGTCTCGATCTCCTGACCTCGTAATCCGCCCGCCTCAGCCTCCCAAATTGCTGGGATGACAGGCATGAGCCACCGCGCCCGGCCCTGTTTTCTACCTACTTGTCCATGGCTTCACATTGGATTTGATTTAAGAACACATTCCATGTCTTCATAAAATGTTAGAAAACCACCAGCGGCTCATGTCTGAGTTCAGCTGCACAGGACTGAGGTTGCAGCTGGAGACCTGGGCCTCTGCATTCCCTGTCTGGTGGAGGGAGTGCAGAGGCTGAGATGAGGCGTGAGTGGTGTCCTGGAGGGCTGGAATGAGTGCCCCCTGTCATTGTCTGTCTGGCTTCTGCCACTGACAGCAGAATGTCACTTATTCAGTGTTGCTTGCCCAGGGAGGACAGAGTGTGTCCTGCCTTACAGAAGGCCTGGGGCAAAGCCATGACATTTCAAAGTGGGAAAATCAACCAGGATGAGAGGGACTTTTTTCTGGAGAAAATACTGTTTAAAAAATGTTTGTTTTCAAAGTCTGTGTGTGTAATATAGTGTGTGACCAATAGAAGCGACGAGAGCCCAAGGTGGTGAGGTGATTGATCAATTGATGAGAAAAGCCCCTGGAAAATTTGTGTGAACAAACACTTAGTTGCATGAGCAAACGTGCAAAGCAGTGTTCAAAAAGATCTTATGAAAATATTTGGGAGATGGGAGGTGGCAGTTTCAGTGAGCCAAGATTGTGCCACTGCACTCCAGCCTGGGTGACAGAGTGAGACTCTATGTGAAAACAAAAACAAAAAACAAAAATTAGGAGAATTCTTTCAGTAATAGGTTCAATAAATAATTGACTAATGATGAAGAATTAATATAATAATTTATAATAAAATGGTGTAATGATAATAAAATCAGTGAAATTTCAACTGGCTAATTCCACACTCAGATGAGACCAAGATGTTGACCAGAAGGCAATCCACACAGTGACTCTGGAAGGGAGCCCGTCTGAAGCAGTGACCGGTTTTTCTTCCTGATCAGCTCTAGCAGTGCAGGTGGTGATGTGTGATATTCGGATGGATGCTGGAAAACTAACCCTCCTCTGGTGGTGAAGAGTTCCACTTTGATATGTCTGGGGATTCCTGAAGCCTTTCCAGGACCCTTCAGCACTAATGTTAGGGTCCTCGGCATTACAGACCCACCTTCAGCATGGGAGTAACGGTAAATACCAGCGGGAGGAGGCAACAGAGGTGAAATGGAAGAGCATGTGTGCCTGCCCCTCGTGGTGCCACCAGGAAAGCAGGGGGTCTTCAGGGCCAGGGCCCAGAGAGAGCACTTCAGAGATGAATTTCTACCTCCTTGGTCTCCTGCGGTGCTTAATTAAGGCCTCTTGAACTTGCTGGGCTAGAGAAAGATGAGCTGAGACCCTGGAGTTAGTTAAATTCCTAGGAGCGCTTTGATGTTACTTTCTGGGGACTTGGGTTTTGGAATACTGCAAGATCCGACCTCAATGTCTCTGTCCACAATGAGCAGCTTCCTCGGGAGCCTGGCCAGCCTCGATTTGTTGGGCACGGGGGAGAGGTGGAGGAAAAGCACTGGTAGGAAATAAGCCCAAACCATGAATCACCCCTTTCCTCCTAAAGAAGCTACTGTTAAGAGTGAATTGGCTGAAATTTCCAGAGGGCTTTTGGCCACCAGCACTACAATTAGGAAAGAAAACCAAGCGATAAAAACAAATCTAAACCACAGACTAAATCACCACTCCATGATAACCCATCCAAAAAGAGCACAATCCAGCCAGAACTGATTCCCGGCACAAGACCAGCCTGGTCTTTCCGAGCTCTGGAGAGGTCTAAGAAGATCCCAGAGGAGAGGTGAGCTCGGACAGGGATCGTGCTGTCAGGTTTGCCCAAGGTGTTCCTAGTGTACACCGGGTGCTCCTGGCTAACTCACAGGAGCCTCATTCATTCTCGAAAGCGTCCCAGTTTAGATCATAAATTATATGATCATCTTAAAAAGAAAAGAAAGCAAGCCACTGAAAATAACCTGCGGCCTCAAGACTTCAGCAAGTCGGCTCTCAATTCTCTTCCTATGTGACTCTTGCTTGGGGCTGGCGAACCATGGCCTGAGGGACAAAGTCTGCCCTGGTCCTGCTTTAGTATGGCCCACGAGCTAAGAACGGTTTTTACATTTTTAAAGGGCATTTAAATAAAAACAAATATGTGACAGAGACCACAAGTGGCCCGCAAAACCTAAAACATTCACTACCTAGTTCTTTACAGGAAAAGGTTGCCGACCCCCAACCCGGCCACTTGATCTTGTAGCTTTGGGTAGAGGGCTGAGATCTTGGATCATTATTGATGCCTTTGGCCCCAGAGAATTTTGACGATTCTGTATCCTCATCCTACCTTTGCCAAATCCAAGGCCCAGCCCCGGGTCCCCCAGTGCTAGAGAGGCAAAGTAGTGTTTGTGGAATGAACAACATCAATGCAAGCATGTCACTTACCAGAGAATCCCATGCAGAAAGCAAAAGGCATCTGTTGAGTTTCCCTCTCTCTCTTCTCCTCCAAGGGGAGGTGACAAGAAGGAATGAGGTTTACTTAAAGCCTTTCCGTGCCACACAGGGTTTCTATTCTGGTGGAAGGGAATGCTGCGGCCAAGAATTCGGCCTCTCTCCTGGAATGCCCCTGCAGCCACGGTTCCTTGGTGGTTTCCTTCCACCAATTTAGCCTGAGGTTTAATCAGGCCCTCGTAGACCCACATCATTTCATTCTAACTTTCATACTTCTACACGGTCTGTGGTCCTAGTACGTGCTGAGGAAGCCCTTGGGAGGAATGCAGCTTTTCCTGTAGAAAAATGATTATGTTCACTCCTTTCCTGGAAACTGTATCTCTCCAGCATGGGGGACAACTTTTGAGAATCATCATCTTGGTCTCTCAGTTCTATGAGATTGATTCTGGTTCACAGGGACAGTTCTTGGAACAAAGACTTATGTCGTCCTCCTGGCTCAGTCACTGATGGGCTCTGGGACTTGAAGAAACTCACTCAGGGCCTTTGTCTCTCACTCTCTCGCTCTTTCTTTGTTTTTTTTTTTTTTTTTTTTTGGTGACAGAGTCTCACACTGTTGCCCAGCCTAGAGAGCAGTGGTACAATCACAGCTCACTGAAGCCTCGAACTCCTGATTCAAGTCATCTTCCTGCCTCAGCCCCCTGAACAGCTGGTATACAGACACGGTACCACACCCAGCTATTAAATTTTTTTTTTTTTAAGAGATGGGGTCTCACTATGTTGCCCAGGCTGGTCTCGAACTCCTAGCCTCAAGCTATCCTCCCAAGGTGCTGGGATTGCAGATGTGAGCCACTGTGCCCAGCCACCTTCCTCTCTTTACCCATAAAAAGAGAGCTCTGTGATATTTCTTCCAGCCCAGTCACTGAGGATGTGATGAAGTCCAAGCAAGTGTCTGGAATGTGATTCACTCCCGTGATTCCTGGAGAGGACACAAATAGTGTACAAGGTACTTCTTATGAGAGTCTATATTTAGAAACCTCTTAAAAATGAACATGTTGGCTGACTCTCAAAAGCATTCAGGGCACTGCTAGAGCCCCTGGTTACCTTATTCCTACTAAACATGCTCAGGGCCCCTTCAGTAGAGCCACTGACAGGAGATGGGAAGCCAAAGAGGTCGGTGGCAGAGCTTGGATTGGAAGCCAGACTTCCTGAATTCCAATACCTTCCAGTGGCTCTCCATGCTCACCAGAGGCGTCACCCGGAATATGTGAATGTCCTCTGTGGGGGTTGTGGGAAAAGCACCTGGCACTGCTTTGTATATGGAAGCTGAGTGGTAAATGTTCAATTGAATTACTCAGAGCTGGACATTTGCCATTCTGGAGACATTGCTCTAGAAAAGTGTTTTTTTCTTATTTTTATTCCAGACATTCCTGAGGTGTTGGTCTCACAACTTATGATTAGGTAATGATTATTAAAACCTCACTGAACCTCAAATAGACATTCACGAAAGCCAGAGTTAACGTCTCCACCCTTCCTATGTCTGTGAAGGCAAGTTGTGGGCAGAGTGTAAAAATCTGGAGAAAGTTACGTACGGAGCTCACTTTTTGCATCTACACACTAGCTGCTAAACTTTAATACACTCTGCCTTTCCACTGGAGCCACCGCCCACTTCCCCAGGGTGGCAGAGGACTTGTTGACATGGAACTTCTAGATGCAGCTTCCCACCCCCACTCTGCCTGCATCTTGTCCTGAACTTTGGAAAAAAGCAGCTCTGGAAATCTCACTTAGGGTGACTATCCGCTACCTATCCGGGGCTGTTTTGTTTTGCTGCTTAGTTTGTTTGCTCAAGCAGTTAAAAGCTATGGTAGCCATTTATAGTTTTCCTGCTTTTGTTTGAATACGTCTGTCTGCACTGTACTTCAAGTGCAAATGACAGGGTAAGAATGCCTATGACCTAGGATCATTAAAAATGGGTGCAGAATAACACTAGCTCCTGTATCTCTTCCCTAGCACTTACCTTCTCAGCTATGCTAAAGCAATTAACTCCTCTCTGCCTTGCACATTTAACTCAGCCATTGACTGCAAGCTTTTTCTTTGGAAACCTAAGATCTACATGTGGAAACATATCGATTTGAAATGTTTCTCCACTTACTCTGGCTCTAAGAATAGAAGGACACTTTCAGTTTTGTTTTGTCTTCCTTTATTACATTTTTGCTTTTGAGATACAAACCAACCTCTCATACCACACAAAGAACATCCATTCTTGGGATTTTTAAAGTGCATTTCCCCTTGAACTCTGTGTACAAAAATATTTATCTTTTAAAACATGCAAAAATTTCTTGACAAGGCACTTTTAGGTATAAAATGAAGATGAGTCCTTGGTTCTACATTCACACTGAAGTAATAGTGAAACATCATCACAGCTGCACTCTCAAAGCCCTCAGAGGTCCAGCAGTCTCTAAAAACTCGTCAACAAGACTAAAAACATTCACGGCTTTACAATGTGGGTTACAGAGCTTTACAACCATGACCAGGAAAAACTGCTCGTAACAACAGCTGTCCTTCCCAGTTCCACATGTGTTGTCTCACTGCAGGAAATTAAGATAAGCTGCCAAATTGTCTTTGTGTGACCCTATAAGATCCCATCATCCATGTAACTTCTTGTCTCCGATTTCAGTGAACATGTCAGGAGAGACGTGATCGGGACTCTCCCAGGACTACATTCAGGTGAGAAATTTTAGAAGAGGAAACAAATAAAAGGCAACCAAGGTTTTCATCCCCTATCCATTGAGAGGGAAGATCCAGAAAATGGGCAGTTCCAAAAAAGGAACACTTTTTTGATTGATAAGCATATATGGCCCATTTAATGTCCATGACTACAACTAATGCCTTTTTTCAAAAAGAAAATGGTTTGAAAAGATCAAAACCACAGAGCAATCTCCTAACAGTTCCAAATTTACATCTTCTAAGAATGTATAATTTTGCCACCATTAAAATGAAATCTTAAAGGTAAATTAAATTCTCCCATTGACTCTGACATTGTTTTAATTTCTGGAGAACTGTACAGCTTCATTATTTCTCACCAGCTCCAGTAGAATAATTTTTTAAATAAAGAAACCCACTCAAATGCTTCATGTCTTCCAATAGATACTGAAAGCTTATTTATTAAATATCTTTGTATAATCCAGCTTATTTATTGTACCCAGTTTGCAAATGCTCCTCAGGGCACTTGAGGGAATAAATATAAAACAAAAATGAAGTTGCTTCCCTATTGCCGGACAACTGCACCTGTGACAGGTGGCTGGTCTTTCTGGGGCAACCTGGGAAAGATTCTGGGACTCGGGGGCCACTTGTAACCATAACCAAGAGCTGTCTGAAGGCAAATCTACAAGTCAAGGTGCAGTGAAGTCTCCAAGTAAGAAACCTGTCACCCTCTGAAGTGTGTAGGCTTATCTACTGATGATGAGCTATCAAACAAGGAGAGAATACATCAGCGCAGCTCCCGAGGCCTTCTGAGAATTTCACGGGACAGAACTGGGCCAAAAGGAAGAAGACTGTTTGCGGCAGGAGGGTAGCAGAGGAGCAAGTGGTAAACAGAAGACAGATAGAAGGCAGTATTCTTCAGACCCCCATACATCACTGAATGACAGCCCTGATGAGGAAACTCAGGCAAGTAGAGTCTTTTATTGGAGAAGAAGGGTCTTTGCGAGCAGGTGAGGACTTGCCTTCTGAACTGTGCGGCAGGGTGAGCATCCCAGGTGTGCTGGCTGGGGGCTTGCATCCAGCACCCCCAGCAAAAAAAGCCAGGGTGAGCTGGGAGAAAGACGGGTAGTGGGGAGGGTTTACGGCTGCTTTAGAAGAGATAGTTATCACTGAATTACCATATTTCAAATTTTGACATGGGAATGTCTTAAGATCATTATTAGATAAAATTAAACTGACTTTATTAAACAGAGTCACTTCAGGCCTTTTTCTTATGAACAGAGTGATCCTTAGTCGGGTAACATGTCAATGACAGTGCACTCTGTGCCTCTCCTGCATTGTGGGGAGGGCACTTCTTAAGGCAAAGTAAAATTCAGGACCTGCATGAAATCAGTTTTGCTTCCATTTGAGTTCGATTTATGCTATTAATAGTTCTGATCACCAAATTTATAACATTTAAAGTACTGTCTGTTACCCGATGTCTGGTATGTTTACATAAAACGTGGTTCTGCCCAGTAACAGCATAAGGTAAAAATGTGATTTCCCCTAAAATTATAACATCATGTCATCCTAGAGTGTTACCCACCTGGGAGAGGTACAAAAAACAAAGCATTAGATTTCAGGCTAAGAACAGCCAGTTTTAGGAGTAAGAATTACATCGAATAGCCTTAAGAGCATTTAAAAAGTCAAGGCATCTTAAACTTCAGAAATGAAAACAAAACCAAAACAAAACAACAACAAAAACAACCTAACCCAACCACAAAACTCTAGGAGCCAAGGCACTCAGTATCTGCCTGTTGGTTATGTACAAAGCCACAAATGGGAGGTCTTTTCAAATTAATCTGGAAAATCCAAGCACAAGACTCTTAGCTTGAAAAGCCTGACAACTCTGCCTCCAAATCCAGGCAACTGTGCTTCCACTCCTCTTCTTGCTTGCCTTAGGAAAACTTCACTTTAGTAAGATAAGGCAAAACAGAAAATAAAAGAGTCGTTTAACCAAACTCCAAAAACAAACAAAAATAGAAAATAAAAAACCAACTTCCTACAAGTATACTTGTAAAAATATATTTTTAAAGCACCCCTAAGTAAACACCAATCTTGCCCAAGAAAAATCACAGGTTTGGGGCCTATCTGATAATGACTGTCCCGGAAGTCTCTCTTTTTTGAGACAGTTTCACTCTGTCGCTCAGGCTGAAATGCAGTGACGTGATCTCGGCTCACTGCAACCTCCACCTCCTGGGTTCAAGTGATTCTCCTGCCTCAGCCTCCCGAGTAGCTGGATTACAGGCGCCTGCCACCACACTCAGCTAAATTTTGTATTTTTAGTACAGACGAGGTTTCACCATGTTGGCCAGGCTGGTCTTGAACGCCTGACCTCAGGTGAGCTGCCCGCCTTGGCTTCCCAAAGTGCAGGGATTACAGGCATAAGCCACCACACTCGGCCCCAGAGGTCTCTTTTACAACAGCACTAACCAACAGACTTTAGTCCAATATGGTTAAGAACAATGAATCTCTGAAATTTCAGAGTTGGCAAACGTTTAAAATAACGTATAAGAACTTGGGTGAGGTTTTTCTCCCCTATCTCTTTACATACACACCATAAATAAGAACACCCAAGTCCATGTCCCTGGGTGCTGGTAAAGTGTTCTAGATAGTGTGAATCACAGTCACGATAAAACCATTTTCTGAAGGTTTCGAGGAGATATTGGATATGCAAATCAAATGTCCTAAACACAGCAGAAAAGATGACTCTTTGGGAAAGGAGATTCAAAATTCTCTTTTTTTTTCTGTTTGAGACGGAGTCTCGCTCTGCTGCCCAGGCGGGAATGCAGTGGTGTGATCTCGGTTCACTGTAAGCTCCGCCTCCCAGGTTCCCGCCATTCTCCTGCCTCAGCCTCCCAAGTAGCTGGGACTACAGGCGCCCGCCACCACGCCTGGCTAATTTTTTTGTATTTTTAGTAGAGACAGGGTTTCACCGTGTTAGCCAGGATGGTCTCGATCTCCTGACCTCGTGATCCACCTGCCTCGGCCTCCCAAAGTGCTGGGATTACAGGCATAAGCCACCGCGCCCGGCCCCAAAATTCTTTCATAAAGAATGAGACAAACCAGCCAAGCACGTTAAAGTCATTGAGCTTTCGGGGGAAAAATCAGATTTTTCCGGTGACTCGGGGTAAATGTGGGGACTTAGAAAGCTCCCCCTAGAAGGCAAAAGTAGAAGCTGAAAGTGTCCCCACTCTTGACTGTCCTGCCTTGTCAGAACCCTGCAATCTGTGACACCGCACAGGAGCCAGTGGGTTTTGATGACTGGTGTGTTGCTCTCTGCTGGAATACATCTGTGGGGTCAAGAAGCGGGAGGAGGAAATGCCTGTCTCAACCACTAACTAATTTGCCTTTATTATCTTTTCCTGAACATCAGATCAATTGTGGAAGAACATAAAATGCAAAACATGAACTTGCAGAAAACAAGAGCCAATCCCATTTCTCTTCTGCAGCTGCACTGGAAATGTGCGTCAGCTCAGTGTGTCACAGCAGAGATACACGTGGACGGGGAAGCACAGCAGCTTGCAGGAAAGGCCTGGCTGGCAGAGAGCACCCAAAGATGAACACAATGAACAGTGAGGGTCTCACGCGAGGTGGCTGGGGCTGAGTGGCTTTTGGCGACTGATGTCCCACATCTGAGTGGAGAGCAGAGGAGAGACTCCTCCAGCTTCATCAGCACTGGCATAGGCTTGATTCCCATCCATACCCTTTCCAGCACAGACGTGCACAGACTCTCGTGGCTGCCACAGTGCGAAAGCGCGCCAGCCACCACTGCTCCTTTGAGTGAGACACTGGTTGTGTAATCTGAACCTGGCTGGATTTGCTGTTTAAGAAAGAAGTGAAGAGGATCCTTTTATTTTCCCAAACGGGGCCTCATGGAAGTTCCACGTTGCTCCTCCCTGGCCTTCCATCTCCACTGCACAGTGAGCAGAGCTAGGCTTGTCTGTGGCAGCTCCGCCACGCCCTGTCACCTGCAGTCACTAGTAGTAGGGCCCTAGCTTTTCATATCCTAAGTAACTTGGCCACTCTGGAAACAGACCATAGGAACACCGAGGGCTTCCGAACTGGTCAAAGGATATTCCCAAATCCGGTCCACTGTGGGGCTTGGTCATTCCCTGGGTAGATTTTAACTCAGCCCGGATGATCCTATAGTTCTTGCCTCTGTTGCTGTCCCAGTACGTCTGTCCATTGCACTCGTAGTACACAGCAAACTCCATTCTTTCATAAGACTGAATCTTCTCGGGCAAGCTGATGTCGAAGGAGAACGTGTCCCTGTCTGAACCGGCATAAGTGTCCTTCACGTACTGACAAGGAAAGTCTGTGTAGCTCTTCCAGGTGTCGAACGTCATCCTTATTTTCACGGTCTTCTCAAATGCGAGGTTCTGAACCTTCACAGTGCCTGCAATGGCCTTGTCCTTGAGCACACAGTTCTCAAGGCAGACGTGGTCGGCCTGAAGTCGATTTCTAAAGTCTAAGTAATCTGCAGAGGGCTGGGAAAAATCCAGAACAAAGCTCTCGCTCTCTGCTGTCGTCAAGCTCACAATGTTGTCTAGGAGCTCGGTGATGTTGAATGGCATATCTAGCGGGTCATCGAATTCCGAGAACACTTTGACCATTGTCAGGGCCAGCCCCTGGTTGTCTGCGAAGGACACCCGCTTTTTCACCTTCTTCTCCTGGACAGCCGGGGCCACCATTCCACTGGCTTCATTCTTGCTGCTCAGCTGAATACAAGGCCTCAGTGGTTTGCTGGGCTTTGGTGAGATCTTAAAGGCAAACCTCTCTTGGCGCAAGGAAGGAGCCATGCAGTTGTATCTGTACTCGATGTCCACAGCCATCATGGGGCTAGATGAACAGGCTAGAACCGTGGAAAGGGAAGAGAAGAAAGAAAACAGTGGAGCAATCAGATCAGACAGATGTGTAAAGGCATCATTCCAGCAGGGACTGGCAAACAATATTTCCTTTTATCTATGCCCACCTGGCTACAGGTCAGGATTAACTCTGGTGTGGTCCAGCACAACATGCGTTTGAGAGAAGATTATGTTGTGGGGGGACGAGATGCGGTGGGGGGTGGGGGGTGCTTCAAGGTTAAAACAAACAAAAGAGTATGAAACCCACTAGTTTTAAAACTAAATGCACAGGTTTTTTGGTCAGCATTTCTTGGGGCCTTCCGTTGGCAAATGTGCCACAGAGGATAATCAAAAGGGCATATATACTGTTTTAAAATTTCCCAAATCTATTTGACTAAAAGGGTGTCTTCCACAGATAGCTGTCCTGAGGGACACTATTTATTTACGTATTTTTAGAGATAGGGTGTTGCTCTGTGCCCAGGCTGGAGCGCAGTGGCGTGAGCACAGCTCACTGCAGCCTCGACCTCCCAGGCTCAAATGATCCTCCCACCTCAGCCTCCCAAGAAAGTGGGACCACAGGCGCAAGTCACCATGCTTGGCTAATTTTAAAAAATTTTTGTAGAGACAGGACTCGCTATGTTGCCCAGGCTGGTCTCACACTCCTGGCTCAATCCATCCTCCTGCCTTGACCTCCCAAGGTGCTAGGATTACAGGTGTGAGCCTCTCTGCCTCTCTTTATTAATTGAGAAGTAAAAATTGTATATTCTTATGGTGTACAACAGGTTTCCATATATGTATACATTGTGGAATGGCTAAATCGAGCTATTTAACATGCATTATATCACACTTTTTTTGCAGTGAGAACACTTAAAATCCACTCTCAGCAATTTTCAAATATATAACATATCATTACCAAGTATAGGCACCATATTGTACATCAGATCTCTTGAATTTATTCCTCCCGTCTACCTGAAATTTTGTATCCTTTGGCCAAAGGATACCTCTCCAGTCCCTCTACCCTCACTTTCTGGTAGCCACCCCTGTACTCTCTGTTTCTATGAGTTTGACTTTTTCAGATTCCACATATAAGTGAGATCATGCTATATTTGTCACTCTGTGCCTGACTTATTCACTTAACATCCTCCAGGTTCATCCCCGTTGGCACAAATGACAGGATTTCCTTCTTTCTTCAGGTAGAATGGTATTCCACTGTGTTTATATACCATGTTTTCTTTATTCACTCATCCAATGATGGGCACTTAGGTTGATTCCGTATCTTGGCTTAGTGAATAACGCTGCAATGAACATAAGAGTACAGATAACTCTCCGATACACTGACTTCAATTCCTTTGGATATATGTCCTGCAGTGGGATTGCCGGGTCATATAGTAGTTCTAGTTGTGGTTTTTTGAGGAGCCTCCCTACTATTTTCCATAATGGCTGTACTAATTTACATTCCCACCAGCAGGAGACAAGGGTTCCCTTTTCTCCACGTCTTTGCCAATACTTATTTTCTTTGGTCTTCTTGAAAATAGCCATCCTAACGGGTGTGACGTGACATCTCATTGTGGCTTTATATTTGCTATAATCTGATAAAAAGAAATGGATTCATCCCACAAATAGGGATTGGGTGTTTCCTATATGGCAGGCATCAAGCAAGATACTGGGATTCAATAGTGAAGATAGACACAAACCTGCTTTCATTAAGTTTATGGTAGGTTTTTAAATGTCAGGATACCATTCTTTTAAAAAGAACCAGCAGGCCTGGGCGGTGGCTCACGCCTGTAATCCCAACACTTTGGGAGGCTGGGCAGGTGGTTCATCTGAGGTCAGGAGTTTGAGACCAGCCTGACCAATATGGTGAAACCCCATCTCTACTAAAATTACAAAAATTAGCTGGGCATGGTGGCATGCACCTGTAGTCCCAGCTGCTCTGTAGGCTGAGACAGCAGAATTGCTTGAACCTGGGAGGCGGAGGTTGCAGTGTGCAGAGATCACACACTCCAGCCTGGGCCACAGAGCAAGACTCTGTCTCAAAAAAAATAAAAATAAATAAAATAAAAACAACCAGCAATTTCGTATTCTTAAGCCTTTAACATAGGTGAATATTTGTTTTTTCCACAAGTAAAAAATTGGCTCTATAAGAATAAAAAGCAAAGAGAATCATGCTGAAAGAGGATAAATCTGAGTTAACAAAAACTATATTTTCTTTAAGTAAAAACGATAAGTAAAACAAAAAAAGACTACAGACAAACTGTGAAAATATTTTACAATAAGCATAGCAGCAGAGCTAATACCTTAATATGTAAAGTGTTCTTACAAAGCAATAATAAAGTCAAATATTCCACATAGAAAAATAAGCAAAGAACATGAATAGAAAATTCATGAAAAAAAATTTTAAAGTGGCCTATAAATATGCAAAATGTTCAACCTTATTATTAATTTAAGAAATTTAGATGAAAAACAATGTCTGTTTTTTATTTATTGAATTAGGAAAAAAATTGAAAAGATAATACAAGTTTTTCTTTTTTTTTTTTTTTTGTTTGAGACTGGGTCTTACTCTGTCACCTAGGCTGGAGTGAAGTGGTATGAACATGGCTTATGGCAGCCTCCACCTCCTGGGCTCAAGCGGTCCTCCCACCTCAGCCTCCCGAGTAGCTAGGACCACAGGCATGAGCCACCATGTCCGGCTAATTTTTAAAAAATATTTTTTTGTAGAGACGAGGTCTCACTATGTTGCTCAGACCAGTCTTGAATTCCTGGACTCAAGCAATCCTCCCACCTCAGCCTCCCAAAATGCTGGGATTTATAGGTATGAGCCACTGTGCCCAGCCAATGCAAACATTTTCATTAGTTAAAATTGGTACAAACTTTCTAATTTTTTAATCATTTTTTATCCTAATATCACATAGAGACATTTATCCTAGGTAAAGAATTAAAAACACACAGAGATTAAGGTACTAAAATGTTCAATGCCACATTATAGGGGGAAAAAGATGACAAAATAACCTAGGTGACCATTAACAGGTACCTGGTTAAATTAAATGTACCACATCCATGTGATGTACTTTTATTTTTACTGTTGTTATTTTTTCCTTTTTTGAGACAGAGTTTCACTCGTGTCACCCAGGCTGGAGTGCAATGGCACAATCTCGGTTCACTGCAACCTCCACCTCCCAGGTTCAAGTGATTCTCCTGCCTTAGCCTTTCGAGTAGCTGGGATTACAGGAGTCTGCCACCACGCCCAGCTAATTTTTGTATTTTTAGTAGAGACAGGGTTTCACCATGTTGGCCAAGCTGGTCTCAAACTCCTGACCTCAGGTGATCCACCCGCCTCGGCCTCCCAAAGTGCTGGGATTGCAGGCGGGGAGCCATCATGGCCAGCCCATGTGATGTAATTTTATATCATCATTAAAGCCATTATTTTAAAAAAGATTCAAATGAAATGAAAAAAAAATATTATATATTTATATTTATGTCTACATATGTATATATATATAGAGAGAGAGAAGATAAAATTGTACATAGAAACTAGACTTGTGGGGAAAAATGCTGTTGTCACTTCAACGACATGAGTTTGAACTTTGTAGGTCCACGTATGCTCAGATTCTCTTCTGCCTCTGCCGCCCTGAGACAGCAAGACCAACCCCTTCTCCTCCTCTTCCTCCTCCTCAGCCTACTCAACGTGAAGAGGATGAGAATGAAGACCTTTATGATGACCCGCATCCACTTAATGAATAGTAAATATATTTTCTCTTTCCTATGATTTTCTTAACATTTTCTTTCCTTTAGTTTACTTTACTATAAGAATACGGTATATGTTACAAATAAAATACAAAATATGTGTTAATCGACTGTTGATGTTATTGGTAAGACTCTGGTCAACAGTAAGCTGTTAGAAGTGAAGGTTTTGGGGAGTCAAAAGTTATATGTGGATTTTTGACTGTGTGGGGGCTAGGCTCCCCTAGACTCCATGTTGTCCAAGGATCAACTGTATTATGTAAATGCAGAGAAAAAAGACTAGAGATATATATTTAAAATCAGAATACCTAGGTGACAAGATTTCAGGAATTTCTGGTATCCTGGTTTGTATTATATCTTCTAAAATAATATTGCTTCTATCATCAGAACAAAATGAACCTAAAAAAAATCCTCAAATATTTTATGATATGCCAAAAACCCATCCCATCACTACTGCCTCACTAAAGCTGAGCACTTTTTTTTTATAAGACAGGATCTTGCTGTGTTGCCCAGGCTGGAGTGCAGTGGTGCAATCATAGCTCACTGGAACCTCAAACTCCTGGGCCCAAGCAATCCTCCCGCCTCAGCCTCCAAAGTAGCTGGAACTACAGGTGTGCACCTCCATGCCCAGCTAATTTTTCAATTTTTATAGAGGCAGGGTTTCACCATGTTGCCCAGGTTGGTCTCAAACTCCTGAGCTCAAGCAATCCTCCCGCTTCAGCCTCCCAAAATCTGAGCACTTTTTATCATTCTAATTACCATGGCAAATTTATATTTTGATTTGACAGTTTCAATGGACTAAATTAAGGAAATGAGTGCCGAAACTAGGATTAAAATCTCAAGTCTGAGAATCACAGAACACAGGATCTGGATGAGTCCCCAAACCTATCTCCCCTCAACCTATCTTACCCCTCCTTATGGCACAGGTGTAGGTGTGTGATGACGTGTTGGGGAGCTCACTCTCAAGCAGCCATGGCCACCCCTGAGAAGTGACAGGCAACATGCCAAGTGTCTTCTGTAAAGAGCTGGGACCACTGGTTCAGTTCTATAAATAACCTCTCATTTTCACCTTCTGATTGTGATTAACCAAACATGTAAAGAAAAAAGGTGAACGGACGAACACATATCAGATTTGACCCCATTTTTCCAAAAGTACAGAACTTCCCTGGGATGCAAGAAACCCTTACAGATGGCCAGTCAGAGAAATACACATATTCGGAAACAAATAAAACAATAACTTATGGCCAGAATGCAGGTGCTTAAACATTCATTTTAAAGGATATCTGTCTCACTGTTTCCCCTTTAAGAAAATCAATCTAGTGAAAATTTTAAGGGCAAATTTGCTTTCAATGATCTGTTCTTATAGCCACGTAACTGTTCTGGAAAGGAAAGTTCTGACTGAATTAGGCAAGGTAGGTTTGCAGAGGTTCCACGGATTGACTAACAGGTTCAATGTAAAAAAAAAATCCTATACTTACAAAATATCTAAATTTTAGTTACTCTTGTCCTTTGCAAAACTGTGCTGGAATTATACCCTCAGCTCTAACTGTAACACAGGTAGTGTTTTTGTTTTGTCTTATTTTTAATTTTTTTTTTTTCGAGATGGAGTCTTGCTCTGTTGCCCAGGCTGGAGTGCCGTGGCGCAATCTCAGCTCACTGCAACCTCTGCCATCCGGGTTCAAGCGATTCTCCTGCCTCAGCCTCCCAAGTAGCTGGGACTACTCGTGCCACCACCCCTGGGATTACAGGCGTGCACCACCACCCCCAGCTAATTTTTGTATTTTTAGTAGAGACGGGGTTTCACCATGTCAGGCTGGTCTCGAACTCCTGACCTCATGATCTGCTCCCCTCAGCCTCCCACAGTGCTGGGATTATAGGCATGAGCCACCGTGCCCAGCCTTGTTTTTAAACAAGTACGAAAACCAAACAAGAGGCTATATCTGGCATCCCAGTGCCCCCCACTCTACCCATCCTGAAAAATCTGGGTGTGAACTGAGGGAGGAAGGGTTCCTCTTCACAGCTTCCTCCTCAACTGAGTCAGCACAGGTTATCTGCAAGTTCTCTTTGCACTTCCAAGAAGCCTGCAAACCAGCCTCCTACGTGCTTTTTCTGCATGTTAGGAAAAGCCTTGGAAACTCTCAAGATATTGTGGAAACAGCCAAAGCAAAAGGATCAATCAAAGAATCTACACACAGCCCACTAGAGCCAATGTCCCAAGTTCTAATCCCGCAGGCTGAAGAGACTTAGCTGAAGACCTTGGTAGAGTTTCACTGTTTCACCCCAGTGGCATAAATTTGTCCCTGAGATCCCTTTTTATCACCAAGCTGTAAGAACAAGCAGAAGTCCGGCTTGGAGAGGCCAGGCTCTAGTCAGAGCCAGAGCTAATTAAACAATGCTGCTGGCACTTGAAGGAGCCAAACTGCTATTACAAGATTCTTCCATGAAAGGCAAAAGTAAGGTTATGATGGCTCAAGAGTTACCCGCAGGACTACTACCCCAGGGACATTGCACAAGCAACCCCAGTCTAGAATCCCTTCACTTTGTGTGTCACCATAACTGCAGGTGAGGACATTAACCTGTGTGGCCTCAATCTGGGGTATGACTCGACTGTCAGTCACCTTGCCTGTCCCACAGATAGCTTCCAGATTTTATTTACCAGGTCATTCTCCAAGAATCAGCACACCAAAGTGCTGGTTTGGTGTAGGCTTTCCTGAACTGCTCAGGAACTCCCCAGCGGACTGTGACAGGGATGGCTGCCGCCATGCAGAAGTACTCCTAGCAACTGAGATGTGCAAGGTAATATTAAGTTCCTGAAAAGAAGGCACCTGGACAGGTGCTTCTTTTACAAATGACATGAAAATGATCGGTTCCAACACAGGAAGCACCAGGCTGCAGCCCAGCCTCCTCTCCTGACAGACTCTCTGGCTGCTCCAGCTCTGTCCTTTTCCCAGGCCAGGGAATATGAGTCACCAAAGTTGGCCAAGGGGGAAAAAAAAAGAACCAGAAGTTATGGACATACATTTGAACCATGAGAGCAGGACTCAGGATCTGATACCAGTTGCAGGATAGGAATGAGTGTATGAGTGCTGCTCCCAGGTAGGTATGAATTCTCAAACACTTGCTTCCATAGAGATGCCTCAGAGCTCAGGGATCAGTTTCTCTGGTGAGAGACTGGGCCATGCTTGAGGGTAGATTACAGTGTTCATGGCTAAGACAGGGCAAACCCTAACAGATCATGGAGATAGTTTTGCATAAATGCTTTATCTGTTCCACTCATAACACACCTTCTCAAGACAGCTGGCCAAGGTTAGACGGCCATGGTGATAACTATAGACCTGCACAGAAAATAACCCTATGACCTTCACGGTTTCAGGCAGCTGAACTACTGACTTTCTGGCTGTACCTTTCATAGGGAGGAAATCTTTTTTGTATCAGGGCCACGACATTATCCCCTCCATTCTCTTATTCTCTCTCTCTCTTTCTTCTGGTAAGAAAAGACAAAAAGGCCGGGCGTGGTGGCTCACGCCTGTAATCCCAGCACTTTGGGAGGCCGAGGCGGGCGGATCACGAGATCAGGAGATCGAGACCATCCTGGCGAACACGGTGAAACCCCGTCTCTACTAAAAATACAAAAAAAAAAAATTAGCCGGGCGTGGCGGCGGGCGCCTGTAGTCCCAGCTACTCAGGAGGCCGAGGCAGGAGAATGGCGCGAACCCGGGAGGCGGAGCTTGCAGTGAGCCGAGATGGCGCCACTGCAGTCCAGCCTGGGCGACAGAGCGAAACTACGTCTCAAAAAAAAAAAAAAAAGGCAAAAAAAGGCCGGGCGTGGTGGCTCACGCCTGTAATCCCAGCACTTTGGGAGGCCGAGGCGGGCAGATCACGAGGTCAGGAGATCGACACCATCCTGGCTAACACGGTGAAACCCCGTCTCTACTAAAAATACAAATAAAAATTAGCTGGGCGTGGTGGCGGGCGCCTGTAGTCCCAGCTACTCAGGAGGCCGAGGCAGGAGAATGGCGTGAACCCGGGAGGCGGAGCTTACAATGAGCCAGAGATGGCGCCACTGCACTCCAGCCTGGGCGACAGAGCGACACTCCGTCTCAAAACAAACAAACAAAACCAAACAAACAAAAAAATCAGATGCACAAGCAACCCACCAGGAACACTGAAAGCTGCCGAACTGCATTCAGTAAACATTCACAACCAGGTTATAATTTTCATTTTTAAAGACATGGCCATCTACCTCCCTCCAACAATTCTGTGTTCCCTTCCAAAAGGTTTCACTGATCCAGCATGAAGAGAGTGCATGTCTTTCCCCTTTGTACTCAGACCATGGGGGCCTATTCACAGCCTTAAAGGCTCCTTGTACCCCTTGATCCTGTCCCCATCATCCAAAGCATCTTGGAGACTGACATTTGTGAATACAGTTGCATATTCTAGGAAAGAGGCAAGTTCAAATGACACAGCCCCTGCCGTCTAAAAACGTACGAGGGAAAACAGAGTACTAGGCTAAGAATGCCCGCACCTTGCTTTGCTACTTGAGCGAGTCACTCAGCTGCTCTGGGCTTGAGGTCCCCTCCAAGGTCCCTGCTGGCCCTGACATTGTATGTTGCGACCCACCCCTGGTGCCGCTTCTCTTCCCACTAACTTTTTTTCCTAAATACCTCAACTGTACTTTTGTGTAAGTCCTCCAGCTGTCTTCACTTTAGTTTTGGCTCCTGGACAACTCTGCCCAAGGAAACATTTCCTCCTCTCCTCCTCTTCCTCCCAGACCAAAGCTCTAATTGTCTCTTCTGCTGCACCCTGGGTCTCCCAGGCAGGCCCCCGCCACTCAGACCACAGGTTCCAACACCTTCCAAGTCTCCAAGTTCCCAAGTCCAGTCTTTCCTCTGTTTTCTCCTCTTTTTCAGAAAACAGTGCTCTGACAGGCCCCAAATCTTCCAGTAAGTCATTACCGGCCCCCACTCCCTCTTTTGCAGCTACTGTGCCTTCCACACCCCTTTTTCTGGATTCCAAAGAGACGCAGGAGCAGGCCAGTGCTCTCCAGGCTGGAGGATCCCACAAGTTACTCTCCGACTCTGTCCCCTCCGTCCAGTTTGACCAGGGCTGCACTCCGCCCCCAACCTCCCTACAAGCCTCCTTGGCCTCGCGCCGCACCCACCTTTTGGGCCGCGGAGAAGCCCCCTCCCCAGCTCGCTCGCCGCATCGGAGAGCCCGCAGGGTTGTGGCAAGCGCGACTACGTGAGCGTCGGTGTGTCCGGGAGGCAGGGCCTGGGCTGGGTTCCCGGAGATGTCGGCGGTGGGAGGAAGACGACGAGGAGGAGGAGCCCGTTATCGCACCCGGGCGGGGCCGGCAAAGGGGCAACCCCGGCCGGAGCAAGCAGCGCGACACCAGCACCCCCGCGCGGCCGCCTGGCCTCCGCCAGCCCGGGACGGGGATCGTGCTAGGTCCCGTCGCCCTCGGTGGCCTGAGAGCCTACCAAGTGTATTTCCTCGCGTTTTATAGGGAAAATAAGGCCCGGAGAGAGACGAAGCGGCTTGTCCTTAAGCTCCAAACCCCACTACCCAACTTTGGAGAAGTCTCCAGACCTCTCGGGACCCGGGGCTGGGAACTTGTGCTAGTTTCGAAGCCAGAACAACAGGTGGTAAAGGGATCAGCCGCCGCAGCCGCAGCTCCCGGGTCACGGTCGCAGCCGGGCCCAGCAGCGCGGTGGAGCACGTGGGCCCGGGAGGCGCTTCCCAGCTGCGGTCCCTGGATCGCCCTCTCCACGCTGAAGCAACAGCTCCCTGGGGCCAGCTACCTAGAGTGTTCCAGCCCCGGTGTGCCAGTGCAAGTCGCACGGTGAAAATGTAGGTGACAGGAACCCAAAGAGGTCCCCGCTGCACGCCCTCGCCTTGTTGTCCCCAGCCCTTCCCTCGGACTCGAGACTTGGGGAGCTACGTACCGGGTTCAGCTCATAAGTCCCGAGGGCAGACGCGCCAGCCCGCGGCAGCATACGCCCTGGGGGAACAGGGACAGCTGCCGTGACGGCAGGAGCTGGGCCCGGGCTCGGGTTCGCGCCCCCCGCGGGCGGCGAAGTCCGTCCGTGCACGAGAGCTGCGCGGTCACCTCCTCCCTCCAGCAGTCACCCGGGACTCGAGCTCCCCGCGGCCGCGCTGCCCCCTTTAACTTTCCTGCCAGCTCTCGGGACCCCGGGGTCCATCCCAGGCCCCCTGCCACGTGAACGCCCCCCGCAGCCAATGGGCGCGCCCGGGACTCCAGCCGCCGACCAATGGGCGCGCAGCCACGGCGCTGGGGAGCACCGCTTCGCCACGTGATCGGCAGCGCGCCCGGAGTGATCCGGCTGCGGGCCAGGGTCTGGGAAGGGGGTGGTGGGTCGCCGTTTCATCAGAAGCCGGAGGACGGGCGCCAGGGGGCAACTTCCTACAGGAGGGCGTCCCGTTAGAATGACAGGGCTTTTGCAAAAGTCTGACACCCGTGGCACAGAGCGCCCCAGATATGGAGGGTTTCACAGGTAGGTATACTTCAGAAGAAATTTCCTGACTTGAATCGGTTATAATCGCTATCTAAATCTACAGGGCCTCCGCGATGCATATTATGCACCTTGAGATCTATAGAAAATGGTCTTAGAAAAAGAAAAAAATGATGACCTTAAAGAGTTTGAATCAGAGGCTCTTCCTTTCTTCAGTTTACATGTAACTTGATCTGAACTAGCCACTTTAGGCATGAGGCTACCAGTTTTCTAATTTTAATGACCAGTAGAGTTTTAGAAAAAAATTAGAAATTGATATAGGATTGCCAACTTTTTAAACTGCCAAGAAAGACATGAAAATAAACCCTGCTGTCTTCTATTACTATCCTTTTATTTTTATTTTTTAAAGTACACTTTAATAGCAATAACAACGAAATGCAGGAAGGATGTAATGGCCAGTCTTTCCCATTGGATATATTTAGCTTTCTGAAAACTCATTATGTTGAATATGGCATTTGGGAGTTTCTACTGTAAGGGATACAGGCTCAGCTTCAATTTTACTAGGAATGCAAGCCTAAAACAGTGATCGGTGACAATAATCCAATACAAGCCTTTAGCTCTATAGAGAGCTTCCCCGGAGGGAGTCCTGGTGTCTGAAGAATGATCATTAATCTTCTTCCTTCTTTTCTGATGGGCAGATCTGATAAGGGACCACTTGTGAAGTCAGCTATTGGTAGGTGGTTGGCAAATAGCGTTTCTGTGCAATATTCCCTCTGCCAACTTTAAACCCTCTCTTGTTAGGTGATGAGTAGGTTGAAGATTTTTAAGCCAAGTACTGGCTAAGTTTCTCAGGTGTAGTGAGCATGCTGGAGGAGTGGGCAAAGATGAAGAGCCAAGAGGTATTGCAAAACATATGCAGGCAAAGGGTAATCCGAACCACACCGGGAAAGAGTTGGGACAAGTAAATACAGCTTTGTAGCATTAGGGTTTGGGAGCATTTTTCTTGCATAGATCTAGGAAACCATGGTCAATAATTTCCCCTGTGGTTTAGATGACTTTTTCAGACCAGGAGAGAGGGGTTAAACTTAGTTGTGGTACACCACAGCCTTAGTAGGTAGGAGGGTGTCATCTATGAGTTTGAAAAGAGCACAGTCTTTGCCATCAGGATAGAGCTGAGATGCAAGCTCAGAGGAGGGCTTTACCAGGAGACCCAGCAGTGCAGAGCTCCAGAGCCTGAGAGCTGGACCCACCCTCAGACACGATCTTGCCTCACCCTCTCATTTTATGGCAACAAAGAGAGAAAGTGAAAATGGAAAATTTCAATGCTTACTGCATCAGTCAATGCACACCAAGTTCTTTCTATTATATCTGGCATTGGGTTACAGCTTTAATTTTATTTAACAACCCTCCTCCCCCAACCAAAAAAAAAAAAAAAAATGAAACCAGAAAACAGCAGTGGCTAAGCATAGTAAATTATTATTCTTCCATAAACTGTTCTTTTTCTTTTTTTTTAATTTATTTATTTATTTTTTTAATTTATTTATTTTTTATTGATAATTCTTGGGTGTTTCTCACAGAGGGGGATTTGGCAGGGTCATAGGACAATAGTGGAGGGAAGGTCAGCAGATAAACAAGTGAACAAAGGTCTCTGGTTTTCCTAGGCAGAGGACCCTGCGGCCTTCCGCAGTGTTTGTGTCCCTGGGTACTTGAGATTAGGGAGTGGCGATGACTCTTAACGAGCATGCTGCCTTCAAGCATCTGTTTAACAAAGCACATCTTGCACCGCCCTTAATCCATTTAACCCTGAGTGGACACAGCACATGTTTCAGAGAGCACAGGGTTGGGGGTAAGGTCACAGATCAACAGGATCCCACGGCAGAAGAAGTTTTCTTAGTACAGAACAAAATGAGAAGTCTCCCATGTCTACTTCTTTCCACACAGACACGGCAGCCATCCGATTTCTCAATCTTTTCCCCACCTTTCCCGCCTTTCTATTCCACAAAGCCGCCATTGTCATCCTGGCCCGTTCTCAATGAGCTGTTGGGCACACCTCCCAGACGGGGTGGTGGCCGGGCAGAGGGGCTCCTCACTTCCCAGTAGGGGCGGCCGGGCAGAGGTGCCCCTCACCTCCCGGACGGGGCGGCTGCCGGGAGGAGACGCTCCTCACTTCCCAGACTGGGTGGCTGTCGGGCGGAGAGGCTCCTCACTTCTCAGACGGGGCGGCTGCCGGGCGGAGGGGCTCCTCACTTCTCAGACGGGGCGGTTGCCAGGCAGAGGGGCTCCTCACTTCTCAGACGGGGCAGCCGGGCAGAGATGCTCCTCACCTCCCAGACAGGGTCGCAGCCGGGCAGAGGTGCTCCTCACATCCCAGACGGGGCGGCGGGGCAGAGGCGCTCCCCACATCTCAGACGATGGGCGGCAGGGCAGAGACTCTCCTCACTTCCTAGATGTGATGGCGGCCGGGAAGAGGTGCTCCTCACTTCCTAGGTGGGATGGCGGCCGGGCGGAGACGCTCCTCACTTTCCAGACTGGGCAGCCAGGCAGAGGGGCTCCTCACATCCCAGACGATGGGCGGCCAGGCAGAGACGCTCCTCACTTCCCAGACGGGGTGGCGGCCGGGCAGAGGCTGCAATCTCGGCACTTTGGGAGGCCAAGGCAGGCGGCTGGGAGGTGGAGGTTGTAGCGAGCCGAGATCACGCCACTGCACTCCAGCCTGGGCACCATTGAGCACTGAGTGAACGAGACTCCGTCTGCAATCCCGGCACCTCGGGAGGCCAAGGCTGGCGGATCACTTGCGGTCAGGGGCTGGAGACCGGCCCGGCCAACACAGCGAAACCCCGTCTCCACCAAAACCAGTCAGGCGTGGAGGCGCGAGCTTGCAATTGCAGGCACTCGGCAGGCTGAGCCAGGAGAATCAGGCAGGGAGGTTGCAGTGAGCCGAGATGGCAGCAGTACAGTCCAGCTTCGGCTCAGCATGAGAGGGAGACCGTGGAAAGAGAGGGAGACGGGAGAGGGGGAGGGGGAGGGGGAGAAACTGTTCTTTTTCATGGCTGTTAGTGGTAGCACTGTCCATCTTTTTCCTTGCATTTAGGCTCATGTGTGGCTTCTTCAGTCCTCTCTTCATTCACTCATGTATTCATTTATTCAACGACATATTACTAAGGAACCTCCTTAAGCCGGGATGCTGAACGTGGAAAAATAGGTGAAATATAATTTTACCCCTGAGAAGCTCATAGGCTAAAAAAAATATTGATTTGGGATAAATGTATGTTAAGGTAAGTCTCTGTGTTAGGGGAGTTAAGAGGAAGACCTTGTGTGTTTAGCAGCAGAGTTGGGGGGGGAATGGGGATGACCAGAGGCTGATCCTATAGATGTGATCATTGGGATCCTGGAGGAGGAGTTAGAGTTAAAGGGTCATGTCAGGGAACATGGCAGGAATTGGCAAAGACGCAGAGTTCGGTAAGTACCCAGAGAATTTCCACTGTGCTGATTAAAAGTTAGGTCCTCTTTCTGGCTTAAATATTAAACAGTGTTCCTTTATACATGTGTTCACATCAGCTTTCTGCTCATCCAGAAACTTTTAAAAAGGATTGCAAATGTTTTACCTCCTTCTCAACTTAATGCATTTCAAAAACAGCTCAAACCTAGTCCTATTCTCATCGGAGATTTTGGAAGAGAAATTTTTTTTTTTACTTCTAATTTGCTTCTCGTTGAATGAAAATGATTGCAAAATTAATCTAAATAAAAATAACCAGCCTTGGGAGTCAGAACTAAAGAAGAGAACATTCTTTTGCTTGATCAGAATAGCAAGTGGGAAAGACTGCTTCCAAACTGCCCGAGTCAATTTATATTTAGCCGAGTGGAGTTGTTTGCACCTGTCAGAGCCGCAGACGTGTTCTGGCGCATTATGTTACCTGGGGCCCCCTGCCCCTCTTTCATATTTGACTGACATTGACTTGCAAGGTCATGTTTCATGGGGACAGGCAGAGGAATACTTACAAAGGAACTCTATAAGCCTCTGTCTGCAGATAATGTGTCCTCAGCTTGTGAGAAGATCTTGAGTATTTTACACACCAAGCTCCTAGAGCCCATTAGGGCATTTTTTCTTACCGTTGAGGGCTTTTGAGTTCCTGAGTGAGGTTGACAAATGGATCACGTGTTTGAAAGCTATGTGACTACAGAACTGATTTTATTCTACAGCTTCATACTTTGTGCAGTGCTTTGTGTGAGCGTGATATGTTTTAATTTGTGTTGTTTATTCTTTTTTATGATTACAGTTGACTCTTGAACAATGTGGGGGCTTGGGGCACCAACCCCCTGTGCAGTTGAAAATCGACATATAACTTTGACTCGCCAAAAACTTCACTACAATAGCCTGCTGCCAACCTGAAGTCTTACCAATAACATCAACAGTCAATTAAACATATTACGTATGTTATATGTATTCTATGCTGTAGTTTTACAATAAAGTAAGCTGGAGAAAAGAAAATCTTAAGGAAATCATAAGGAAGAGAAAATATGTTGGCTAGGTATGGTGGCTTATGCCTATAATCCCAGCACTTTGGGATGCCCAAAGTGGGCAGATTCATTGAGCCCAGGAGTTCAAGACCAGCCTGGACAACATGGTGAAACCCTGTATCTACAAAAAATACAAAAATTAGCCAGGCATGGTGGTGCACACCTGTAATCCCAGCTACTCAGGAGGCTGAGGTGGGAGGATCATGTGAGCCTGGAGAGGTCAAGGCTGCAGTGAGCTGTGATGGCACCACTGCACTCCAGCTTTGGTGACAGAACAAGACTCTGTCTCAAAAAAGAAAGAAAGAAAATATATTTAGTATTCATTAAGTGGAAGTGGATCATCATAAAGGTGTTCATCTTGGTTGTCTTCACTTTCAGTAGGCTGAAAAGGAGAAGGAAGTGAAGGGGTTGGTCTTGCCGTCTCACGAGTGGCAGAGGCAGGAGAAAATCCAAATGTAAGTGGACCTATGCAGTTCAAACCCAAGTTGTTCAAAGTCATTGTATTAGTATTAGACATTGTGGAAAATACAGAAAAATATAAAGATGAAAATAGAATTAGTGCTACCCAATGATAACTATCAATATAATTCACTGTATTTTCTTCAGTTTAGTCTGTGCATAAACATTATATTATCTGAATCATAGTGTGTATATATAGTTTAATATCTTGATTTTTATTCATGACTGTTTCTCACTTTGAGTATATTAGTATTATAGTTTTCCTGACATATGCTTTTTAATGGCTGCATAATATTCTTTCACATAGAGAGATCATAATTTATTTAACTATTTTCTTATTGTGGGACACTTAGATTTTTCTTCCCAAATTTTCTTTATTGTAAATATGTTAGGTTGGTGCAAAAGCAATTGCTGTTTTTGCCATTAAAGGCAACAGCAAAAACCAAAATTACTTTTGCACCAAACTAGTGCTTCAATAAGCATCTTCATATTTAAATTTTGTCCACATTCCTGCCTATTTCCTACAGAGTATAGATGTTCTTCAGGCTGGATGCATATTGCCAGATTTGAATACTAACCTTTTAGGAAGGTTAGTATTGACCTTTCATTCTTGCTACTGGGGAAAATTAAGTTAAATAATCTCAATAAGGTCTTGGTTTGTGGACTTGGGGAAAATTATAGCTCATCTTGCAAAATAGCCATATGAGAATTTTTACGAATGAATCATTTACTGTATGCCTGGGTAAAAATAGCGGCACACCTTATCTAGTGCTTTAGCTTTGAATCTCAAAGTACACAGCCAATTTGTATTATGAATAAGGACTTCATAACCCATATTGTCGACTTAAATGGTATTAAGTGGTGGCTGGTCAGGGAGAAGGTGGAGAGGCTAGAAACCAGGGAATACCACCTTGCCAAAGGCTTAAATACCATTAGGCAGAACCAGTATATATTTATATTCTTTGCTTATTCATCCTCTGTTCATGACTAGTGTGGTCATAAATTATATTTAAACCTGTAACTTTATATACATATAATGCAAGGCATAGCAACATTGCATGCAGAATTTCATGACAAGTGGCCTGCATTTTTGTGAGGAAAAAAAAATATGTCAAGCTGCTTTTAGGACTGTAACTAACCACTTGGCTATTGCATGCCTTGTGCCTTAGGTCTGGGATGTTTCTCTTGCATGCCTCTGGAATCAAATGACTCTGATACTGCAAGCACTTCAGAGTATGTATAAGCAATTTCAGCTGGTTCCGTCCTGATATTTACAAAACTGCCTGGATCATACTTACAACCATGCAATGATATATATTTCTATTAAGAAAGCAACGATTTGCTTGAAAGATGAAGGAAAACAAACTAAGTATTTATGTACAATGAGTCCTAAGTGTACACCACTATGTTTTCCATCAGCTTTTGATTTTCTGTCACTCCTCTTTTTCTTTGAAATTTAGAGTCAGAAGTGAACTGACTTCATGGTTTTCCTCATGATTATTTGATATCCTCTAGGGAATCATGACTTAAAGACTGCATTCTTCCTTCTCAAAACTCATGTTAAAGATTTCTCCATGCAGAGCCACAGGCTATTTTGGAGTTTGAAATGGAGCAGTTAAAACTAGGAGGTCACACACGTTGAGATTATTCCTTCACTGCATCTCGCCCGGCTTGTGTGCCTGAGGAGACACGCATCTCAGAGGGCAGAGGGGCAGCCGTTGTCTAGTGAGGTTATTTCACCTACTATATAATAAAATGTACAGGACAATAGCGCATTTGTTATAAAGGCTACTCGAGTTTGTTATACAATTATTCTTCACCAAAAACAACAACCTGATAACTCACTATTAGTATGAGTCTTACTTGGTAGATAGCCAGGACTATAAAATATACAAAGCCAAACTTTGCCATTATTTCCATCTAAACCTTAGAGATTGCTATAACCATATATTCAGACTTAACAAAGATATTTGGCACCATTCCCATTTTCTTTCTGTTAATTCTTTCGTCATTTTCAAATGCAAAATCCTCCCAAGTTGGGGGTCGTTTGTCTCTTATTTTAGTTGTGGCCCTTTGTTCCAAAAAGAGAATTAACTTATCCTTTCTTCCCTGAGTTTAACCCTTATTCTTTTTTCTTCCTTCCTCCTTTTTAAAAGTATTCCTCCTGAGTTTATAAAATCTAGAAATTTCTCTCTTCTAATTTTGTAAGATTAGTAAATAAGCAATTCTGTCATTCTCCCCTCTTATAAATCAGCACTGTTTATCAATTTTTAAGAACAGTCCCAAGACATGGTTTATGAAAAGAAGGAACCGATTGCAAAATAAGCGAGGAAGTTTCTGATTTAACTTCCTGCTGAAATTCCTAGGAAGAAAGACAAAAAGCTGAAGACTCACATAACCCTCATGCCCTAGAGATAATGAAGTGTAGGGTAAGATCTCAGTCACCTGGTGGTCTTGGATGAGTATGCTGACTCTGCCACAATGAGCTGTGGGCGTGGGGGAAATCACCTGCCCACTTTGTGCCTCTGTTTCCAGATCTGCAAAATGGGAATAGTAATGCCTGCTTGGTAGGGTTATTCTGAGGATTTCCTGGAACAATATTTATGTATAATCAGGATGACTTGCTCCACAAAACCCAAGTGCAAAAAAGTCACATTTCTTGATGATTCTAAATACAGTGAAATCTGGATCTTAACCCTCCACCTACTAAGGCCAGCAAGAAGCTTAATGTCAATTGGCTTATGTGGCTCATGCAACTGGGAACAGGTCCTTTGTTCCTCGACTCTGTGGTTACAGCCCTTAGCACTGCTCCTTCTGCAGCCCAGCCTCTGTGCAGGTCAGGTCCTCACTACCCACTGGAGCTACTGCTCAAGGCAGGCTTTGGTGATGCCCACTTGGCAGGCCTGACAGGAAGCTCATGCACCCCCAGAGAGAAGCCTCTTCCAGAATGTTGGACTCAGATGGGGTGTCCTACCGCCTGCAGAAACTTCAGTCCCGCAGCTCGCAGACTTTGGGGATTCACCCCCTTTCTGGGGTGGATCTTTCTGTAAATCCACAGAAGTACCAGGCTGGAGCTCCTCCCACTCTTGGACAGTTCTGGCCCCTTCTTGGGAGGGCCCAGAATTCCCAAACACTTTATGGAAGCAGTTTCTCCAGAGGCTCCTGGAACATGAAGGAGCTGTTAGCACCACTTTGCGGCTAAAAGAGCCAAGACCTTGGAAAACAAAGACTTGCCTTTCCCTCCATTATAAGATGTTGGGGTATATGAAAATGAAACACAAATTTACATGCTGACACATTTGTAAACTATCAAGTGTATGGTGACTATTCCAAGGGCATCACCAGTTTGCCAAATTTCCCCGTGAAATAGTTTTACTACAGGAAACAAAAGAAAATTTTAAAAACATCTTGGATTGCAGGAAGACATGGTCTATGAATTACAGAAAACCACACACAGAGATAAGATGAAAAGTTAGGAAGACAAGATACAAAGAGAGATGCGATAAGAATGGATGTCAAAAAAAAATGCAATCCAAGAATTAAAATCCCTCATGGAGGTGGAAAGAAGCAAAATTGACAGTGTAGAAAATGGAAACGTTGATTTGGAGGTGAACCTTAAGAGGTCTTTTACAGGAAAAGAGCATAGAGTTAGACATGATAAGTGAAAATAAATAGTTAACTAAGAAAAGTGATAGATTCTGATAAATATAAACAATGGGAATTCAGTTTAAGACTTAACAGTATTACTAATCAAGAAACCAGAACAACAGAAATAAGTGATAATGACTTTATTGAAGAAAACATTTTCAGGCTGGAAAAAGACTGGAGTATATAGATTGACTGGGCTCACAAATTCCAGGTAAAATCAATTTTAAAACACCCACACCTAGACACATATTGACCACATTTTTTAGTTACAAAGACCAAAAAAAAAAAAGAAGAAGAGGAAGTGCTGCAAGTTATCCACACAGGAAATACCACCCCCAATCCCAAACAAGTTGTTGATGGAAGAACAAATACCAGACTGACTTCTGACCTCTTTGTACTACTACAGTCAGAAAACAATGGAGAAGCATCTAAAAGCATTTTATATTCAGCCAAGTCAACTTTCATGTGTAAATGACCTTGCTTCCTAATACCCCCTAGTTTTATTACCATAATACAGCAAGGAGACTGATTAGTACTCAAAAGAGTAGTTATTGTATCTTATCCACTATGGTAATTTAGTTTCTTGATGAGATTCTAAAGTTGTATGAAAATGCCAATTTTATGCCTCCCCATCTCTCTGTGTGTTTTAACTTTGGTTTTAACGTTCCTCTAATCTGGCAGTGGTAGTGTTATTTGCTGCTGAGAAAAGAGGTCTCTCTCCCAATGACTTCTTTAACCTCATCTCTCCCACTCCAAGGGTGGTCCTTTTGTTTGCCTTGCCACTGGGAATTTCTACTTTGTGGGCGTAGTGTTTGCTCAGGTGGAAGAGCTCCACATAGCAAGCCTTTGTCCCTTAATTTTACTCCAAATGCCAAGACTTTGATTTATGAATTATATTGAAAAACTGGCGATTATTAGAGTTAAAAGGCCTCTTACATCTTCTAGGCTAGCATCCTTGGTTTACAGGTGAAAAAAACAGACCGAGAAAAGAGCCATCACTTGTCTAGAGTCAAGGATTCAGATACCGTTCGTGTTAGGACCAGCTAGGCTCCTGGTTTTTCTGCATCCCGCACCAGACTGACACTGATGGACAAGATCTATTGGCAGGCCCAAGTGATCCCATCTTCACCATGATGAAGAAGTTCGTGAGTGGCAGGGCCCAAAGCCTGTGGAATGGCCAAAGGCAAGCTAATGCCCGGTAATCAAAAAGTCAGTGAATTTCCAACAATAAGCAGAGGCACACCTTCAACATAGCACCTCAGAGCCATTGAAAACTCAAGGTATTCATTCTAGAAAAGTCCAAGGATACAGAAGACATGCTTTAGCCAGTTTTTCAAAGTTCTTAGAAATTTTGACTTTGGGCAGGGGCACAGTAACTCACCCCTGTAATCCCACCTACTCAGGAGGTTGAGGAGTTCAAGACCAGCCTGGGATGTATAGTGAGACCCTGTCTCAAAACAAACAAACAAACAAAAAGAAAGAAAGAAAGAAAGAAAGAAAGAAAGAAAGAAAGAAAAGTTTGACTTTTAAGGGTTCTAGTAACAAAAACTTCCTTTCTAAGCAAGCAGACTTGGCTCATGACACCTGACATCCTTTCATCAAACACTGGTCCAAATTCAAGGGGCAAAATCATCTCCTGCATTTGTAGATTTCTTAGCTTCTCTCCTTAGGTGAGTCACAACTCTTTAGGTTTCAAAAGAGAGGCTGCTCCAACTAGCCTAATCAAACCAGAAGAAGAAATGAATTGGGTCATAACCAAATACCAGGAAGGCAGGGGCAGAACTGGGCCTAGGATTAACTTCTCCACATCACAGGGAACATGGCTGCTCACATCTCTGGGCTAACATCAACCCCACTTAAAGAGCAGAGAGGAAAGAGGGCATCTTCCACCTGTCGTCAATGTACAGAATTCCCAGAGGGGACACTGATGGCTGCGTAACTGTGGACAAAGGGATGACCCAGCCTGGTTCCATGCTCACCACTCTGTTGAGGAACATTTTCTGTCAGTAAATTAAGGAGAATGAGCAGGAAATGGGCACAGAGCAGATCTACACAATAGCCACTACATTATCCATAGCCAGTGTGGGTTAGTACGGAGTTTATTATCCACTTGTTATTGTCAAATACGTTTTTCCAAGAACGGAGAAAAGAAATTAATAATTCCCCTACATTGTCTTTACCTTGGCCATGACCAGGCCCACTTCTGGAAGGTACGGGACACTCTCCAGCCTGCCTCCTGCTCAGGAAAGACTGCCAGAGAGCATGAGGGCTTCGGAACCTGCATGCGTAAGCAGGTGTCCGCTGTGCTTTGTGGAGACTTTCTCCTCTCTCGGAGCTCTTTTGTATTAGTCCGTTTTCATTCTGCTGATAAAAATCTACCCAAGACTGGGTAATGTATAAAGAAAAAGAGGTTTAATGGACTCACAGCAAAGTTTTACGTGGCTTGGGAGGCCTCACAATCATGGCGGGAGGCAAAAGGCATGTCTTACATGGCAGCAGACAAGAGAGAATGAGAGCCAAGCAAAAGGGGAAACCTCTTATAGAAACATTAGATCTCCTTAGACTTCTTCGCTACCACCAGAACGGTATGGGGGAAACCGTCCCTGTGATTCAATTGTCTCCCACCGGGTCCCTCCCACAACACGTGAGAATTATGGGAGCTACAATTCAAGATGAGATTTAGGTGGGGACACAGCCAAACCAAGTCACCTTTCCAGGGGTCTTGATGGTCTGTCTCCCTTCCCCTAGATAAGATAGCAGTAAGGAGGGCAGGATGGTGTGTTGAGGGCTTAGAAAACAAGTTCACTTCATACCAGGTGAGAAACAAACTCATTGTCGGGTCATTACTGGTGAGGAGACACTCACGTTCAAGTCTCCAAGATGATGCCTCATGCTGTATTGGGCAGGCCGTGGGAATGTGCGTCAGCCTTGGAAGGTGTGGCCGTGAGCAGTGTCAGCAACCCAGGTGAGACGTTGTCTCTGCCATCGACAAACTGGCTGGTGCATTTTGAGCAAAGCAGGAGCCATGACCTCCACGGGTGAAAACCCTCTGGTCAGCTCATTACTATGAGCTGACTACTACCTCCCAGGTTTATGTGCCACAGCCTCAATCTAAACAGTAAGGACTATTACTTTTTGAGCATTCTTGCTGCACAGACACTTTACATACTTGATACCAATATCCTGAAAAGGAGGTATTTTTGTTTAACCCCCTTTCATAGGTAAGAAAAGTGAAACTCAGAGAAGTTAAGTAACTCACCTAAGATCACACAGCAGTGAGTAGCAGAATCTTGATTCAAAGTAAGATCTGACCCCAAAGTTTAGGCTGTTTACACCACACGAGGCTGCAGCTCTCAGTGAGCAGATGAAAGAGGGTGATGGTCTCACTTTGGGGACACCTTGGCTTTCTTCCCCGATCTGCTCGATTGAATTATAGGGCCTTCACTGGGCCTCAGAAGAATAAATTTGGGATTTTGAAAACATAGCCCTTAATTCAATTTGACTGCTAGGACAACCACCTCATTCACAGGCAGGAGGTAAAGAGAGGATGATTAGGTTACTCGTGGTGGCTACAGCTCTGGCTGGAGAAGGGGAGGTTTACAGCCTCCCCGAATGGCTGCTGCAGGGCAGGCAGGAAGGAAGTCTGGGGAGGTAGAGAAGAAAACCATGAGAGGGGACACTTGGGGAGACAGGTTTCTGAGGTTTGTCTGGGGTGCAAGGGAAAGGCCACACAATGGATGAACAGATGCCAAATATCTCTGTTTCCAGGAGGAAGCCACACATGGAAAAAAATGCTACCCTAAACAGTTCTCAAGTACACCCACGTCCTCAAACAGCATGGAAAATAAATTAACAAATAGCCTGCTATAAACACAGTGGAGGTGGGAAATTCTATAGTAAACCAGAAAGGAATTCATTTTATTTAAAACTGATTTGAGAAGTTTGTCTAGGGTGGGTGAATACTTTGAGGCCAGGGCAGCTAGACATCACTGACATCTCTGGCTTTGTCACACCTGGAGGCCCAGAGCTCAATGTGCAGATAGTGTGTCACACTTGGGTGCATGGTTTGTGGGAGTTAAGAGAGGAGTGGAGGCTCTTGAGTGGCTGAGCCCTATCCTTATCTGCAGCCTCTCTTCATGGCCCCCAGCCAGGACTGGCACTTGTCACATGGCATGTGAAGCAAGTGACTCTTGCAAGGAGAGAGTGTGATCAGGACGGGGGGACAGTTTGCCAGTTGGTCATCTTGGATGTGAATCCTATGTCCCACTGACCTTTGTACCTTGAGAACTCCCTAGATCTCAAAATAGAGTATTTCCTGCCCGGGGGGATCATACCAGCCTCAAAACATCTTGCCAAAACAAAAATTAACTTTCATTTGAATTTACAATAATTTAAAACATGAATATGTGTCATCTGGCATTTTTATAAATAAGATGATATGTTGCAGAAACAAGTAATGAAAATTTCAAGGCTTTCCAGATCACTGGAAGGTCATGAGTTTAGGGTTTTTTTGTTTGTTTGTTTGTTTTGGTGGATTCTCACTCTGTCACCCAGGCTGGAGTGCAGTGGCATGATCTCAGCTGACTGCACCCTCTGCCTCCCAGGTTCAAGTGATTCTCCTGCCTCAGCCTCCAGAGTTGCTGGGATTACAGGTGCCCACCACCACATCCAGCTAAATTTTGTTTTTTTTTTTTTGAGACAGAGTCTCGCTTTGTTGCCCAGGCTGGAGTGCAGTGGTGCAATCTCGGCTCACTGCAAGCTCCACCTCCCAGGTTCACGCCATTCTCCTGCCTCAGCCTCCCGACTAGCTGGGACTACAGGCGCCCGCCACCACGCCTGGCTAATTTTTTGTATTTTTAGTAGAGATGGGGTTTCACCGTGTTAGGCAGGATGGTCATCCAGCTAATTTTTGTATTTTTAGTAGAGACGGGGTTTCACCATGTTGGCCAGACTGGTCTCGAACTCCTGACCTCAGGTGATCCACCCACTTCGGCCTCCCAAAGTGCTGGGATTACAGGCATGAGCCAATGCATCCGGCCGAGTTTAGGGTTCTGTAGGGATTGTGGAAAAACCTCTATTGGGACAAATGTGCCTACTGCCTTTGTGGCCACTTCCAGCTACAGAACAGTGAGTCAGAAGACTCTACACTTGTGCCACTCACTGGCAGGGATGCCCACCTCTCCTCCTCCCAGGGGAAGCAGGACATGGGTCGTGGCCACCTTCCTTACAGTGCACAGGGGCCTCAAGATTTCCTAACTCTCTCTGTTTGGCAAATATTTAAAGACCTTTTTATTTTTTTGAGACGGAGTCTTGCTCTGTCACCCAGGTTGGAGTGCAGTGGTGCGATCTTGGCTCACTGCAAACTCCGCCTCCTGGGTTCACGCCATTCTCCTGCCTCAGCCTCCCAGGTAGCTGGTACTACAGGCGCCCGCTACCAAGCCCAGCTAATTTCTTGTATTTTTAGTAGAGACCGGGTTTCACCGTGTTAGCCAGGAGGGTCTCCATCTCCTGACCTCGTGATCCGCCCACCTCGGCCTCCCAAAGTGCTGGGATTACAGGCGTGAGCCACCGTGCCCGGCCCTAAAGACTTTTATCAATGTATTCAGTACCTATTTGTTTAAACAACACTTTTGATTAAGAGATGACCAAAATTGGATACAGGAAAATTATTTTGTTTCTAGAGAGGCATTGGAGAAAAGGTGTGGTTGTGTAAAGAAACAGGGAAAAACAACAAGCCAAGTAAGCAACTGTTCCCCAAAGTGCTTGGGTAGAACACTATTCTTGAGAGAAGGTCATCACAAAAAGTATTCTGGGATCAAAACCAGGCTCAGTCTGTCGTTGATGGGCATTTGGGTTGATTCCATGTCCTTGCTATTATGAATAGTGCTTCAATGAACATTGGCGTGCCTGTATCTTTGTAAGAGAATTTATGTTCCTTTGGGTATATACTCGGTAATGAGATTGCTGAGTCAAATGGTATTTCTGGTTCTAGATCTTTGGTATGTATACACCATGGAATACTATGCAGCCATAAAAAGGAATGAGATCATGTCCTTTGCAGGGACATGGATGAAGCTGGAAGCCATTATCCTCAGCAGACTAATGCGGGAACAGAAAACCAAAAACCACTTATAAGTGGGAGCTGACATCCTGGATAACACGGTGAAACCCCGTCTCTACTAAAAATACAAAAAATTAGCCAGGCACGGTGGTGGGCACCTGTAGTCCCAGCTACTCAGGAGGCTGAGGCAGGAGAATGGTGCGAACCCGGGAGGCAGAGCTTGCAGTGAGCCGAGATGGTGCCACTGCACTCCAGCCTGGGCGACAGAGCGAGACTCTGTCTCAAAAAAAAAAAAAAAAAAAAAAAAAAAAAAAGTAGGGGCTGAACAACGAGAACTCATGGACACGGGTTGGGGAACAGCACACTGGAGCCTGTCGGAGGATGTGGTGGCGGGAGGGAGAGTATTAGGGAAAATAGCTAATGCATGCTGGGCTTAATACCTAGGTGATGGGTGGACAGGTGCAGCAAACCACCATGGCACATGTTTACTCATGTAACAAACCTGCACAGGGACCGCAGAACTAAAAATTAAACTTAAAATTTTTTTTTAACAGCCTCAGAGGAATCCTGTATTGTGGGACTCTGGCTAGCTTTATTTAACCTGGCACTTCACAAGCTGACCCAAGATCTCACGGTTCTTGCAACGCTGCATTTTAGTGTATGGAAAGGTGGGAAAGAGATCAGAATGAATATAGATGAGTATCTTATTCCCATTTAGGCTGCTATAACAAAATACTGTCCACAGAGTGGCTTGTAAATAACACACACATCTATTGCTCACAGTTCTGGAGGCTGGAAAGTCCAAGATCAAGCTGCAGGCAGCTTTGGCGTCTCGGGAAGTTTTGCTTCCTTGTAGACAGTGCCATCTTGCTGTATCCTCATGTGGTTGAAGGGGCAAAGGAGCTCTCTCTGGCCTCTTTTGTATGGACCCTAATCTCACTCATGAGTGTTCTGCCCTCCCATAACCTAATTACCACCTCTTGGGTCTAACTCCTAATACCATCACCTTGGGGGCTAGGACTTCCACATATGAATTTTGGGGGCATGCAAACATTCAGACCATAGCAGTGAGCATGAGTGAAATTTTAGGAAGTAAATCCTAACAGAATTGGGAAATACATCATGCATGATTCAATTCTGCGCACTCTTAGGCCTCAAGAGAACAAGGAGGGAAACTAACAGATTATGTGCTGAGCAATTTTTTTTCTATAGCAGGACAGGCAGAAGGATGCCTTCTTCCACGCAAGCACTGAACCAAACCACAGTAGAAGAAACAGAATCAAATGAGAGAGATTCAACTGACCAGTTTAAGGCTTATCAGAAAGGAACAAAGACATACCAAAATAGACCATCCTTGCACAAACACAGACACACAGGGACAAGGCACAAGTGCATCACTTACACCAGCACAGGTGCTAGCAAGAAACCCATTCATATGAACACTTTATGCGGATTTTAAAGGGAAAACTCTTCTTTTAAACATAAAGGACTTTTATCTTTGTAGTATCCACATTTATTCACTCATTCATTTGATGCAATTTATGTGCCAGATGCTTGGTCAGGACTGAGGATGTGTAGTGGACAAGCCAGGATTGCTGCAGTGATGTGCTCACCATTGGAGAGAGGAATGACTGTCAACAAATCACTACAGGCCCATATGTTAAGTTCTTTAATAGTACGGTGACTGGAACTACGGGACGGAACCCAAAATGCAGTCACCCAAACGCATCATGTCCATTTTGATCCCTACAGCAATTAAGCCTTGCTTTCACAGCCGCTGAAGCAGACCAACAGATGGTTGTTTAATTGTTTATAAAACCAAACATTAACTACTGGGCTTGGCAACGTATCTCTTCTCCTGAAGCCTCTCAAAGCAGATATCAGACAACACTCTGGAAGATGCTGAGAAACATCAAAAGATCAAAGGTCGAATCTTGGAATTCAGATCTGTCATTGACCTGCCTTATAACTTCTGTCAAACTGCAATGTGGTGAGATTGTTCACATGTTTCACAGCAGTGTTGCATGGAATGACTAATGGCCTTCAGTTGGTTCCTGTGTAGATGGTAAAATGGAAAGCTGTTCACAAAACCCCTTTCTAGCAAAGATGCGTCTCTGCCAAGTCACATATGTTGGCCAGAGGTGTGTTTAGGGAACTTGGCCCTCTTCAGAAAAATACAGTCTCCTTGTTCCTGGCCAGATTTTAATGTTGCTCTACCTTTTAGCTTATGAAGCTTCAGGCTGTCTGTACAAATGCTGTCTGTTTTAATAGAGTGCTAATTGCAGTAACGGGCAGGGCACTTATGTCTGTAATCATCACATCAACGCCACTTGGCTTAATCCTTGAAAATGGACAACAAGCTATTACTAAACCATAAAAATCACAAATTGTGCGTGCTGACCTAGAGACACCTCCAATCAATGAGAAGCAGCCTGAGAGCCACCAAAGGCTCTTCAATGTCCAGCTGTCACCGACATTCCCCAAGAACTTCAAAGATTTTAAAGGCCACCATTTCCATGCACGTGTCTCTTGGCGTTGCTGCTGTTTACACTATGTGGAAGCTGGACACTCAGCCTGTTTCGGGGGGACCCAGGCTAAAGGTTCTGCCCTAGGTGTGGTAAGTATCTATTGATGCGTAGTGTGAACACAGCCTTTGTAGCTTCCCCACCCTCTGCGTGGGGAATGGATAGCTCTGATTGCAATCTTCCTTCCCTAGCAGCCTCTTCCTTATCCTCCTGGGTTCAGCTTCAACGTCACATGCCCAGACTTTCAGCCTCCAGGACTTATACCAGCACCCACTCTCCCTCCTGATTCCCAGGCCTTCAGCCTTAGACTGGGAGTTATAGGATTGGCTCTCCTAGTAAAGGGTAAGATAGATGTATTCTTTTATATATAATATATAACACAATGGCTCTCTGTCTGCATGGGTTCTGAATCTTCTAATTCAGCCAACCATGGATCAAAAATGTTCAAAAAATAGAAAAATAACAATACAACAATACAAATAATACAAATTAAAAAGACAGTATAACAACCATTTACATAGCATTTACATTGTATTAGGTGTTATAAGTAATCTAGAGATGATTTAAAATATAGAAGAGAATGTGTATAGGTTGTATACAAATACTACATCATTTTATTTGATGGACTTGAGCATCTGAGGATCTTGGTATCTGTGGGGATCCTGGAACCAATCCCCCGTGAGTACCTAGGGATGGCATGACTATGTATAATATATCCTTGTAAAGGGGTTAGCCAGATAGTGGGAGCCCTCGTTTCCTTACAAAGGAATTTGAAGTTGATCTGGTCAGTGGAAAGTTTCTGGAAGGTATTGCATGATTAGAATTTTGTTTTACACACACCACACATGCACACACACACACACAAGACAGACCAATCTGTGTGGAAGAAGTAGATTAGAAGAACACAGGATTAGAAAGCTTGCTTGATAACAGGTCACAAATGCTGCCAAGTGTGTAGTCAAAAAAATCTGGACTTATTTTCTAGACCAAGTGTCCAGATCTGAAAAGTTTTCAGAGGTTGCATAAGTAGCAAATGTGTGAAGTCTCTGAATGTGATTTCCCTGTTTAAATTTAGAATGTCAAAATGCTGCATTTTTCCAACCGACCAGTCACATCAGTGGCTGACAACTGCTCTGTGAGCTTGATCCTTGCTGTAGGAAATGCGGAGCCATAGGCGATTCTTGGGGAGGGGGAATTGTAGCAGATGCTGTTGGTGTTCTCTGCCCAGATCCCATTGGTCCACTCTTAGAGTTGCCTGCAGACAAGTCCCCTTGAGCTGGTATCTTCCAGCATCTCTGCCTGACAGCATTCTCTGGGCTGGCCACCTAGAGACAGGCTAGAAGTGCCAGAACATTACAGCGTTGGGAGCATCCCTCAACCAATGAAGGACAGAAGCTGCTGGATAAACACCCCAGCCTTCCGGCTCCATGATAGGTCATTGCTGAGGTTTATGCAGTTTTTTGAGGGGTCCTGGAAGAATTGAGCCTCAGTTGCTCACAGCAGCATTTTTGTCATAAATGCAACTTTATTAGTTGTCTTAGGTGGGGTCACCTGAAAAACAGACCCTGCCATATGCAGTTGCGTGCAAGAAGTTTATTAGGGAATTCCTTTGAGACCAACGCCTATGAAGAAGAAAGTAGGACTGGATAGAAGGTAGTCGTTGAACTGTGGTGCTATTGAAGCTTGAGAGGATCCCACAGGAAGCTCTGGCCCTGGGATAGTCCTTCAGAGTTGACCTATTGAGACCAAGGTGGGGTCAGGGCTTTATATCCTCTATTGATTAGTCAGTGGATGTGGCTGCCCCAGGTTGGGACCTGGGTTAAGGCTGTTCTCTGCTGCTGAGAGCAGTTCCTGGCTCGAGACTCAGCTAAAAGTCATCAACCAGCAACACTCCCAACAGCTGGGAGAGTGAGGACCTCAGTCCTGAGGGGGAATCTCGGCAGTGCACCATACGATTGGCCTCCCTCTCTTCCCTGACTTCCTTCTTTAACCCCTCTCTATCCTAGCCTAGGGGTCATCTTCCAAATGAACTACCTACACCCAAATTCTTTTTTTTTTTTTTTTGAGACGGAGTCTTTTTCTGTCACCCAGGCCGGAGTGCCGAAGGGAGTACTGAACCAGTTTTTTTTGTTTTTTTTTTTTAAGATGAGGTCTCGCTCTTGTTGCCCAGGCTGGAGTGCAGTGGCACAATCTCAGTTCGCTGCAACCTCTGCCTCCCAGGTTCAAGCAATTCTCCTGCCTCAGCCACCCAGGTAGCTGGGATTACAGGCATGCACCACCACGCCTGGCTAATTTTTGTATTTTTAGTAGAGACAGGGTTTTGCCATGTTGGCCAGGCTGGTCTCGAACTCCTGACCTCAGGTGATCCACCTGCCTCGGCTTCCCAAAGTGCTAGGATTACAGGCATGAGCCACCACACCTGGCCAAGCCTGGAAGTTTTAAGCTGTAATTGGTGAGTTCCTTGTAGCACACCGTGGTGCTATAACCCATATCCTGAGAAATAAAACAATTAGATTTTGGGAGGCAGTTCACAATTACATTCTCTCTGTGGATAAAATTTTATTTAATTTTCCAAACCCGTTTTAAGGATACAATGATCACTGAGTTTCTAAGATATATTAGATCGGCCCAGATGCAGCAGGAATTTTGTTTGCATATTCCACAGGTGCATTTGATAGATGTTGGAAAAGCTTGAGCAAAAAAAAAAAAAAAAATCCCTAACTGCAAGCATTTGTCAACCCAGAACAAGGTCTTCTGCTTTCCATATTCATGACGTTTGACATCAGACACATCAGATAAAACCAGAGATGGCTGGGCAGGCGGAAGGAAACGAGCCCAGCAAGGGGTCAGCCGCAGGAATCGTCCCAGCTCTGGCTGTAACTTGGGTTTGACCTTGGCAAGTTGCTTGACTTCTGTGGTCCTTTGTTTCCTCATCTGGAAAGTGAGAGTCCCAGCCCCGGGAGCTCTGGTTGAGAGAAAGTCTGTGATTCATCTATAGCCAATCCATGTTTACCCCCAAATTCATCAGGCTGAGTCCTCATCAATAATTTATATCCACCTGGAGGTCAGCTCTGCATAGAATCAAGTTTCTCTTCTTGTTCTGCTTCCAGTGGAATTAAAGTCCCTTGGCCCCTGACTTCTAATGACACCATCCAAAGTCTGTAAGTTTTAGAGGTTGCAGTTGATGACATCTAAGGTGCTTTCAAAGCCCAGCATTTCTAGGAAAGGGAGCATCAATATTAATTAAGTGCTGGCAGCTCTCAGGATTCCTTAGTATTCTAAAAAACGTGCAAGCTCTCAGGTCCTGTGTGCCCCTGAGGAATTTGCATATACCTGCAGATCTGGTTACTGTATCAATTGGGCCACATCCAAAGGCCACAACACTCTCCTTCCTGCATTTTAAGTGTGTTCTTACTGAAAATTCTGATGACTACCTAAAGAATTAAGCAAACTCCTGGCCAAAACCATTTAAAGACAATGGGTTAACTTGAAAAACTTATGACTTATGGTTAACTTGAAAACAGTTATGACTGTCCCTAAATGATAAACCAGAGATCAGTGCTGGGTCATACATTTCTTCAAATGTTGTGCCTTAAATAGCTGCAGAAGGACACAGTAAGGCAAGGGAGAAATATCTAGACTCCATCCAGAGACGAGCTTCCTTTGGAGCTGATTCCTTAGCCCAGGGATGGGTATGCCCTTGGCTCTTGGGATCCTAGACTTGTCATAGGCTCCTCTGCTCTTCCTCCTCTCGTTTCCAGGGTCTGCTTTCTCTGTTGCTTTCTCAAAGGTTGGTAGCCTTCCAAATTCGCTCATCACCCTCTTCTTTCATCATTTTATTTACTATTCCAAGGCTCTTCTCTTTTCTTGAGTTAAAAATGCCTCTGTTGCTGATGAGAAGCATACGTTCTCCCCAGAAGCTCATACACCGGTGGAAAAAGCAGGAGTCCACGTGCACCCCACCCAGCACATGCTCCTGCAGTCTGAAGCCACGTGAATAGCACCACTGACCACTCTGTTGCCTGAGCTACAAACCGGGATCCACCGCAGATTTCTTCCCTCTCACCCCTAGCAGGTGACCACTTCCTTTTCAAGCCACCTCCCTTCTCTCCGCTGCCACTTTCTTTCCATCTCAACTGCTGCTGCCTTAATTTTGTACTTTTTTTTTTTTTTTCGAGACGGAGTCTCGCTCTGTCGCCCAGGCTGGAGTGCAGTGGCACGATCTCGGCTCACTGCAAGCTCCGCCTCCCGGGTTCACGCCATTCTCCTGCCTCAGCCTCCCGAGTAGCTGGGACTACAGGCGCCCGCCACTACGCCCGGCTAATTTTTGTATTTTTAGTAGAGACGGGGTTTCATCGTGTTAGCCAGGATGGTCTCGATCTCCTGACCTCGTGATCCACCCTCCTCGGCCTCCCAAAGTGCTGGGATTACAGGCCTGAGCCACCGCACCCGGCCTTAATTTGGTACTTTTATCCTCTCTCACCTGGACTATTTCCACAGCATTGCCTATATTTCTGCCACCCCCCACTCCGACCTCGCCCTTTCCTCTGCAGTCAGGATGAGCTTTCTCAAATGAAAATCAGATTTTGGCAGGGCGTGGTGGCTCACGTCTGTAATCCCGGCATCTTGGGAGGCTAAGATGAGAGGATTGCTTGAGCCCAGGAGTTCGAGACCAGCCTGGGAAACAAAGTGAGACCCCCCGTCTCGACTAAAATATTAAAAAAAAAAAATTATCCAGGTATGCTGGTGGATACTTGTGGTCCTAACTATTCTGGAGGCTGAGGTGAGAGGATCATTTGAGCCCAGGAATTTGAGGCTGCAGTGGGCTATGATCATGTCATTGCACTCCAGCCTGGGTGACAGAGCAAGACTCTATCTCTCAAAAAAAAAAAAAAGAATATCACGTGGTGCTTCCTTTTGCTGATGTCTCTTCCTAACTCTGCAGATGAAGTCCTTTATTTCCAACCCCAGGAAACCTTGCATCTTCTGGTGGCTGTTGCACCCCTCATATGTAGCCTCATAGGCTGCTATGTCTACCCAGAGAGCCTCTTCCTTTGTTTTTCTGGTGGGCTCTTATTCATCTCTCAAGACCCAATTCAAGTTGTAACTCCTCTGTGAAGACAACTTTCACCCCAGCCCATCATCCCCTTCTCCACAAGCCACAATGTGTGTGCCTTGTTCTCACCTCCAGCCCTTACTGGGGTTTCTCATGCAGCTGCAGTCAGACAGCAACTGGGACTGGAATCACATTAAGACTCACTCTCTCACATGTCTAACATCTCTCTCTGTCTCTCTGTCGCTGCATGTGAGAGTAGTATGGCTTCTTCTGTGGCAGCTTAGAGCTCCAGAGGCACATGGAGAAAGAAAGAGGGAGAGAGGACGTGAGAGAGAACCCTCAGCCTTTTCTGACCCACCCTCAGAGGTCGCAAAGGCCTGCCCAGATAAAGGCGAGAGGATGTAGACTCCAACTCTTTTTTCTTTTTCTTTTCTTTTCTTTTTTTTTTTTAAAGACAGGATTTCACTCTGTTTCCTAGGCTGGAGTGCAGTGGTCTGATCATGGCTCACTGCAACCTTGACCTCCCAGGCCCAAGCAATCCTGCCTCCTCAGCCTCCTGAGTAGTTGGGAGTATAGGTGTGCACCACCATGCTCGACTAATTTTTAAATTTTTTGTAGAGATGGGGTTTCCCTAAGTTGCCTAGGCTGGTCTCAAACTCCTGGCCTGAAGCAATCCTCCCATCTTGGCCTCCCAAAGTGCTGAGATTACAGGCGTGAGCCTCAACCCGGCCAAGACTCCATCTGTTGATCGGAGAACTGCAGGATTTTGCAACAGCATGAGGTTCTGGATATTTTATGAGTGTTTTAGAAAATACAGTCAGCTTTGTCCTACTATGAGTTCTTGATTATCAGCACTTCATTTAACAAGCATCCTAATAAATAGTGCCTTTCCGTATCTATGGCAGACGGCCCCTGTTGCTGAAAAAAGCTATTAAACATCACCTTGAGGGACCTGAGCAGTTGCTAAACCACCAGAGAGAGCCTGAGATTTTCCAGAGTCACCCATGGATGATGTCAGTTGCTCATTACTTGGTACAGAAGGAACCAGCTCCCTAGGGCTCCCACTGGGCTCCCAGTCAATGCTGCCATAAACTGGCTGGCTTTGCTTAGGCAACCTGTTGGCTGCAAGTGCCTCCGATCAAAACCAGGAGCTGCTTTAGGCATTCTGTGGTTTGATCAGAATAAACAAGATCCAGCCAAGTCCCCGAATTTACCATAGAGATGTTTTCAACTGCATGGCTCTTCACCTGGACTGTAGATTTTTGGTGTGTGGCTTGCAGGGAACTACAGGGGCCACACACCAACCATAAGCACCAGGCCTAAGGCAGAAGCAGAGAGAAACCAACTCAAGGCAGAGGAGCCGCTGGGAGGGAGAAAGGTGTGAGGAGAGGACTAACAGAACAAGAGGAGGCAAACAGATTAAAAAGAGCTTGAGAGGGTCGGGCACAGTGGCTCACACCTGTAATCCCAGCGTTTTGGGAGGCCGAGGCCAGCAGATTGCCTGAGCTCAGGAGTTCGAGTCCACCCTGGGCAACATGGCAAAACCCCATCTCTACCAAAAATACAAAAATTAGCCGGCCTCAGCGGCAGATGCCTGTAATCCCAGCTACTCGGGAGGCTGAGGCAGGAGAATCGCTTGAACCCAGGTGGTGGAGGTTGCAATGAACCAAGATCGTGCCACTGCACACCAGCCTGGGCGACGGAGGGACACTCCACCTCAAAAAAAAAAAAAAAAAAAAGCAGTGGAGGTTGGCATGGGCTCCACATCACCAGGGTGGTGACCTCCATTGATCTTAGCAAGATAAGGAAAACTGAATAAGCCTCGTGCCAGCTTGTCTCCACCCTCCCACCCCAAGACAGGTGTTTCCCTCTCTTCGCAGGATCCAGTATTTAACATAACTACACAAGTTTGACCAGGCCAAAGCATCTCATGGAGAGGACCCTCAGGTGGTCGGAATTAAAACAGAATTTTAATGTCACTGACTTGGCTTAAGTTGATTACTGACTGACCTATCTGGTTGAAACAAGAGGCATATTTTTCTGTTGTGCAAATGATTAATAATAATGTTTTTAAAGCTGAAGAATTAAACATCAACTTAGCATAAGAACCAGGGTCATTCAAAATACCCTAGCAGTTTTAGAAAACCGTGAATTTTGTTATTGTCACTTAAAGCGGCATCATGGTATAGTCTGCAGGTTTTTACCTTTTTACTGGACCCCCTGGTCACAAAAATAATTAGATGGAGGAAAGGTTAATTAAAATAGTGTGAGGAGAGCTGCAGCTGTCTTTTATCCAGGCTGGTCTTGCAACTTCAGTGGATTCCACTAAGTGCTGTTAAGAAGGCCAATAACTCATTTACATATGGATTATTCATTTCAAACAGTATGTATTGGTTGCTTTCCAGTAGGCTAAGTGCTGGGGACAAAATCACTAATAAAATGCACCCCTTCCAAGTATATGATGTCCCTTTTATGTTATAAAGTCATACATGCATACTGAAGAACATTTAGAAAATTAAAAACCCACCTTCTAATACCACTATTGTTAGTGTTTTAATGTATTTTCTTCTTGGGTACAAAAAATATTTAGTTGTAATACTATTGAATATGAAAACTTTTAGCCCAGCCTGGGCAACATAGCAAGATCCTGTCTCCACAAAAAAAAAAAAAAAAAAAAAATTAGCCAGGCATGGTGGCATATACTTGTAGCAACAAAGCAAGACCCCATCTCTAAAAAACAAAAACCAACTTTACCCTTTAGTCTGCTTTTTTTTTCTTCGATAAGACCCTCTTCTTAATGCTACAGCTAGAATGGTAAAAGGCAGAGCTAAGAGTTTCTCAGAATATTCCAAAGCCAAGAGCATGTTAATAAATCAGTGCCCCTGAGCCCAGGAGTTGAAGGCTGCAGTGAACTGAGATTACACCACTGCACTCCATCCTGGGTGACAGAGCAAGACTCTCTCTCTAGAGAAAAAAAAAAAAATCAATCAATCAATCAATGAATCAATGAAAACAAAGGCTTAGTGTTTTGAGAAATCCCGTACAGGGTTTTGTTTGTTTGTTATTCTAAGATATTTACCAGCCCTTCCCTCATTCCCCACCATACAGACCCACCACAGTATTGCCCATGTGGGGAAGAGCAAATGATACGCCAGCAACGGAGTGTCCCGTGCCACCCACGAGGCCCAGTTTCTAAAGAGTCAGCTGTCCACCTGAGCACCCGCTCCTCTTAAGGACGCAGGTGGCTTCAGTGGGTTATAATCAAAGAGCGCTGGGCTCCTGGAGGCACTGCCTTCCTTTTCTTGTTTTCCTTTTTTAGGCTTCTTCAGTGCTGCTTAGGGAGAGGTTGTTATTTGAGACTCCAGTCCTGCTTCATGTTATCTTGAGGATGGCCTGAATCAGTGTTGCACCCGACACCAAAGAAACGTTTTTTGCTTTGTTCAGATATCAATCATCAATAGATAAAATCATACAAATCCAGTAATAACCTCTCGCTGTGTTGGGGTTTGTACAGGAACAGCTCGAAACCCTTAAAGCAATGCCAAAACTTTCCAGCAGAAACCAGACCCCCTCGAGGGGACAGACCCCAAAGCCTCCGCCAGTCTGTCCTTTGTCGCTGTCATTTGATTTGCTGGGTCACCAGTGGTAGATCCAGAGCTGTGGGGCTTGGAGTTTATGAAGTTTGGGATCCTTATGTGCAGGAAAGCAAATACATTCATCATACAGAATTTTGTAAAGGGAGGGTTGCAGGTAAGTGAGAGGCCCTTTCACTTTATTTTTTAATTTATTTTTTTGAGACAGAGTCTCCCTCTGTCGCCCAGGCTGGAGTGCAGTGGTGCGATCTTGGTTCACTGCAATCTCTGCCTCCCAGGTTCAAGCGATTCTCCTGCCTCAGCCTCCCAAGTAGCTGGGATTACAGATGCCTGTCTCCATGCCCAGCTAATTTTTGTATTTTTAGTAGAGTCGGGGTTCAGCCATGTTGGCCAGGCTGGTCTCGAACCCTTGACCTCAGGTGACCCTCCCACCTTGGCCTCCCAAACTGTTGGGATTACAGGCGTGAGCCACCGTGCCTGGCCTCACTTGACTTCATTAGGTTTACAGTGAACCTAACCCTGCCTGTCCTGACACATCCCTTTCCTGGGGGAAGTGGCCTCCTTATCTATAATTTACTCCATGAGAAAGGATGTCAGGATGGTCTGGGGGAATAGCTCTGCTCATGGCCGGTAATGCTAATCACTCTTTTTCAGATAAGCTGATATTTTAAAAAACAAAGATAAGCAAAAATGAACATAAGCAAAAATGACTGGAAAAGAGAGAACACAGGAATGATATAAAAATTGCTAGGATTCTACGGTAAAATGTCTGAGTCTACCTATCTAAGTAGAAGCACAGAAATAATTTAAGGCCAGGCACGGTGGCTCACGCCTGTAATCCCAGCACTTTGGGAGGCTAAGGCAGGCAGATCACAAGGTCAGATCAAGACCATCCTTTGAATGGTGAAACCCCGTCTCTACTAAAAATACAAGAAATTAGCCGGGCGTGGTGACGGGCGCCTGTAGTCCCAGCTACTCGGGAGGCTGAGGCAGGAGAATGGCGCGAACCGGGAGGCAGAGCTTGCAGTGAGCCGAGATTGCCCCACTGCACTCCAGCCTGGGTGACAGAGCCAGACTCCATCTTAAAAAAAAAAAAAAAAAAAGAAATAATTTAAATACTAGCCCTGGAATTTCTTGAGCTACAAAAGCCATTTTATGGCCCTGAACAGCTTACCTAGCTTTTCCTAAGTCTTGCTGTCTGCGCTTCCTGACCACATGATACACATCCTCTAATTCTGCGTTCTGAGGGAGAGGCAGGCCCAATATTTTATACCCTCCTGGCACCACTACAAAGGTCCTTCCCCTGTTAAATCTGCCTATTCAGTTGAGTTTCCAGTGGAGGTCCCTCTCGTATTAATTCGGTTAGTATAAGTGCTGGCCTTGGAGATTGCTATAAGGCTTCAAGTCCAGGTTCGTTCATAAGCTCTGAGTTTCCTTTCCCACATAGAGAGAACCGTGCTTTAAAGGTTCACCCATGAAAGGCGAAGAGCCCCAGGAGGTTGAAACCATATATCAGCACACGTAACAAGTGCCCAAACACACAGGTAGTAGAGAAATGATCTGTGAGAGAGGCTCTGTGCTCACTAACACAACCTAGGGTCTGTTCTAATAAGGCCACTTCTGTAGGGCTTACCCAGCTATATAACATTTTAGATTTCCTGAAACTGCCAGACTTCCTCAAAGTGTAACGCAAGCCATTGATCATATCATTTATTCTGCCCCTAATATGTGCAAGGCAGTGGGCTAGGGGATGTGTGACGTATACAAGATCATTGTAATAAGACTGCAATTATTATGTACCTATTAAGTGCCAGTTCCTATGCTATGGTTCCATGAGTTCATTTTATGCTCAGTGCAGTCTTTAAGATAGGCAGATTAACCCCATTGTATAAAAGGTGAAACAGAATCAAAGACATTAAGTAGTTTTCCAAGGTCATATCCTAATGGCTACTGGAAGTAGAATTCAAACCCTTACCTCCTACTTTAAGCTGCAATTTTTTTCTTTTTAAACCACCATATGTTACTTGCACATCCTTAAGGAGATCACGGCCTTGGAGAAATAATCAATTGCTTTCTTATGGCTTTAACATCCCCACGTGTCCTTAAGTGGAAAGAATATGGCTTAACATAAGTAACAAGGTGGTATTACTTCCTTGACTGAAAAGCAGATAGAATCATAGATTTTAAAAATTATATATAATTTATTTTATTATAGGAATAATTCCTGCCCATTGAAGAAAATTTTTCAAATGCAGACGTGTATCAATAGCAAAATCATTAGTTAAATGATTTAAATATTTAAATATTCTTTTTTTTTTTTTTTTTTTTGAGATGGAGTCTTGCTCTGTCACCCAGGCTGGAGCGCAGTGGCGCGATCTCGGCTCACTGCAACCTCCACCTCCTGGGTTCAAGCAATTCTCTGCCTCAGCCTCCTGAGTAGCTGGGATTACAGGTGCCCGCCACCACGCCTGGCTATTAAATATTCTTTAAAACATAATTTTGATGACTTCCTAGTATTTCATCATGTGAATAGACCATCATTTATTGATCTGTTTCTTAACTTCTTTACTTCTACAGACAGGGCCAGCAGAGGGGTGCATATTTTGCATTCTGCACAAAGTTCTGGCCTAAGTTGAAGGCTCCTTCATCTGTGGGCTGACACTCAGCTGGCACTCTGCCACCTAGGGCAAACATTTCCGCAGGCTGTGGCAGGCCAGAGGAACATCTTTTTCTGTGGACACAAAAGCTCCTAGAGAGGCCAGTAGCAGCCTTGATGATAGACAATTCTCTGCAGAGTAGAACACAAAAAGCTCTTGAGTATCATCTACTATTGGTAATTTCTACCAGCAGAAGCCACTATCACCTGTATTAACTTCTGTGCCTCTTTTTTTAAATTAAAAAACTTGAATGTTTATATTACTGTAATTAATTTTTTTTTATAGAGACAGGGTCTTGCTATGTTGCCCAGGCTGCAGTAGTTGCTATTCACTGGTATGATCATAGCACACTACAGCTTGAACTCCTAGACTCAAGGAATCCTCCTGCTTCAGCCTACCAAGTAGCTGGGATGGCAGACTCACACACCACCATGCCCAATTTTTTTTCTTTTGGTAATTATGTTTTTTTACTATGAATTTTATTGCACCATTTTTAATAACACTGCAGTTACTTGGAATCATGTTTCTGCAGGTAATAAAATATTTTTCCATTTCCTTTTTATTTTAAATGCAGTTAAAAATATACAAGCATTGAAGATTCTTTTTAACCGTGGCAATTATTATAGATCGAACATATACTGAAGGAGTCTAAATGATGATGCCAGATCCCTAGGCTTATATAATTCCAAGGAATTAATGCAACTTTTGTACATTTGAGAGGTGTGATTGCAGTGTTGAGCAGGTGCTGAACTCTTGATGTCAACAGGGACAGAAGGTCATCACAGATTTCTAGTGTCCTGCTCCATTATAGATGATAATGCAGAATTAATTTTAGTGGGGAAAACCAGCTGTGGTTATAATTCTTTTTAGATTAAGAATTAAAATGACATTCATTTTGGGAATGTTTCTCTACTGCCTTCGCCACAGGAAACTTGTTGGACTATAAATTGCCTAATACATTTTGCATGTCCTTGAGTTTTGGCTAATGTACCAATCTCTTTATTAGAACAATCATTTACATGATATAAATCTGCTCTGAGCACAACTTTGAGACCAGGCGCCCTGGTTCATAATTACTGCTGCTGTCCTGGCCAGCGTCCGGGAACTGGCCTCACAGGGGCTGCATCTGACAGTTTTAATTCTCCGCTTGGAGCAAAGAGGCTGCAAATGTGCTACACACCAGTGCTTCTAGCTTGCCTAGAGTCAGACTTTCATTTCCAACAGGAAAAGCCAGGGAAGTTGAGATGAGCCATAACTTGAAAAGAAAGGTTAAAGTATGGACACTTGCCAGTGGAATGCAGGAATGATAGCAGCTTAATCTTTTCTTCTACCAAAGAATGTGAGTTTAAGACATTCCTGGCCGTGCGCAGTGGCTCATGCCTCTAATCCCAGCACTTTGGGAGGTTGAGGTGGGTTGATCACCTGAGGTCGGGAATTCGAGACCAGCCTGACCAACGTGGAGAAACCCCATCTCTACTAAAAATACAAAATTAGCCGGGCATGGTGGCACATGCCTGTAATCCCAGCTACTAGGGAGGCTGAGGCAAGAGCATCGCTTGAACCTGGGAGGCAGAGGTTGCGGTGAGCCGAGATTGCACCATTGCACTCCAGCCTGGGCAACAAGAGCAAAACTCGGTCTCAAACAAAACAAAACAAAACAAAAAAATAAGACATTCTTAAAGGTTAAAGAAACATGTGGCAGTAGCAATAGTCTTTGAATCAGAATGGAATCATGTCGTTCCTTGAAGAATTTCACTTCAATTTATACTATAGTAAGTATTGACCTTCATTTAGGAAATTGTTGTACGACAAGCATTCTAAATATTGTTAAATTGTTTTAACAGTTAAGTGAATGTGTGTGTGTGTGTGTGTGATGGGCCAGCCTCACTATGGCTGGTCAAGAATAGATATAAAGTGCTTTCTGTTGGTTTTCTTTCTTTTTTTTTTTTTTTTTTGTCTCTGTCAGGTTTGCATGTCTAGGTAGGAAATGGACCTGCACCTTGGGTCTATTTCTTGAAATAAGGGACACACAAGAAAAGGGAAGCAGCAGCATAAAATTTAGGGTCACTTACGGGCTAGGTGACTTCGGTGTCACTTCTGCTCTTGGAGCCTCAGTTTCTGCATCTGCAAAATGGGAAAGCACGGTTTTCAGGAAGATTCAAATGTGAATGTGCTGGAGCAGTGTTTGTTCATCTCTATTAATATAAGAAAAGGTGCATCCCCAATTACTGCCACATGATGAGACTGGGGCTCATTTCTCTCCCCTGACACCTCTGCTCTCCCTGTTGCTATGCACGGCACATGCTGAAACCCAGGACCCCTGGGCTCTGTCACTTAGTCGTTGCCTGTTAAGACTATGAGAAATTCATAGAAATCCCAAATTCTACTTGGAGCTCAGCTTCCTCCTTAACAAAATGATACAGAGGGACTAGAGACTGTTCAGCATCCTTTTGGTGACAAACATCTATGAGTCCAGAAATAAGTGCCAGGAGGTGACAAATGGGATTCTGTTTCCTCACTGTAGGGAATCCAGAGAGATAATGACTTCGCGCTTAGCACCTGGGTCAGTTCTGCTTGGCTTTTCCCCAGCCAGCTTCCTTCTCTCTTTGGTTCTGACCTTTTGATTTGGAGCTGTCAGGAAATTGATCAATGATACACTTAGTATGGCTCATTTCATCAATATAAGTCGCTAAAGAGCCACTTTTTCTTTTCCTGTAAACAAGCACTTGCTTATGAGCCCAGAGGGAATTGGTAGACAGCGCTGCGTTGTTTCTCAGCCACGCACACACAGTGATGATGCACTTTGAAATCTAAGAAAGAAAATGAATATTATTTATTACAAACCTGCCACTCAGATCTTTCCTGTGGCCCAGAGTGACTCTGTGGGGGCACTGCACCTGTGAACTCCAAATATCTGAGATAGGTATCAGTCAATTTAGAAAGATTTTTTGGCCAATGTTAAGGACGTACCTGTGACACAGCCTCGGAGGTTCTGATGACATGTGCCCAAGGTGGTTGGGGCACAGTTTTTTTTATACATTGTAGGGAGACGTGAAACATCAATCAATATGTGTAAGATGTACATTGGTTCAATCCAGTGAGGTGGGACAACTTGAAGCAGGGAGTTTGCAGGTCATAGGTAGATAAGAGACAAGAGATTGCATTCTTTTGAGTTCTTGATCAACCCTCTACTGAATACACAACGTAGTCTGGTTCAGTGAATCTGCATTTTTACAAAAACAATAGGGCAGAGGAAGCTATCAGATATGCATTTGCCTCAGGCAGGCCTCAGAGAAATCACTTTGAGTTCTGTCTGTCCTTTGTCCTTTGTGGGCAAACTGTGAGGGAGGCATGCAGCTTTTTATCTTTCTAGCAGTCTTATTTAGGAGTAAAATAGGAGGCAGGTTTGCCTGCCATAGTTCCCAACATGACTTTTCCCTTCGCCTAGTGATTCTGGGGTCCCAAGATTTATTTTCATTTTACACACCTTACTCTTCATTTCCTAAATAGCATTAAAATCCAATTTTAAACTTTCTGCCTGGCCAGGTACGGTGGCTCACGCCTGTAATCCCAGCACTTTGGGAGGCCAAGGTGGGCGGATCACCTGAGGTCAGGAGTTTGAGATCAGCCTGACCAAGATGATGAAACCCTGTCTCTACTAAAAATACAAAAAATTAGCTGGGCATGGTGGCTTTCACTCACGTCCGTGGGAAGAGACCACCAAACAGGCTTTGTGTGAGCAACGAGGCTGTTTATTTCACCTGGGTGCAGGCGGGCTGAGTCTGAAAAGAGAGGCAGCGAAGGGAGATAGGGGTGGGGCCGTTTTATAGGATTTGGGTAGGTAAAGGAAAATTACAGTCAAAGGGTGTTGTTCTCTGGTTGGCAGGGGTGGGGGTCACAAGGTGCTCAGTGGGGGAGCCTTTGAGCCAGGATGAGCCGGGAGAAGGAATTTCACAAGGTAGTGTCATCAGTTAAGGCAGGGACCAGCCATTTTCACTTCTTTTGTGGTGGAATGTCATCAATTAAGGCAGGAACAGGCCATTTTCACTTCTTTTGTAATTCTTCAGTTACTTCAGGCCATCTGGATGTATACGTGCAGGTCACAGGGGACATGATGGCTTAGCTTGGGCTCAGAGGCCTGACAGTGGCAGGCGCCTGTAATCCCAGCTACTGGGGAGGCTGAAGCAGGAGAAGTGCTTGAACCCGGGAGGCACAGGTTGCAGTGAGCCGAGATCGTGCCAATGCACTCCAGCCTGGGCAACAAGAGTAAAACTCTGTCTCAAAACAAACAAACAAAAACACAAAACAAAACAAACAAACAAAACTTGCTGCCTTTAGTGCTATCCAATGGGTCTATGAAGGCTTTTGATGGTGTGACTTCCTTTCAAAGGCTTTTTCCTGTGTGCCTACACTGGCTCGGTTGTTCTTGCCTAGACTTTCTAGGGATAGAAGGTGGCATTCTAAGCATGGTTCTATTGTTTTAAGAGTTAAGGGGATGCGTATGTGTGTATGGGTATGTTTCTAATCACAGAAAGTGGGGATTAAATATCTCATCCAGATCTTATACTAATGTGCAGATCATTGACTTACGATTTCAGGAGTGGCAGAAAATCCTTTGTTTATTTTGTCTCTCCCTCTATTCGTGGACAATGTTGTCATTGTCAGGCCTCTGAGCACAAGCCAAGCCATCGCATCCCCTGTGACTTGCACGTATACATCCAGATGGCCTGAAGTAACTGAAGATCCACAAAAGAAGTAAAAAATAGCCTTAACTGATGACATTCCACCATTGTGATTTGTTTCTGCCCCACCCTAACTGATCAATGTACTTTGTAATCTCCCCCACCCTTAAGAAGGTTCTTTGTAATTCTCTCCACCCTTGAGAATGTACTTTGTGAGATCCACCCCTGCCTGCAAAACATTGCTCTTAACTTCACCGCCTAGTCCAAAACCTATAAGAACTAATGATAATCCACCAGCCTTTGCTGACTCTCTTTTCAGACTCAGCCCGCCTGCACCCAAGTGATTAAAAGCTTTCATTGCTCACACAAAGCCTGTTTGGTGGTTTCTTCACACGGACGCGCATGAAAGTCATCTGATAGGACATTACAGTAGTGTTTGTCTGTAAATAGCTTTTGCTCTAATTCTGTCCCCTCCACTTGGGGATGCAGGACAGCAGAGTCAGGTCACTGGAGAGCCATCTGACCCAAGGTCCTGCTGTCAGGCAGCCTTTCAGCCACGTCAGACCAATGATAGTCTCTCATCTCCATTGCCTACATGAGCTAAGGTGCCACCATCTTGTCTCATCACCTGCTGCAATGTGGAATGGAAATTTGTGTTTTTCAAGGAAAGGCTTGGAAGAAAGTGTTATTTTCCCTAACACCAGAAGGTTCATCTGAATATCCCTAAGGACTTAGACAAGTGTGTGAATGAATATCAACGTAAATACTTTGTTTTTTTTTTTTCAAGTTTAAAAGGGGAGTAGGGAGCAGAGAAATAAAAGAAGAGAGGATCTTTCTATGCAATAACCATTTTTAAAAGCCAAAATTCCCTAAAAAGTATTATAAAGGGCTGGATGTGGAGGCTTACACCTATAATTCCAGCAGTTTGGGAGGTCTAGGTGGGAGGATCACTTGAGGCCAGGAGTTTGAGACTAGCCTTAGTAATATAGTAAAACCCCACCTGTACAAAAATTTTAAAAATCAGCTGGGCATGGTGGTGCATACCTATAGTCTCAGGTATTCAGGTGACTGAGGCAGGAGGATCACTTGAGCCCAGAAGCTGGAGGCTGCAGTGGGCTCTAATCGTACCACTGCACTTCAGCCTGGGTGACAGAGTGAGACGCTATCTCAAAAATAAAACAAAAAAAGAAAAGAAAAATGATGTAAAAAGGTAAGACTCGACTGCCTAACTTCAAATTCACGATTTGAGCAGGAAAATCAATGATCAATTTTCCTGGGCAACTACAGGTTACCTTCCTTAATAAAACTCCTTAACCTAAGATGTGCCCCCCAACCCCCCTCAAATTCCTGACCATAGCATTTACAATAAGACCTTTTATTGCAATTATGAACATAGGATACTGGAAAATATCTTCTATGTGGCAAGCCCAACTGTAATGCTGTACTCAGGAATTCTTTTATTAAAATATGCACACACTCATACTTGAGATTTATTGGTCTTTTGTCTTATTGCGTTAAGTTCTTAAGCTGATTTTTGATATTACTCTTGTGGCATTTTACAGCTTTTGTGCTTAAACTGCACATTCTTCTGCAAGCATAGATATTTTGAGATGAAGTAGGCAGCACTTCATAGAATTCGAAGAGATGGGGAGGATGAATGATGAATGAATGTATTTACTGTGTAAATGAGGAATAACACTGGGCCAAGGTTTTTCTCCTGAAACCAGATTTTAAAAATGGTTTAATAATATATTTTAATATGCTCTCCTTTGGGGAACCATGTAAATCTAGTAGACTGTACTTTCCCCTTATTTTTCTTGACTTCAAATCAGAGTGATGGTTTGGTGGGTTGTACGCCCCAGTGACTTTCCTCTCTGCCACATTTTCCTGTCTGTTGGCATCTGAGGACATTTCAATGGCTTCCTTGAAGCTCTTGCTGTCTCTCCTCTATGTTCAATTTTCTGCCTTTAGCACACTGTTCAAGAATGGCTTTGCAATCTTAGTGTTTGTTATTTGCTCTCATCCCTTGACCAGCCTGTAATGTTTCCGGAGGTAATCTGATGAATTGGTTTGAATAGCTCGATTTGGAGAATAGCTAACAGGCAGGGAAAGTGAGGAGCATGAATAATGGAGGTAGCTGGGGCCTTTCATTGAATCAATATATACAGTGGGGGAGGAGACAGGCATCAGGAAACATTGGCCCACTAGGAATAAGATTGCTGGGTATTAAGTTTTGGCATTGTTAGAATTGTGACATGAATGGGGAATGAGAATCTCTTTGGTCTTCTCTGGCTATCTTGGGGTGTGGACTATCGTTTATTGTTTCACTGTTAATACCCTATGAAAAAGCAAGGGTCACCTGTGCTCTGTGTGGCACTGCAAAATCAAATTAACATTGACCTGAGCCCCTGCTACAGGCTACCAAGCAAAGTGTGGGTGCTGCTGAGGATACTGGAGAGCATTAAACATGGTTGGGCAAGATGTAAAAGGCGATTGGAAACAACAGTGGAATTTTGAACACAAGGTGTTAGGTGGTAAATTGCGTAACGAATGCTTTTGACCTTCAGTGGGTCTGCTGAAGTCAGTGTGAGTGAGGAGGAAACAGGAGCTGGGGCTGTAAGGATGAGAGGATGGAGATGGTAGAGAACAGAACTGGAACATTCTAGCTGAGAGTGACGTTGGCAAAGTAGAAAGAGCTCTCTCTAGGAAGTAGGAGATCTGGCTGAAGTGCAATGGCGTGATCACGGCTCACTGTAGCCTCACTCTCCTGAGCTTAAGGGATCCTCCTGATTCAGCCTCTGGAGTGTCTGGGGCCACATGTGCACGCCACCACATCCAGCTATTTTAATTTTTTTGTAGACACGAGGTCTCACTATGTTACCCAGGGTGGTCTCAAACTCCTGGGCTCAAGCAAGCCTCCTCCCTTAGCTTCCCAAAGTGCTGAGACTGTAAGTGTGAACCACCACTCCCAGTCCGAGACCTGGCTTTTGACTTATTATACCTGTGCTCCTGCTTCCTGTGTGGCATTGGGCAATCAACACAGCCTTTCTGAATGTTCACTTCCTCAACAGTAAATGGAGGAGTTAGATGACTCATTCATTCCAGAAATAGTTTTGAGCATTTGCTCTGCATCAGACCCGGTGCCACGTACCATGGGTGCAAAGGGGAGCAGCATAGGTAAGATCTGTGCCTTCCGAAGAGGGTAGAGTCTTCTGGAGGGACATTACAAATAATCAGGCACTCCCAGTGCTGGGAGCTAAGTTCTGTTACAGGGAAGAGAAAGAAACAATGGGAATACCAAGGAGGATATTTACAGAGGGGGAAGGCTTTGAGCTGAAATTGAACGGTGAATAAAGGCTGAGCAGCCATGGTGAGATGGGGGGAGACTCTTCTGAATGGTGTGGTGGCGGAAGTGGGGGTGGGGGGGATGCAACAGTCTTGTTGGACTGGAACATAGAGTTCAAATGGCGGAATTTCAGAGCTTTGACGCTCTACTATTAAGAAGGTCCAGCAAGTTCTGCCGTGAACAGTTGTGCTCATAGCTAGCTGTGTGATCTTGAACAAGTTTCTTTGTCTCCAAAACCTAGTTTTGTTACAGGTAGATAGGCAAGAGTGGGCTCTCCCCCGACGCACTAGAAATGTCGGATGACAGTTCCACAGTTATCGCATTGCCTCTCTAAAAATCATAATTCAGCAGCCAGGGAGAGACAATCTCCTGATGGTCCATAACCTTGACATTAAAAGTGTTAACTGAATACAGATCCCAGGGAGAAGCAGATTCTTGGGCATGTGTGTTAAGAGATAAAATGGCAAAGTATGACTTTCCGGGGTACACGCCACAGGAAAAAGGAAAAAGTCTCAGGTGGGCATGCGTGTAACTCCCTAAACGCACTGCGCGTGCTCAATTCCAAAGGCTAAGGAAAGCATTGCGCATGCGGGAAACCCACGCTGAGGGAAGAATCATGGGAAAGAGGTGAGCCTGTAAAGTTTTAGGATCAAGGTTAAAGGCCCTTTTTTGCTCTCTTCTCTCTTGGACCTTCAGGCGACGGCTTGGGTATCTTCCAAGCGAATTTTCCTTTCTTTCCTGTTCTTTTTTTTTTTTGAGACGGAGTCTTGCTCTGTCGCCCAGGCTGGAGTGCAGTGGCGTGATGTCGGCTCACTGCAAGCTCCGCCTCCCGGGTTCACGCCATTCTCCTGCTTCAGCCTCCTGAGTAGCTGGGGCTACAGGCGCCCGCCACCACGCCCGGCTAATTTTTTTGTATTTTTTTTTTTAGTAGAGACGGGGTTCCACCGTGTTAGCCAGGATGGTCTCGATTTCCTGACCTCGTCATCCTCCCGCCTTGGCCTCCCAAAGTGCTGGGATTACAGGCTTGAGCCACCGCGCCCCGCTCTTTCGTGTTCCAAAGGCTTTTTAAATAAACTTCCACTCCTGTCCTGGATTCTGCTTTATGGCCCTCAGT